>NC_000004.12:1074518-1429358 GCF_000001405.40 Homo sapiens | reverse complement strand
GACACCGGGGGAAGTTGTGAGTGTATATAGATGTAATGATGATTATAACACCGGGGGTAGTTGTGAGTGTATATAGATGTAATAATGATTATGACACCGGGGGAAGTTGTGAGTGTATATAGATGTAATGATGATTATGACACCGGGGGAAGTTGTGAGTGTATATAGATGTAATGATGATTATGACACCGGGGGAAGTTGTGAGTGTATATAGATGTAATAATGATTATGACACCGGGGGGAAGTTGTGAGTGTATATAGATGTAATGATGATTATAACACCCGGGGAAGTTGTGAGTGTATATAGATGTAATGATGATTATAACACCGGGGGAAGTTGTGAGTGTATATATATGTAATGATGATTATAATACCGGGGGAAGTTGTGAGTGTATATAGATGTAATGATGATTATAACACCGGGGGAAGTTGTGAGTGTATATAGATGTAATGATGATTATAACACCGGGGGAATTTGTGAGTGTATATAGATGTAATGATGATTATAACACCGGGGGAAGTTGTGAGTGTATATAGATGTAATGATGATTATAACACCGGGGGATGTTGTGAGTGTATATAGATTTAATGATGATTATGACACCGGGGGAAGTTGTGAGTGTATATAGATGTAATGATGATTATGACACCGGGGGAAGTTGTGAGTGTATATAGATGTAATGATGATTATGACACCGGGGGAGGTTGTGAGTGTATATAGATGTAATGATGATTATGACACCGGGGGAAGTTGTGAGTGTATATAGATGTAATGATGATTATAACACCGGGGGAAGTTGTGAGTGCATATAGATGTAATGATGATTATAACACCGGGGGAAGTTGTGAGTGTATATAGATGTAATGATGATTATAACACCGGGGGGAAGTTGTGAGTGTATATAGATGTAATGATGATTATGACACCGGGGGAAGTTGTGAGTGTATATAGATGTAATGATGATTGTAACACCGGGGGAAGTTGTGAGTGTATATACGTGTAATAATGATTATAACACCGGGGGAAGTTTTGAGTGTATATAGATGTAATGATGATTATAACACCGGGGGAAGTTGTGAGTGTATATAGATGTAATGATGATTATAACACCGGGGGAAGTTGTGAGTGTATATAGATGTAATGATGATTATAACACCGGGGGGAAGTTGTGAGTGTATATAGATGTAATGATGATTATAACACCGGGGGAAGTTGTGAGTGTATATAGATGTAATGATGTTTATGACACCGGGGGAAGTTGTGAGTGTATATAGATGTAATGATGTTTATAACACCGGGGGAAGTTGTGAGTGTATATAGATGTAATGATGATTATGACACCGGGGGAAGTTGTGAGTGTTTATAGATGTAATGATGATTATAACACCGGGGGAAGTTGTGAGTGTATATAGATGTAATGATGATTATGACACCGGGGGAAGTTGTGAGTGTATATAGATGTAATGATGATTATAACACCGGGGGGAAGTTGTGAGTGTATATAGATGTAATGATGATTATAACACCGGGCGAAGTTGTGAGTGTATATAGATGTAATGATGATTATAACACCGGGGGAAGTTGTGAGTGTATATAGATGTAATGATGTTTATAACACCGGGGGAAGTTGTGAGTGTATATAGATGTAATGATGATTATAACACCGGGGGAAGTTGTGAGTGTATATAGATGTAATGATGATTATAACACCCAGGGAAGTTGTGAGTGTATATAGATGTAATGATGATTATAACACCGGGGGAAGTTGTGAGTGTATATAGATGTAGTGATGATTATAACACCGGGGGAAGTTGTGAGTGTATATAGATGTAATGATGATTATAACACGGGGGGAAGTTGTGAGTGTATATAGACGTAATGATGATTATAACACCGGGGGAAGTTGTGAGTGTATATGGATGTAATGATGATTATAACACCCGGGGAAGTTGTGAGTGTATATAGATGTAATAATGAGACAACTTTCTGTATAAGGGAGCAATCTGGTTGTGGTGCGAAGTTCTCTACTTCCCATTTTAAGTGGCAAATATTAATTATAAATAGACTGTGACAAATTCAGCATGTAGATTGCAATCTTCAGAACGATTGCTTAAAACAAACAAACAATTTAAGTAGTGAAAAAACCCAGTAGAAGAATTAAAGTGGGAGACTTCAACATAGAAATAATCCGACAGAAGTCAGGAAAGGGATGGTAGAGGAACCACGTGAGAGGCCTCAACAGACACTCATAATAAAGTGTTAGGTCCAAGTCGAAATAAATAGTTAAAATTAAATACCCAGGAATTCACCAAATAAGGGAGAGATCTCTACAATTAAAACTACAAAGCAATGACAGGAATTGAAGAAGAGGCCGGGGCGGGGGCTGACACCTGTAACTGATGATAGGAATTGAAGAGGAGGCCGGGGCGGTGGCTCACTCCTGTAACTGATGATAGGAATTGAAGAGGAGGCCGGGGCGGTGGCTCACTCCTGTAACTGATGATAGGAATTGAAGAGGAGACCGGGGCGGTGGCTCACCCCTGTAACTGATGATAGGAATTGAAGAGGAGGCCGGGGCGGGGGCTCACCCCTGTAACTGATGATAGGAATTGAAGAGGAGGCCGGGGCGGGGGCTCACCCCTGTAACCGATGATAGGAATTGAAGAGGAGGCCGGGGCGGTGGCTCACCCCTGTAACCGATGATAGGAATTGAAGAGGAGGCCGGGGCGGTGGCTCACCCCTGTAACCGATGATAGGAATTGAAGAGGAGGCCGGGGCGGGGGCTCACCCCTGTAACTGATGATAGGAATTGAAGAAGAGGCCGGGGCAGGGGCTCACCCCTGTAACTGATGATAGGAATTGAAGAGGAGGCCGGGGCGGTGGTTCACTCCTGTAACTGATGATAGGAATTGAAGAGGAGGCCGGGGCGGGGGCTCACCCCTGTAACTGATGATAGGAATTGAAGAGGAGGCCGGGGCGGTGGCTCACCCCTGTAACTGATGATAGGAATTGAAGAGGAGGCCGGGGCGGGGGCTCACACCTGTAACTGATGATAGGAATTGAAGAGGAGGTCGGGGTAGTGTTTCACTCCTGTAACTGATGATAGGAATTGAAGAGGAGGCCGGGACGGTGGTTCACCCCTGTAACTGATGATAGGAATTGAAGAGGAGGCCGGGGCGGGGGCTCACCCCTGTAACTGATGATAGGAATTGAAGAGGAGGCCGGGGCGGTGGCTCACCCCTGTAACTGATGATAGGAATTGAAGAGGAGGCTGGGGCGGGGGCTCACACCTGTAACTGATGATAGGAATTGAAGAGGAGGCCGGGGCGATGGCCCACAGCTGTAATCGCAGCACTTTGGGAGGCCAAAGTGGGCAGATACCTGAGGTCAGGTGTTCAAGACCAGCCTGGCCAACATGGCGAAACCCCGTCTCTACTAAAAATACAAAAATTAGCCGGGCGTTTTGGCGGGCTTGTAATCCCAGACACTTGGGAGGCGGAGGCAGGAAGAGTTGCTTGAACCCGGGAGGTGGAGCTTGCAGTGAGCCGATATTGCACCACTGCACTCCTGCCTGGGCGACAGAGAGATAATTTGTCTGAAAAAAAAAAAAAAAAAGAAAAAAGAAAAAATGAAAGAAAAGAAAAAGAAGTTGAAGAGGGCACAAAAAGATATTCCATGTTCAGGAATTGGAAAAATCAATATCGTTAAAATGTCCATACTACCCAAAGTGATCTACAGATTCAATGCAATCCCCCTATTAAAATACCAATAACACATCACAGGAATAGAAAAAAAATCCTGAAATGTATATGGAACCAAAAAAGACCCCAAATAGCTAAAGCTATCCTGAGAAAAAAACAACAAACAAACAAAGAACAATTGTAGGAATCACATTAACACATAGATCAATGAAACCAAGCAGAGAATCCAGGAACAAGTCATATACCTACAATTAGCTCATTTTCAACAAAAGTGCCAAGAACCTACATTCAGGAAAAGACAGTCTTTTCAATACACGTTTCTGGGAAAACTGGATATGCATAAGCAAAAGAATGAAGCTCAACCCCTACCTCTTGTCATATACAAAAATCAAATCAAAGTAGATTTAAAGACTTAAATCTAAGACCTCAAATTATGAAACAGCTATAAGAAAACATTAAGAAAACTCTCCAGGACATTGGTCTGGGCAAATGTTTCTTGAAGAATACCCCACAAACACAGGCAACCAAAGCAAAAATGGACAAACGAGATCACGTCAAGTTAAAAAGCGTCTGCCCAGCAAAGGAAATAATCAAAACAATGAAGAGACTACCTGCAGAATGGGGAAAATATTTGCAAACTACCCATCTGACAAGGGATTAGTAAGCAGAATAGATAAGGAACTCAACAGTATAGGAAAAAAAATTCTAATAGTCTGATTTTTAAATGGGCAAAAGTTCTGAGTAGACATTTCTCAAAAGAAGACATACAAATGGCAAACAGGCATGTGAAAAGGTACTTGACATCACTGACCATCAGAGAAATGCAAATCAAAACTATGAGATATCATCTCACCCCAGTGGAAATGGCTTTTATCGAAAAGCTGGAGGGTAACAAATGCTGGTGAGGATGTGGAGGAAAGGCAACCCTCACACACCGCTGGTGGAAATGTAAATTAGTGCAACCACTATGGAGAACAGTTTGGAGGTTCCTCAAAAAACTAAAAAGAGAGCTACCATACGACTCACCAATCCCACTGCTGAGGACACACCCCAAAGAAAGGAAATCAGGTTACCGAAGAGATACCTGCCCTTCCATGCTTGTTCCAGTACTGTTCACAACAGAAAGATTTGGAAGCATCCTAAGTGTCCACCAGGAGATGAATGGATAAAGAAAACGTGGTACTTACACACAATTCTGTCATAAAAAAGAATGAGATCCATGGCCAGGCGCCATGGCTCATGCCTGTAATCCCTGCAATTTGGGCAGCTGAGGTGGGGAGATCACCTGAGGTCAGGAGTTTGAGACCAGCCTGGCCAACATAGTGAAACCCCGTCTCTACTAAAAATACAAAAATTAGCAAGGCGTGGTGGTGCACGCCTGTAGTCCCAGCTACTCAGGAGGCTGAGACAGGAAAATGGCTTGAACCAGGTGGCAGAGGTTGCAGCGAGCTGAGATTGTACCATTACACTCCAGCCTCGGTGACAAAGAGAGACTCCATCTCAAAAAAAAAAAAAAAAAAAAGAATGAGATCCTGTCATTTGCAACAACATGGATGGAACTGGAGGTCATTGTGTTAAGTGAAATAAGCCAGGCATAGAAAGACAAATTTTGCTTGTTCTTACTTATTTGTGGGAGATAACAATGAAAACAACTGGACTCAGAGAGAGTAGAAGGATGGTTCCCAGAGGCTGGAAGGGTGGTGGGGGTGGGAGTACGGCTAATGGGCACAAAGGGCAGGTAGAAAGAATGAATAAGACCTAGTATTTGATAGCACAACAGGGTCACTGTAGTTAATAACAATTTAATTGTACATTTAAAGATACCTAAAAGAGGCCGGGCGCGGTGGCTCACGCCTGTAATCCCAGCACTTTGGGAGGCCGAGGCGGGTGGATCACGAGGTCAGGAGATCGTGACCATCCTGGCTAACACGGTGAAGCCCCGTCTCTACTAAAAATACAAAAAATTAGCCGGGCGTGGTGGCGGGCGCCTGTAGTCCCAGCTACTCGGGAGGCTGAGGCAGGAGAATGGCATGAACCCCAGGGGGTGGAGCTTGCAGTGAGCCGAGATCGCGCCACTGCACTCCAGCCCGGGCGACAGTGAGACTCTGCCTCAAAAAAAATAAATAAATAAAATAAAGATACCTAAAAGAGTATAATCGGATTGTTTGTAACACAAAGGATAAATGCTTGAGGGGACGGATGTCCCATTCTCCATGATGTGATTTTTATGCTTTGCGCGCCTGTATCAAAGTATCTCATGTACCCCATAAATATACACACATACTCTGTACCCACAAAATTAAACTCAAACACAGTTATGTTAAATGTCAGTAATCTAAACATACCCAATTAAAAGGCAGAGATTGTTACAGTGAATTTTAAAAAATATCCATCCCACTACATGCTGGCTACACAGAACCCACTTTATATATGACTATATTTGTAAATTAAAAGTTAAAGGATAAAAGAGATATACCAGGGAAATGTTCATCAAAAGAAAGCTGGAATGGCTACAATATCTGATAAAGTCAACTTCAGAACGAGAAAAATTATTAGGGGTAAACAGACATTACATAATGACAAAAGGGTCAATTCACCAAGAAGACATAAAAACCTAAACGTGTATTGCCCTCATAACAGACCTTTAACTGAAAGGAAAAGTAACAGACTCACAACTCTAGCTGGGGCCTCAACAGTCCTCTCAGTATCAACAGAACAATTAGGTAGATAAGGAGGGAGGATACAGGAGAACAATACCATCAGCCAACAATTTCTAAATGACATTTACAGCATCTGCCATCCAACAGCAGCAGGACACACGTTCTTGTCATGTACACATGGAACTCTCCAGAGAAACCATATCCTGGCTTATAAAACAAAACTAACAGATTTAGAAGAATTAAAATTATGTAAAGCATGTTCTTTGACAATAGTGGGTTTAAACTGGAAATGAATGACCTAAAGATACCTTTAAAACCCCAGAGGCTGAGAAATTAACAATTACACTTGTAAGTAATCCATGGATCAAAGAAGTTCTCCTAGAAGAAATTAGAAAGCATTCTGGACTAAATACAAATGAAAATTTAAAATATCAAAATTTTTGGTATGCAGTTAGAGCAGCTCTTAGAGGGAAATTTTTAGCAATAAATGCTTATATTAGAACATCTCATTGACAACCTAAGCTTCTAATTTAGGTAACTAGACAAACAAGAGCCAAAGAAAACCAAAGCAATCAGAGGAAAGAATAGTAAAGATAAAACCGACGTCAGTGGAATTAAAAACAGATAACCAGGTGCAGTGGCTCATGCCTGTAATCCCAGCACTTTGGGAGGCTGAGGTGGGCGGATCACTTGAGGTCAGGAGTTTGAGATTAGCCTGGCCAACATGCAGAAACCCCGTCTCTATTAAAAATACAAAAGTTAGCCAGGTGTGGTGACACATGCCTGTAATCCCAGCTACTTGGGGGTCTGAGGCAGAAGAATCACTTGAACCTGGGAGACAGAGGCAGTGAGCTGAGATGGCGCCACTACACTCCAGCCTGGGTGACAGAGCGAGACTCCATCTCAAAAAACATAAGTAAATAAAATGTTAAGAAAAATAGAAACAAAAATATTAGATAAAATCAATGGAATCAGAAGCTGGTTCTTTGGAAAAGTCAATAAAAATAGGTAAAACTGATAAAGAAAGAGAAGATACAAGTGACCCATTACAGGCATAACAGAGGGGCTGTCACTGCAGAGCCCACAGGCATTGTAAGGATAACAAAGGAGCATTCCATGCACGGATTCAGCACCTCAGATGACTGGACCAATTGGAAATCCACAAACTACCAAGACTCACTCAAGAAGAACTAATAACCTGAACAGCCCTATCTCCACTAAAGCAGTTGAATCCATAGTTAATAACCTCCCAAAAAAGAAAACTCCAGGTCCAGATAAATTCACTGGTGAATCTTACGAAATATTTAAACATAAAAATAACTCCAATTCTATACAAAACTTAATCAAAAAATAGAGGTGGAAGTGACACTTTCTATTTTATTTTATTTTTTTCTCTTTTTTTTGAGTTGGAGTCTTGCTCTGTCGCCCAGGCTGGAGTGCAGTGGCGCGATCTCGGCTCACTGCAAGCTCCACCTCCCAGGTTCAGGCCATTCTCCTGCCTCAGCCTCCCGACTAGCTGGGACTACAGGCGCCCGCCATCATGCCCGGCTAATTTTCTGTATTTTTAGTAGAGACGGGGTTTCACCATGTTAGCCAGGATGGTTTCGATCTCCTGGCCTCGTGATCCACTCGCCTCAGCCTCCCAAAGTGCTGGGATTACAGGCATGTGCCACCATGCCCGGCTGGAAGTGACACTTTCAACTCATTTCGCAGGGCCAGAATTCCCCTAATACCAACACCAAAGTCATCACAAGAAAAGAAACTACAGGACAAAACCTCTCAGGCACATAGATGTGGAAATCTTCAACAAAACACTAGCGATCAAATCCAGAAACATGGAAAGCATGAGCACATGATGGCCAAGTGGGGTTTACCCTGAGAACACAAGG
Source organism: Homo sapiens (assembly GCF_000001405.40). NCBI lineage: Eukaryota > Metazoa > Chordata > Mammalia > Primates > Hominidae > Homo > Homo sapiens. Next base: position 1,421,107 of record NC_000004.12, on the reverse strand, counting down.
CTGTTCAACAGAGAACGCCAGCCATCACAATCCACCATGTCAACAGACGCAACGAGAGAAGCCATATGAGCCTATGGATACGGAAAAAAAATGTGATAAAATGCAACATCTGTTAATGATTTTACAAATTTCTCAGAAAATTAAGAATAGGAAGGAACTTCCTTAACCTGGAGCTATTATAAAATGTTTTTGAATTTTTAGGATTTAATCACTGATCGTGGGTATATAGAAATTAGATTGACCTTTTTCAGGCTTTTTCTCTGACCTTGCTGACTTATGAATTCTGGGTGCTTTTTCCTTGGGATTTTCTACGTAGATAATCATGTCGTCTGTATGCAGGGCTAGTTTTATTTTTTCTGTTTCAATATGTTTACATTTTATTTCTTTTTCTTGCCTGAAATATTTACAGGTGAAGCAACTTAATGTCTGAAGGTATATTTTAAGATTCCAGAATAAAGGTGTGGCTTTGGATACACAAAACCATATTGACACCAAAATGTTGACAGATGTTGCATCTGAGTGACAGGTCCCAGGAAGCTGATCTTACTCTGCGCTGTATTTTTGTGTGTGTTTGAAATATGTTATAGTAGAGGGTACTTTTTTTTTTTTTTTTGAGATGGAGTCTCCCTCTGTCGCCCAGGCTGGAGTGCAGTGGCGCGATCTCAGCTCACTGCAACCTCTGCCTCCCAGGCTCAAGCAATTCTCCTGCCTCAGACTCCCGAGTAGCTGGGATTACAGGCACCTGCCACCACGCCCGGCTAATTTTGTATTTTTAGTAGAGACGGGGTTTCGCCAGGTTGGCCAGGCTGGCCTCGAACTCCCAACCTCAGGTGCTCCGCCTGCCTCGGCCTCCCAAATTACAGGCATGAGCCACCATGCCCAACCCAAGGTTACTTTTTAACCTATTGCCACCCACAAAACAACCTCAATAGCTGACCAAATGGAAAAAAGACAGAGCTCACAAAGAAGACAAAGTTCACAAAAAAAAAGAAGCTACGTGGCTAATATTCATGAGGGAAAATGTTCCTTCTCACCAGTGTCCACAGAAATGGCAACCGCCACAGAAGGAGGCGGGGATGCCACCCTGTGAGATGGTGCCCATGCCAGTGACGCCGGAGACGTTACCCAGCCTTTAGGAATTCCCTCCCTTTAACCCAACCCATCACTTCTGGTGTCTCCTAGAGGTGAACTCAAGTCTAAACAAGAATCTACACAGCAGTGGTTCCAGGCACAGAAAGCCAGACTGCCTAGGCACACGGATGGACGGCTCACGCCCTCCGTGTGACAGGGTTCTATGGGACCGGTAAGAACCTGTGTTACGAAGTCTGCTATGACAACGAGAAATGCCTAGGATACAAGGGGGGGCCAGCATCCAAGTGCCCAAGGCTATAGGTGCAGCGCCCACATTTATGGTTTTTTTTTTTTTTTTTGAGACAGAGTCTCGCTCTGTCACCCAGGCTGGAGTGCAGTGGCAAGATCTCGGCTCACTGCAACCTCCACCTTCTGGGTTCAAGCAATTCTCCTGCCTCAGCCTCCCGAGTACCTGGGACTACAGGTACTCGCCACCACACCCGGCTAATTTTGTATTTTTTTTTTTTTAGTAGAGATGGGGTTTCACCATATTGGTCAGGCTAGTCTCGAACTCCTGATCTCAAGTGATCTGCCCGCCTCGGCCTCCCAAAGTGCTGGGATTACAGGCGTAAGCCACAGCACCCGGCCAACATTTATGTTTTTAGGAAGCAGAAAACGAGATGAGAGGAAAGCAGAAAACGGCAAGGTGTGAGCTGGGCCGTCGCTGTGCTGTGGGTTATGGGAGATGCTGCTTCTCCTCTGTGCTTTTTCACGAGCACGTGTTACTTTGATCACTAGAAAAGGCAACGGTTGTCTACAATCACTGTGAGGGCAGGATGTCCTCACAGACACCTGGCAGGGTTCGGCCAGGTCAGCAGGAAGCCCAGGTGGCATCCTCGTCACAGCTGGAAAGAGATACCGTCACGACCAGCCCCCCTCGCTGGGATCACGGGGTGTGGTCCTGGGTGGTGTCTGTGTTCACATTCCCTTATTCATCCCCAGCCCTAAGCTGCCTCCCACATCTGCCGTGTTGGGGAGGTGGAGGAGGAGACATGGAGCCTCACCCCACAGCCTCCTCAGTGTGATGACAAATGGGCACTTGGATAGGGGCTGGGAGGACTGACGTAATGGGGCATCCTTTGGTGAGGCAGCCACCAGGACCTATCTCGAGTATTGACCCCAGGGCACATCAAAAAAATTAAGTTCAGTAATTTGCTGGGTGAGGTGGAGGCTTCTGTAGTTCCAGTTAGTGAGGAGGCTGAAGTGGGAGGATCATTTGAGCCTGTGAGTTCCAGGCTGCAGTGAGCCGTGACTGCGCCACCGCACTCCAGCCTGGGCGACAGAGTGAGACCCTGTCTCAAAAAGCAAACAAAAGTTATCATTGGCCCAGCACTTTGGGAAGCTGAGGCAGGAGGATGCCTTGAGCCTGGAAGGTCGAGGCTGCAGTGAGCCAAGATCTCTCTCCTGCACTCCAGCCTGGGTGACAGAGTGAGCCTACCTCTAAAAAGAAAAAAAAATTATGGCAGAAATTGCCATGTAATGAAACAAGCAACAGAAAGTGCATGCCAATGGTGAAAGTTTTATTGAATTTATATATTATTAGTAAAAAAATTAACTACGTATTATAATGCAAAATCGGAAAAAGGGAATGGGTTGATGCTTTTTAATGACATGAATGTCATAAATATTTCCTTTTTGGAATCATTTTAGATTAACAGCAAAGCTGCGAGGAGCATGAGAGAGCACCCACCTACACCCCACGGCAGCCCACATTCACCTCTTAAGTCACCCCCGGACATTTGTCAAAACTAGGAGAGCGGCATCGCCACACACTATGAAGCAAACTACACACCCTCTGGGATTTCACCGACTTTTTCCCCCACGAATGTCCCTTCTGTCATCCAGGGTCCAGTCCAGGACGCCAAACTGCTCTCGGCATGGATGTATTTTTAGCAGAAAAAGGCGCTTGAAGAAACATGTCCGAGGGAGTAAGTGCCGCGAGGCGTGCGGGCAGCCTGCGCCTGGAAGAACAGGGTGGGAGGCACCAAGTTCTGCAGCTTGGTCTCTGCGGCCACTGTGCCATCTGTTTATTTTGAACCTACTGTTTACACAAAGGAACGAGTGGGACCTGGGGTGGGGTGGGGACAGGAGCTGAGCTTGAAATTGAACCGCGCTCCCAAACCACAGGCCTCCTCTCAAAATGGACGCGTGTGGCCGCATCGGCAGGCCACAAGCAACTGTGAACCGGGATTCTATAGACTCGCTTCCGTGTAGGGCACACACTTAGCAAAGGACATTTACATGCTCATATGCTACCTGTCCACATGCACACACCCGGCAGTACCCACAGCCGCCACTGCAAGCTTTGACCGTCAAAACACATTCCTGGGCAGGAGTGTTGGTCACGGACATTGTTCAGAAGCACGTCTCTTGTGGTGGGAGGAAGCAGGCAGCCCGTTTGTTGCTTTCACTTTTTTTTTTTTTTTTTTATATGGAGTTTTGCTCTTGCCCAGGCTGGAGTGGAGTGCAGTGGTGTGATCTTGGCTCACCGCAACCTCCGCCTCCCGGGTTCAAGTGATTATCCTGTCTCAGCCTCCCAAGTAGCTGAGATTACAGGCAACCACCACCATGCCTCGATAATTTTGTAATTTTAGTAGAGTTGGGGTTTCTCCATGTTGGTCAGGCTGGTTTCGAACTCCCGACCTCAGGTGATCTGCCCACCTCAGTCTCCTAAAGTGCTGGGATTACAGTCATGAGCCACAGTGCCTGGCCTCACTATTGTTTTAAATTCCCTACAGACAGGGTGCCCACTGCCCGGCCACCATGCCCAGAGACAGTGAGGAGGACCTGGGCCATCTGGGCAGGGGATCGGCCTGGCCTGACAGGGAAGGGGTGGTGTGGAGTTTCAAACAGCGAGCCAGCCCCGCTGAAGCCCCCTGGATCCCCGCCAGGAGGTTCCAAAGAACCTCAGGCTGCCAGAAGACAGGTGCGTCTGAGGCCCACAGCTACTGGGCAGGGCAGACTCACTGGGCCGCACCTCCAGGCCCCCACTAGGAAGCCCAGCAAGGGAAGGGCTGCATTCACCAGAGCCACTTGCAGGCACCAGGCTGCCTGCAGCACTGAGGACGAGGGGGAAAGCAGCCGCCAAGCTGCAGTGTCTGTGATGTGTGATGTCTTCAGATTTCACCCCAGACCACCATGTGTGTCCTGATTTTGGGCATGGGACAGCAGCACTCCTGAAAGGCACACGACCCGGGACTGCGGAGCCAGTGTGGGTCCTCCATTCCACCAGCAAGTCAATACATCCTGCACTGGGGGGCAGTCTTGGCGGGCATAGGGGGTTGACCAGGGCAGCCAGGATCCAGCCTCTCTGAAGAGCTAATGTCAGAGCAGAGAAATTCATGTCAAAGAGAAGATGAAGAGGAGGTGACTTCAGAACAAGGGGACAGCCAGTGCGAAGGCAGCTGGCCCGCTCACCCCTCAGGCAGCAGGGAGGCCGTGCGGTGGGGTCGTGGGAGCCAGGAAAAGGAGAGGAAGGGTGGGCAGGGCAGTCCCGGCCGGCCCCATGGACTCTGGCTACCGGCATGGGTTTCAGTCTCTGAGTGTGGGGTGGTGGTGGAGGAGCTCGAGGTGAGGACTGGACTCCACACATGCAGGGAATGGTCCAGCCAGGCCCTCACTTCAGAGAAAGACAGGAAAGCCGGAGGGGGACAGGGGCCCTCCAGGCCCCAAAAGAGAGCCAAGAACGTGGGCACCTGCCCCCCCGCCCCCCGGCCAAGTCTGCAGCTGCAGGCCAGCAACACAGGCGGGCGGGCCCTCCACCCCAGTCTCTCAGTTCCGCCCTCCGCCCCAGCCTCTCAGTCCCACCCTCCACCCCAGCCTCTCAGTCCTCCTGGCCCGCTGAGGGCCCCACCTCAAGCAACCCTGCCTGACGTGCCCACTGGCTGCGTCCGAGGAAGCTGGGCCATGCTGGGCCTGCTGGTGGGGACGAGGCCAGCGAGGCGGGCAGCAGTATCCCAGGCCTTCGCAGCACCTGTCCCCAGATTAGATTTCCCCTTTCTCATTACCACCGTAATGGGTCCTTCAGACCTCATTCCAGCCCTAGATATTATCTGACCCGTATAATTAATTAATTATAGCCCAAATATTATAGATTATTAAAAATAGCATAACTAATAGTGTAATATCTCAAGCTGTCGACTTTAATAGTCAACATTGTCTTGGCGGAGCTTATCAGCCCGGGACACCCGGTGAGAATATTGATTCCGGGTAATTTTAGCCGTCATCTGCCATCCTGACGGGGAATTGTCAGGTCCTCACCCGAGCCGGGCCTCATTTGAAATCGTTAAACCTCCGCGCAGCTCACAGTGGATCTTAATGTTTCCTTTTTCTCCCCTTCAATATGTTTCGGCAACAGAGAGGAAAATAAATGGAGAATTGAAGTGCTGGAAGTGGGATAGGAGGATCCGTTCAAGAGGAGGGGGTGACTGACTTGTCTCTTGCCTTGGGGACGCTGGACTCTACATCCCTCGTCTTTTCTGGGGGGCTCCTTTTGGCCAAGCCCACGAGGCTGTGAGGGGGAGGGGCCAAAGGACAGGGCCGAGGGACTGAGTCGCACACAGACACCGCACATGGCACTGCAGCCCGGCCGGAGACCAGGGGGCCCACTCCAGGGGCCCCGCCACAGGCCCACGACAGAGGCCCCGGACACGCTCAAGCCAGGAGCAGAAACACACGCATCCACGCGCACAAACCCACGGACGCCCGGACGCTCACACAGGCCGTGGTTGGCATGCACCGTGCGGTCACACACGGACACGGACACGCGTGGATGCCCCGCAATGCACACGATCGTAGGGACACGTGGATGCGGACACTCGGACACACCGCGCGGTCTCAGGCGCACGCACCCACTCGGAGATCACAGGTCGGACGCGCGGGACGGACACCCACGCGCCACTCACGGGGTCCTGCGGGTGCCGGGAGGGGCCGAGGCTTTGCAGGGGACGGGGGGATCCGCGAAGGTCGCAGAGAATCAGAAAATGTAGGGGCGGCGCGGGGAGCGGGCGAGGGCGGGGCCGGCTCCCAACCGCCGAGAGGAGGGGGGCGGGCGCTGCTCTGGGGGGAGGGCAGCTGCGGGGGCGGTGCAGGCCCGGAAGGGAACGGCCCCTGGGGGAGGGGCTCGGCGGTGCGAGGGGCGTGGGGGGGGGGTCGCTGCGGGGTGGGCGGGGCCTTCTGAGACCCCGGCCTTGGGCTCAGCCGGGGGCGCGCCACGTGAGCGCGCAATAGCCCGTGCTCACGCGCCCACCCCCACCCACCTCCCGCGGACACGCGCCCACCCCCACCCACCTCCCGCGGACACGCGCCCACCCTTAACCCCTCCCGCGGACACGCGCCCACCCCCACCCACCTCCCGCGGACACGCGCCCATCTCCACCCACCTCCTGCAGACAGGCGCCCACCCTTACCCCCTCCCGCGGACACGCGCCCACCCTTAACCCCTCCCGCGGACACGCGCCCACCCCCACCCACCTCCCGCGGACACGCGCCCATCTCCACCCACCTCCTGCAGACAGGCGCCCACCCTTACCCCCTCCCGCGGACACGCGCCCACCCTTAACCCCTCCCGCGGACACGCGCTCACCCCGACTCCCTCCCGCGGACACGCGCCCACCCCGACTCCCTCCCGCGGACACGCGCCCACCCCGACTCCCTCCCGCGGACACGTGCCCACCCCGACTCCCTCCCGCGGACACGCGCCCACCCCGACTCCCTCCCGCGGACACGCGCCCACCCCGACTCCCTCCCTGCGGGCGGCCCCAAGCAGGCGGTGGCGCCAGAATCACTCTCCAAGGCTTCCGCAGGAGCGTTCCTCAAACTCCTAATTATGATTCACGCGCGTGATGATGATAATTTAATAATCGCGGAGCTGCGGGAGGCATTAACCTCAATTAAGCTCATTGTGCGGCCTGACCCGCCCTCCCTACGCGCCCTCCGAACCCAGAGCGGCCCTGCAGGGCGGGATGACGGTGCCGAACTCGTTTATTGAGCACCTGCTGTGTACCTGGCCTCTAACCCCTTACTCCTCCTTCCTCCCCGCACCCACCCTGGAAGCTCCCTGCTCCCCTGCGCCAGGCAAGGGCCGCCTTCTCACGCCTGGAGCCCTCCCAGACCGCATCCGCCGCCTCCCTCCTCCCTGAAAGGCTGCGGTAACCGCGGGGTCTCCCTGAGCGCGCTCATCCCTGCCCCTTACGACCGCCACAGTGCCCACCCTGTCGGAGGAGCCACGAGGAGCCCCGTGAGTGATAACGGGGGAGTGGGCTCCTCGTGGGGCACGGCGTGCTGGAAGAAATGCTGGCACCCGCGTCTGGGGTAACGGTGGGGAGGATAGAGGTGAACGCATGGAACCCTGTCACAGAGGGAGAAACTGAGGCAGAGGAGCCAGGTGAGATGGGAGCCAGGTAAGAGGGTGGGCTCCAGGCAGACGCACGGTGGTGGTGCTGAAGTCACGTCTTCTCAACCCCAAGACTCAGCGGCCTGCAGTGGCCAGGGACACCACTTCTTCCAGGCGGGTGGTCTCTGCTACAATGCCTCTGGGTAACAACCCCGAAGACAGGGTCGAAGCGGCACCGTCTCCTGCTCTGGGCTGTGGTCGGCTCAGTGTGTCTGCCCTTGGTGGGCTCATCAGGATGAAGGCTTCGCATTGGATCCAGTTGGCTCCACGCCTTCATTCCAAGTCCCAGGCTGAGGGAGTAATTGCTCCCTGCAGCACGTTCTCATGGAGGGGGGTCTCCAACCGGCAGGGGGCCCTTATGGCCTGAGCTCAGAACCCACACCTCACCACTCTGCCCACTGCGGGTCATGGGCCAAGACCAGCTTCAGCGTGGCTGGAAGTGTTTGTTCCCCAGAGGAAGGCCATGGATTGCGGAGAGGGTAAAGGGAGGAGAATTGTGGGTAAATTCTCCCATGGGTCACACTGCTGATTCAATTAACGCTTCCCCAGTTGGATGGGGCTGCAATGAGGGAAGACGGGCCCTACTGTGAATGCACACCACACATCCTGGCTCCTGATTTGAGCTGGAGCCAAGCTCCACAGCATGGCAGGGATGACCACTCCCCCTGTGCAGGGGACTCCCCAGGTCTCTGTTTCCATCCTCTTCCTGCACCGCCTCTGGGGAAGACAAAGCCGAGCCAGAGGCAGGGATTCAGATGTGTTCAGATGCCCGGGACTTACCAAAGGCAGGGATATCAAGAGGGAGTCCAGGAAAGACAGAGCCAGAACTGGACAAAAATACCTCTCTGTAAAGTCCCCCGTGGCCTGATCCGAGGGCAGCTCGGGGGTGTAAATCCCACCAGCCGCTCAGCCATGGAGGAGGGGGTAGTGTGCTCCCAGGTGTCTCTGGGGGCCCAGGGAAGTTCCTCCAAGTTAAGCCATGACACAGCAGCCCAGAGCAGGGGTCCACCAGCCCACACGGAGAAAATGGATCAGTGCCAGACCACACTGTTCGTGGAGGACAGAGTCAAGGTGGCCAGAGCCGTTTCCCTGCCCAGGGGCTAGACAGATGGACCAGGATGTCAGACAACTAAAAGGGTGGAGGTGGGGTGCACAGGCTGAAACACTGCCCCACCTGCCAGCATTGGGCCCTTCACTCTTCCCTGTCCCAGAATGCTTTTGCCTTTTGCATCCTGCCTCTACAGTCTCGGGGGCACGGGGGCGGGGGGGGGATCCGCCAGTGAACAGATAAAGGTCACGTGACGTGTTAAGGCAGAACTGTGAAAGCTTGGGTTGGAGGGGTGCACAGGATGGCACCTGCCTTACTTGAGGAAATCAGGGTGGCCTCCAGGTGGTGCTGCCACGAAGGGGAGCAGGGATGATGCATGTGCACTAGTGAGTGGCTAAGGGCACCGAGAGGACATGGCAGCTCGGCCATCCAGGCACAGGGAGGGGCTCGGAGTAACCACCAGCAGAGAGGACATGGCAGCTCAGCCATCCAGGCACAGGGAGGGGCTCGGAGTAACCACCAGCAGAGAGGACATGGCGGCTCGGCCATCCAGGCACAGGGAGGGGCTCAGAGTAACCACCAGCAGAGAGGACAGCTCGGCCATCCAGGCACAGGGAGGGGCTTGGAGTACCGGGTACAGGCCTAGGGAGCATACAGGATAGCTGGAAGGATCCAGCCAGGAATGGCCCCTGATACCAGGCTGCAGAGCCTAGACATGGTCCCTGGCACTTCTGGAAGGGGAGGAGTACTATTCAATTTACATTTTAGAATGATGGAAAGCAGACAGGAGGCAGCCAGTCTGGGGCAGTGGCAGGCAGAGGCCAGGCGGCCAAGGCACCCCCAGACCCCCACTCAGGAGGGGTCTCCTGACCATGTGTCTCCAGGCAACATGACTCTGGTGATTCCCACACAGACCCCTAGACGACTGTGGCAGCCACAGACAGGAGAATGCCTATGCTTCAAGCCCTGAGTACCAGCAGGAGCTTGGGGACAAGGGAGGGAATGTGGCCATCCCAGGCAGGCTCCAACCTGGGCATGCTGCTGCCCCATGCAGTGTAGCCAGTGGCAGGCAGAGGCCAGAGAGGGCAGGGGCAATAAGAGAGAGTCTGGAGGGACAGAGCCTGAGGAGTAAGGACCCCTCTGGGCTTGGATGCTTTCTCTCAGAGACCAGTCACACAATTACCTATGACTTTGCACATGAAAAACGCTGTGTGAAAGGAACCCAGCGTTCACATAAAAATCCTACCACTTACCGGCCAGGGGCACTGAGCACAGCGTGGGTCCTCACTGGCCTCAGGCTATGCATCTGTAAGGTGGTAATCCCTGCCCCGGCCTGACCCTGTGGTCGGTAAACCCTCAGGAGCCAGGGTGCTCTCCAAGTTCAACCAGCAGCACCCGGGAGAGGGAGCCAGCCGCGGCCGCCTCTGCAGCCCTGATGGGAAGCCAGGCGTCCTGCCCTCCACATAGCACCCATGTCCCCAGTTGTTCCAATTGTTTGTATCTTCTTGTTTTTAAGTTTAAAGGGTTTCAGCCTCACCTTTGCATCTCTGGTGGGCTCCTCGCCAGAAGCCAGGCCCTGTGCCACGTGCTTTCCCTCCTTAACTCGCGCAGCTTGCAGGTAGGAGAATGGAAGCCCACGCGGTGAGCGGCCTGGTAAACTTCTGGCCCTTTGGTGGATGCTGGCTTGGTCGAGGTGAACGGGCTGGCTTTTGATCGGGCTGTGTAATGTACGCCGTGCCAAGACTCCACACACAGCCTGCCGCCCTCTTCCTCCCCTGGGGCATCCCAAAGTTTGAGAAGGAGTCGAGGGCGGGGCAGGGAGGTCAGAGACGGCGGGCTGGAGGCCAGGAGACCCTCGGAGTTGCTGGCGCTGTCCGCGGTGCTGAACACGGCCCGAGCCCGTGGCCTCCGGGGGCGAGGTGGGAGCGCGCTGTCCGCGGTGCTGGCGCTGTTCGCAGTGCTGAAGCTGCCCTGTGCGGAGGCACACGAGGCTGGGGCCGCGGGTCTCCAGAGCTGACGTGCTCTCGAGGTCAGAGCCTGTGTCCCCTCTCGCTTCTGGTGTCCCGAGTGTGGTACACTCATTCTGGAGGAGTCACAGGCCCCTAAGTGGGCATATCTTAGAGAAGGAACCCAGGCCTGAAAGCAGAGGGCTCCCCTCTGACTTCCCAAACTCCGGTGATCAACATGGGTCGCCGTGGCGCGAGTGTGTGCAGGGGCGAGAAGAGGGGACACAGGAGCCTCCTTCCCCGTCCTCCGCCCGCACCCCCCGCCCCCGTCCGGCCGATGCAAGGAGGTGCACAGCGAGGCTGTGGGGCCAAGTGTGGGGTGGAGTGCACTTCGCACGAGGCAAACACTATACAAAGTGGAGGTGATTATGCCTCTGCCCAACCCTAGAGCCCCTGGGACCCTGCTGCCTTTCCAGCCTATCCAGCTAAAGCTTTCCAGGCAAAGAGAGAAGGGACTTCCCTCCATGCACCAAGTAAAAGGCTGTGACCTTGTCGTCATCATTCACCCCATGAGGGGAGGGTATCAGGACCTGGAAGCTCGCATGGGACTCAACCCCTACAATTGACAGATGAAAAAAATGCGGCGGGGGGTGGTTCATAAACCCATGCTGAGTTCGTGGCAGTGGTGGCTGGCTCCCCCTCTTCCTCTTGTCCCTCAAACTTTAAAAACCTCTAATGCTGGGGAGAAAATCCTCGAAGTCTCAGCTCCCACCCACTCCTTTCCTCATGCTCCCTTCTAAGACCCTTTACCACCACCCATACTTCTGCTCCTGTCCCAGGCGTGTTCCTGCCAACGCCCACACCCAAGCCCATCGTGACCCCACCTGGACCTGCAGCAGGGGAGAGCTCTGCAATGGAGGGAATGTTTCCTGTGCACTGGGCAGGCAGGGGCAGCCCACCCCCGGCACTGATTTCACCTGTCAGTGCCCACCTGGGGCCCTGCAAGTGAAGCTGGTGTCTTGGAGATAACCCGAGATGGCAGATGGGCAGAGATTGCACAAATGGGGGTCTAATTGACAATCAATTGTGATTAGGAGTGAAAGGACGTCTTTATAGCCCCAGACATGCTAGGTTGAGATCGGGGAGGGGAGGTATGTTTCTGGGGATCTGAGAGAGGAGGAGGGGTGCCCTGCATCTCTGTGGCTTACCTTGTTCCTCAGAGATGGGGGAGGGGTGGGGCAGGGGAGCATGCAGCGATGCCGTCTCCAAGCCTTTCCCAGGGGAGGCGACGGGAGGTGCCCTGTGTAGCTCCGGGGGTCCCCTCAGGCTCCACCACCCGGCCCCTGCTCCTCTGAACCTGACTGAGAACTTCGAAGTTCATTACCCTGCCCGCTGCGGCTCACACGAGGATGGTGTGGGGCAGAGAGGGGAGGGGAGGGAAGGCTCGAGGAGAACCTTGGGGCCCACAAACTTCAGATAGCCACGTGCTTTCGTCAAAGTGGCACTCAACCCTGGCCAGCCCCCGCCCCCATCAGGGAGAACATTCTGCAGTGCTCGATGTGCACGTGTTTGCTGGGAAACGAGTCATAATTGTATATTATAACGCAATTCCGTTATGCTATTCCCTATCGTATTTAATGTGTTATATTTACTATGTTTTAGCGACAACCATCATACATACTTCATCTATGTTGTATAAAACATCTTTTCCATGTGATTGTGTTCGTTTTGAAAGTTGTACTAAGAGGGCTGTGTGCCCATTACCCATCCCTTCCTCACGCGCAGGTGTTCCAACTATCTGGGACCCGGCAGGGTGGGTGTGTGGCTACTAGTGGGAGATGTTTGGCTGAGGTCAGGCCGTGGCAGGGACGGAAGCTTTGAGTGGGTTGTGCTTGCAGGGAGACCGGCAGCCAGGTCAGGGGTATGCCCTTGAGACCTGCCCGGCCCTCCCCGACCCAGGCCTCGCCCGCCACCCAGCGGTCTCCTGGGGAGGGGGCGCAGCAATCTGGAAAGTGTCTGGTGTGCCCCTCCTCGGGAAACAGTGAAAGAGGAACCAACACCAGCGCGGAGCTGGCGCTGGCGCTGGCGGGGAAGAGGGAGATGCAGGGATGCCAGCGCGTTTGTGAGGGCTCTGCAGGGCTTGTGTGCCTGGGTGCTCGTGAACGGATGCTCGTGAACGGATGCTGGGTGCTTGTGTGTGCTACGCACTTGTGAACGAGTGTGTGTGTGAGTGGCGTGTGCACCTCTATATCCAAATTTAGCTGGGGGAGGGGGAGAGAGTGAAGACCAAGGTGTGGGCAAAGGAGATAATTGCCTCCCTGCGATGGGAGATTACCCACCCTCCTTCCCCAGAGGTGATTTATAAGTTAAAGATAAAGAATAATCAAGTCCTGGCAAGGAAGGACACGGTGCTGTGGACCTGATTAGAATCTCGGGATGGACCAGCAGCGGGGAGGGCGGGGGAGGGGAAGGGGAGGGGAAGGGGAGGGGAAGAGGGACGGGAAGCCCTGCGCCCCCCCCCCGCCCCGCCCAACCAGTTCCAGGCTCCCTGGGGCTCAGCGTGTCCGAGCTTGGCCCAAATTACAGCCGATCGGTCCACCATTATTTCTCCCAACTTTTAATTTCTGCTTCCAAAGGATCATTGCCCGCGGTAATTGCAAAGGACCGCCCTGCGCGCGGAACAGGCTCCGGGGACCGCAGTGTAAGGCGGCGCGCACACCCGCCGGTGCACGCGCCCGCGCGCTCACACCCTGAAGAAGCGCGCGCGCTCGCACTGCCGGCGCCCACCAGGGTCCACCTGCGTCTGGCTGCTCGCTGCGTGGGCAGGAGGAGGAGGGAGAGGAGCGACCCGCCGGGGAGCTACCACGATCCCGCACTGGGACTCCGGACGCCAGGCCCAATCCTCGAGGGCCGAGGGCCGCGGGCCGCAGGGCCCTGTCCTGCAAACACCGCCGCTGTAGATAAAACGTACCCAAATAAAGACTCAGGCCGCGGGGCTTCCTATTTATCCAGATGTGGAGAAGGGGGCATTTGTCGTATTCTTTTTGGAAGAAACACACATTTTCTCCTTACTTGAAGAGGATCGATTTTATGTAGGCCGCCTGCTGTGTGTGCAATTTGTCGGTCCCCCTTTTGGGGGCGGGTTAAGAGGGACAAGCAGTCTCTCATTTTCGATTCCACTTCTAATGAGCGGCCCGGGGACCGCCGGCTCCGCCCCTCTGCTGGCACTCCAGGTCGGGCCCTAATTTGACGACGTGAAAGGGGCGGGCGTGGGAAGGGATGGAGGGGCACAGACCCTGAGCAAGAGAGACCCTGGAGACGCAAAAGGAGACCCCAAGCGGGAGCAAGTGAGAGAGGCGGGACCGAGACCCACGGAACGCGCGGGAGGGGGCTGCAGACCCGGCGGAGACTCGGAGAATCGCGCGTGAGAACCTCTCCCCCCATCCCCACCCCAACTGCCGAGGGGCGCCAGAGCTGTGGGAGCCTTCGGAGCTCAGGGCCCTGCGCGCTGGGGGCCCGGAGGAGAGGCCAGGCCAGTCACCGCATCCTGCGCCGGGATGTCCCAGCCAACTCTTGGCGCTCGCTGGCCCGCGCGCCCTGGGGTCGCTGCGGCCCCGCCGCAGATTGATCCCGCAATTATTTAAAAGCCGGGGCTGTCTCCTCCCCCTTAGCCAAGGAGGCTGGCGCGCCGTTTCCGGACGAGCGGAGGCGCAGCGACGCGCCGCTGACCACCACAGCCGCCTGCGGACCGCTCTGGGCTCCGGGCTGCGTGTCTGTTCGTCCCGCCCGGCGGCTCCGTCCGTGTGTCCTGTGCGGGGTCCGCCTCCTCGGCCCGGGACCGTTCGCAGCCAATTAGGCGCGCGCGCTAACGAGGGCGGCGGAGCCCCGCGGCCGCCTGCGGGCGCACGTGTGTTCGGCGTGTGGGCGCGTGGGCGCCTCCGGCGGGGCTGCCATAAATGCGCGGACCGGGCGCCGCGGGCGCCTAAGGCGGCGGCGAAGGCAGCACCGGCCAAGCGCAGGGCGCGGCGCCGAGAGCGAGCGGAGCAGCGGCCGCCTGCGCGGGGTCGTGTGGAGGTGCGGGGGCCGCCAGGGATGGGAGCCCAGTAGGTGGCGGGGCCCGAGCCGCCGGAGCGGCGGGAGGCCGGCATGAGCGCTAGCGGCCCCGAGGCTCCTGGGGACATTCCCGCGCTACCGCCGCCTCCCCAGCCAGGTTCGGGGCCCGCACCGCCCGCTCCCGCCGCCGCTGCCCAGGAAGCTATGGACGGGCGCGCCGAGCTGCCGGCCTTTCCCCGCGCTGGAGCCCCGCCGCTCGCGGCCAGCGACACTGTGCCTGCGGCGCCCGAGGGGGCTGGAGCGGCCCGGCCCGCAGCGCCCCTGCGCCCCACCTCCTTCTCGGTACTGGACATCCTGGACCCCAACAAGTTCAACAGCAGGAGGCGTCGTTGCGTGCTGCTGGGCCCAGTGGCTCCCGCTGCGTGCGCCCCTTGCGCTTCGGCCCCATGCGCCCCTGCACCCGCCGCCTCGGGACGCCCGCCACGCGCGGAGGAGCTGGAGCGCCGCGCCCTCGCCGGCGCCGGGGGAGTCGGAGCCGCCGGAGCTGAGCCGCCGAGTGAGTAGGATGCGCCCGGCACCAGGTCGCAGGGACGGGGGACCGGAGGCTTCTATGCGTTTACGACCCTGGGACACCGTGGCGAGTTGGGTCTGGCCCACGCCGAGGCTCCGTGGAAAGTTCGCTGAGCGCCGGGTCCGCACCAGCCCACCCGTGGCCTCCATCCGACCCGGACTGCAGGGCCTGCATCGCCAGGCTCCTCTGGAGAAGCTTAGCCGGGTCAGGCCCAGGGGCTGCAGGGCTGTGAGGCCGGTCCAGGGTTCGCCTCCGCGCGTCTCCGGCCTAGAAGGGTAGTTGGTGCAGGAGGCGAGGGGCCGCTCGCGGTGGCTGGCCCGTGACCTCCCCGCCCCCACTGTGCCCGCCCGAGGCCTCCCTCCCTCCCTCCTTTCTCCCTCTCTCTCTTTTTTTTTGGACAAATCAGACTAATTGTGACAAAACGCTGGTTATCGCTGGAAAAACAATTAAATCCCTTCGATTACAGTTAAGGGGAAATGTGCTTAGCGGCGGAAAGCGGCCGGTAATGGGGCGGCCCGCGCCCCCGGTCGGGTCGATATCCCATTACGGCGCGTGCATATCTCTTTCAAGCACCTTGCAAACTCCCCCCGAACATCTAAATTATAGGGTCAAAATTCGGATAATTACTCGATTAAAACCTATTACACTTATTAGGGGCCGCTATTGATCGCGAATTGCATTCGACCTGCTCCTGATTGCTTTTTGTGTCCCCTCCTCCTCCCTCCAACTTTCCGGCCCTACTGAAGCACAGGGAGGACAGCGCGGGGCGGACCGGGCTGGGCCGCGGCCACCGGCTCTGCGCCTGGAGGCTGCGGGCCGCACCTGCGCGGGGCCTCTTCCGGGTCGGCCGAGATGGAGGGCGAACAAATCCGGCTGAGTGGAGGGGACCCTACGGACTCTGCGGCGGCTGCGCTCAGAGCCTCCACCTGCGGGGAGTCTATGGGGCGGAAGGCCGGGATCCCGCTGAAGCCGGGAAGGCGCGCGCATACTACAGCCGGGGAGTCATCTGGGCCAGGCACCCGGGGCAGGGCTGGGACGGCGCTCGCGGTCGTCTAGGGGCGGATCCTACTCCTGCTGAGGGTCGCGGGGACCCAGACCACCTGCTGGCCTCCATGCCAGGTGGCCAGTCGCCCTGGAGGAATCTGACAGGAGCGATTGGTCATTTCTTACCGGAGATTTCGGTTCCGACCTGGCCGGAGAGCAGGCCGCGGCTGCCGCTGGGCAGCTCTGTGGAGGGCACCTGCCCCGACTCCTCCTGACTTAGGCCCCCAGTGCCGGGGCATAGGCGACCCTGCCTGGGAGAGATGCTTTCTTCCAAATTTCAGAGACTCAAAATGCAGTCACTTCAGGGCCTCTGCTTGGAGGATGCGGAGCTGCTGTTCAGACTCGGCCGACCGGGCCTTTAGGCCGCGGGGAGCCACTCCGACCTGCACGCCCGCCCAGCCCTCCTGGTGAGGCCGAGCAGGGCCCTACCCGCGGCAACTCTGCGCAGGGGCCGAGGCGCGGGCAGGGGAGCCGGGGCTGACCCTCGCGACCGAAGCTCAGGGCCTGGAGGCTTGAGGTAGGGTCGGGGCCAGGGCATAGGATTTGGGTCCCCCAAGCCCCATTCTCTCGGCCGGCTCCGGCCCCACCGCCGGGCCTGTTATTAAATGCCCGGCAATTGGCTGGCCCTGCGCCGGCGGTAATTGGGGGGTAATATACGCCGAAATAAATTAAATGGCCTTAACTAGTTTGTACACTACACAAAATGAGTTTAATTAAGTGTGTATCAGCCCTGCGGATCGATCAGAGCTTCCACTCCGCTGTGATCTCCGCAGCCGGGCCCGGCCCGCAGCACCCGTCCAGCCCCGCTCAGGCAAAAACGCCCGGCGCCGCGAGAACGGGCAGCGCGGGGCGAGGGGGACCCTCTCCATAGAAAGAAACAAGCAAGGGACCGAGAGGAGACGCGGGCGGCGGGAGGGAAGGACAGGCCGAGGGGAGGGAAACGACAGAGCGAAGGAGAGAGAGAGGAGGCGGGTGACGAAGCAGGAGGCGCTGAGCAGGGGGCGGGAGGGAACCCTGGGGGAGGAAGCGGGGCGCGCGGAGGGCGGGATCTGGGAACCGGCCGGTCCTAACTGCCCTGCCCTGTCCTTGTCCCTCCCTCCCGCAGACGCCGGCGACCCCTTCAAGGCAGGGGAGGCCGAGACCAACGACACCAACGGCTACAGCAGCGGCGGCGGCGGCCACAGCCCGAGCGCGGACAGCGGGGACGAGGTTCCCGACGACGAGGACGACGACGAGGACGAAGCGCCCGAGACGGAGGCGGCGCGAGGCGCGGAGGAGGCGCGGGGAGGCGGCGGCGGCCTCGGGGCCCGCGGGTCGGGTTGCCAGGGCGCGGCTGAGACCGACGCGTCCCCCGGAGCCACCGTCGACGAGGCAGCGGCCCCCGGACCCCGCGAGAACTCGCCCGTTGCCCAGGGCCCACCGGGAGGTGCAGCGGCGCCGGGGGGCGCGGGGACCACCCCGCAGGGCACGGCGACGGCGGCGAAGCCCAAGCGGAAGCGCACGGGGTCCGACTCCAAGTCCGGGAAGCCGCGGCGAGCGCGCACCGCCTTCACCTACGAGCAGCTCGTGGCGCTGGAGAACAAGTTCAAGGCCACGCGCTACCTGTCGGTGTGCGAGCGCCTCAACCTGGCGCTGTCGCTCAGCCTCACCGAGACGCAGGTGAAGATCTGGTTCCAGAACCGCCGAACCAAGTGGAAGAAGCAGAACCCGGGCGCCGACACCAGCGCTCCGACCGGCGGCGGGGGCGGACCGGGACCGGGGGCCGGGCCTGGCACGGGGCTGCCCGGCGGCCTCAGCCCGCTCAGCCCCTCGCCGCCCATGGGCGCCCCGCTCGGCATGCACGGCCCGGCCGGGTACCCGGCGCACGGCCCCGGAGGCCTGGTGTGCGCCGCGCAGCTGCCGTTCCTGTCGAGCCCGGCGGTGCTCTCGCCCTTCGTGCTGGGCTCGCAGACCTACGGGGCGCCCGCCTTCTACGCGCCGCACCTCTGAGCCCCGTGCCGCTCCGCCTCCGAGGCCGCTGCCGGGCCCGGCTGTTTTCTACGATTCCAGTCGTTGACTCTGTACATAACCGGTTGCTACGGAAGAGTTTTAAATTTATAAATGACCATGCGCGTCGGGGCCGGGCAGGTGGCTCCCGCGGGCTCGGCCCGCTGCGAAGCACTTTGCGGAACTTCACTCAATCAATAAACCGCAGGCGGCCGCGCCCCCTTCTCCCAGGCTCCCGCGCCGCCCTCCGCCCGGCCGGGCCCACCCGTGAATCCTCTCCGGTGGGGACCAAGGCTCCTCGGGTGTTGGCCTTGAGCGGGACTCCAGCCCGTTTTCCCACCGGCCTGGCGTCCCCCGGCCGGAATTCAGGCCACTCTGCTGGTGCCTGCCCGTCGTCGTGGGCGCAGGGGCTGAGCGCAGGGGCTCACCCGCCAAGCTGGCTGAGGCTCAGGTCCCAGCGTCACCTCCCTGACCGCCCCCTCCCCGTCCCAAAAAAGATCACAGGTCTCGGAAAGTGACCAGCTGCTTCCTCTTCGCCTCTCCTCTTAGCCATGGAGCTGGTGGGGCCGCGGCATTTTCCGCCTCCTGCTCCCCACCCCTGCAGCCTGCTCCGGTCCCACTCCCCTGCCCCACAGCCCCGCAAGGGAGCACCGGGCTAGGCGTGTCAGCTTGGGGGCGGTGTCAGCTTCGGCTACTGCCTGGAGGAAGAAGCGCCTGCCTGTTTTCCCCGGGGAGAAGGGGCTGCCTGGGCTCAGCTACCTGCCCAAGAGCGTCCCAGCCCATTCAGACCCAGGCCCCCAAAAGTCGGGTCGAGTGCTCCCTCTTGGAGCTGCCACCTCTCCTCCAACGACGCTGGAAACAGTCCCTACATCCCCTCACAGGCTCTCGGAGTCCTGTGGGTTTGGTGTTCGCCTGAGCTGGGCTCAGGGAGGTGAGAGGCAGAGGCGCTTGGGCTGGGCGGCAGTGTGGATGCAAAAGCTGGTGCTTGGAAGCGGGGAAGGGCGACGGGAGGAGGGTTCAGAGCCCCAGAAAGGGTGGGGAGGCGGCATGAGACACTGGCCACAGCCGGGCAGGTGCTGCCCCTCTTCTGCCACTGGCGGGAGTCCTGAGTCCTGCCTCACAGAGGGAGCTTGGCTCTGCCTGGCGGCTGTGCCCTGACTGGGCCCAGTCTCCTGGTGTCCTGTCCATTTTCCGTGAGTGGGCTGAGCTCATCTCTGGGCTGTCAACCTGACAGCAACCACTGGGGGAGGGCTGGGGGCAGGTGGCGGCAGTGAATACCCAGTGCCACAGGCAAGATGGGAGACACTGCTGCCCACTGGCCTGGCCAGCACCTGTGGACAGAGAGCAGGCCCAGAGCAGCACCGGCCATCGGGCAGGTTGAGGGGGCGGGGCGCAGGGGCGGCTGGGATCACCCTGTGTGTTTGCTGCCCCCACACCCCAAGCCCCAGGCAGGCCTTGGTTCCTCCAGCCAAGGGCCGGCCTGACTCCCAGTTGCTCTCTGCTCCCTTTCTGGGTCCGCATAGGTGAAGTCACCTGCCTGCAGCAAGCGTCCTGAGGCTCACCAGCCCGGGGGCAGGGCAGCCTCTCCCTCCTCCCTCCTCCCTCCTCCCTCCTCCCTCCGCTGGCAGAGCTCAGACTTGCTCGGTGGGGGTCCATGAGGGAAGGCGAGCCACCTGCAGGTGGCCAAGTGTAGCCAGAGGGTCGACTCACAGCTGAAGCCAGTGCAGCGGGCTTGGCCTAAGCTGGGCACTGGGGCTGCTGAGTGGGAAAGCAGCTGCTGCGTGGCCAGGAGGAACCCAGGTCTGTGCTGCAAGGGCCTTCCCCTTTGCTGAGCTTGCTGGAACATTCCAGGAGCTCACAGCCCCACAGGGAGATGATAGAAGGTGGCTGCGACGGTGCAGGCCAGATTCAGACCCACTCAGAGCCGGGCCAGACCGCTGTGTGCAGCCCTCCCATGGAGCTTAGATCCTGGCTCCCCGTCCCTCCAGCTTCCACATGCCCCCACCCTGGCCTCCTCTGTCTCCTCCCCTCAAGCCTCAGCCAGAAACACAGAGCCACACCGGAGGGCCCTCTAGCAGTGCCCCTGGGCTGCAGGATGGGATGGAGGGTATGGGCCGGGGGCTGTGAGGTCTGGGAAGCAATACCCCCCTCCTTGCACCACCCCTTCTCTAAGCTCCCTGGACAGCCCACAGCCTCATGCTGCAGGCATGGGGGGCATTTCCTCCAGTCTCTGATTCACAGTCACTCTGCAGCGGACCCTCGTCGGAGTCGGACTGCGTGCAAAGCCACCTGAGCCTCCCACTGTGCTTTGCTGAGAGTCACATGTGGGAAACTGAGGCCCGGCAGTCATGGGGCTTGCTGGGGGCAGTGCCAGCTCTGGTGCCAGTGGGTGCCCTGCTCCCTCCTGAAGGAGCCTCCACTTTTTAGCCCACACTCCTACTGGGTCCCCAGGCCCCCAGTCTCCCTGGGAGAGTTGGGGAGCCATTCCCTTGCCTGCCTCCCAGGGAGCCCTCGGGCTGCCCCACCACCCCCATTTCCACCAGGTTTGGGCCTCCCCTGCCCGCCATTTCCAGTCTAGGCTGCCTGTGCCTGACTCAGTTTCAGCTCCCTGGGCCTGTGCTGCAGGCAGAGGTGAGCGGGAGCCTTGTTAGGGGTCTCAACGTGTCCCCCACTTTGGTGTCAGGGCCGTGAGGGAAGGTCTCAACCTCAGGATCTGAGGGCACTCTTCCATGGACCCTCCTCCTAGGGCTCAGGACCCATCTTGCCCTGGACCACACCTGCCCCAAGTTCCCAGAACCACACACATGTCGTTGCTGCAAAGCCAGGCACAGAAGGGGCCTCTTGTCAAGCGAGCATGAGCCCAGACAAGGGCGGCGTTTGCTCTCACGCCCTGGGCTCCCGTCTCCTGCCCAGGGACCGCTGAGCCCAGACGGTAAGGGGCCTCCCATTGAGGCCACCTCCCCACCCCCACCAGCCGATGGTGCTGTGGTCCATTGCTGTGTGGGTCAGGCCTGGGTTTGGCTGCGTGTAAGAGAAAACCTGAATGAAGAGAGTTGAAAGGAGACTGTTTACTTTCTCTTTGTGAGGGAATTCTGGCCGTGGCAGCCCTGGGCAGTTTTGAGACCTTCACTGAGTCCTTGGAGACCCAGCTCCTGGCTCTCTGTGCTGCATCAGGCCTGGACGGGCCTCAGCCTCACAGAACCCAATGGAAACTGAGGCTCCAGCCACCACATCCTCACCCCCGGCTGCAAACAGGAAGAAAGGGAGTGGCCAGCAACACCCCTCTCTTTTAAGGAGCTTTCCCGGAAGCCCACACAACACAGCTGCTTATGTCCCATTGGCCAGAGCTGGGTCACGGGCCCTCTCTTAGCCAAGGGAGGCTGGGAAGTGCAGTCTCCCCCCAGGCATCTCACTCCTAGTGAAAGGTGAGGATGGATTGGGGCCACCGGCTGCCCCTGCCGAGCCCCCCTGTGCTCCCCACCCATGCCCACCTGCCCACACCCCCAGCCCCAGGCAGCTGGGCTTCTGAAGAAAGTCGCCCTCAGCCCGCCTGGTCTTTTCCGAAGCCCAGGGCCTCGACCTTGGTGGGCACCCAGCTCCTACACCCTAAGGTGTCTGGTGTACCCTCTCCATAACCCCACCCTGGGTTGGCCACAGGTCCAAGCCCATCTTCCAGCCATAGGATCTTGTCACCTGCCTGCGTCCTGCCAGGGGAGACAGCCCCTGCTGGGCTTCAGATGCGTCCAGTGTCTCCAGGCTTAGGCATAACCCTCCCTGGACCCCGTGTGGCCTCCAGCTCTCCCCCTTTCCTCCCAGCCTCCAGCCAAAGTATCGAAAGAGCCGTCTACACCTGCTGTCTACACTTCCTCCTCACTTCTCCACCCCTAAGGAGGCTCTCGCCGTCACTCGGGCCCTTGGCTGCCCCATCCTGGCGTGGCCTCCTCAGCCCCCTGCTCACTTGGTGGCTGGTTCCTCCTGCTCCGAGTCCTGGGCAGCCTGGGCTTGGGGAACCCTCATCCTCCACTTGCCTTCCTGCCATGGCAATGGTGTGCCTGGCCCTGTCCTTGCCCCGCGATGTCCTGGCAATGGTGTGCTTCTCCCTGTCCTTGCCCCGCAGTGTCCTGGTAATGGTGTGCCTCGCCCTGTCCTTGCCCTGCGATGTCCCCCCGGGGGCCAGGGGCCCTCCAGGCACCACAAAGCCAGACCAAGCTCCTCCCAGACCAAGCCAGCCCCACAGCCTCAGAGCAAACCCCAGGCACCAAGCACCCTCCCCACATCCAACCCAATCTACCCATATCCAGATGCCCGAAAACACCCTGCATCCAACCTGATCTACCCACATCCAGATGCCCGAAAACACCCGGCATCCAACCTGATCTACTCACATCCAGATGCCCGAAAACACCCTGCATCCAACCTGATCTACCCACATCCAGATGCCCGAAAACACCCGGCATCCAACCTGATCTACCCACATCCAGATGCCCGAAAACACCCGGCATCCAACCTGATCTACCCACATCCAGATGCCCGAAAACACCCGGCATCCAACCTGATCTACTCACATCCAGATGCCCGAAAACACCCTGCATCCAACCTGATCTACCCACATCCAGATGCCCGAAAACACCCGGCATCCAACCTGATCTACTCACATCCAGATGCCCGAAAACACCCTGCATCCAACCTGATCTACCCACATCCAGATGCCCGAAAACACCCGGCATCCAACCTGATCTACCCACATCCAGATGCCCGAAAACACCCGGCATCCAACCTGATCTACCCACATCCAGATGCCCGAAAACACCCGGCATCCAACCTGATCTACCCACATCCAGATGCCCGAAAACACCCTGCATCCAACCTGATCTACCCACATCCAGATGCCCGAAAACACCCTGCATCCAACCTGATCTACCCACATCCAGATGCCCGAAAACACCCTGTATCCAACCTGATCTACTCACATCCAGATGCCCGAAAACACCCGGCATCCAACCTGATCTACCCACATCCAGATGCCCGAAAACACCCTGCATCCAACCTGATCTACCCACATCCAGATGCCCGAAAACACCCGGCATCCAACCTGATCTACCCACATCCAGATGCCCGAAAACACCCTGCATCCAACCTGATCTACCCACATCCAGATGCCCGAAAACACCCTGCATCCAACCTGATCTACCCACATCCAGATGCCCGAAAACACCCGGCATCCAACCTGATCTACCCACATCCAGATGCCCGAAAACACCCGGCATCCAACCTGATCTACCCACATCCAGATGCCCGAAAGCACCCGGCATCCAACCTGATCTACCCACATCCAGATGCCCGAAAACACCCGGCATCCAACCTGATCTACCCACATCCAGATGCCCGAAAACACCCGGCATCCAACCTGATCTACCCACATCCAGATGCCCGAAAACACCCTGCATCCAACCTGATCTACCCACATCCAGATGCCCGAAAACACCCTGCATCCAACATCCCCCCTGGCCACCGCCACGTTGTCCCCCCATCCCTAGGACCTCCCTGCGGTGCTCAGGCCTCCCCACACCCAGTGTCCTGCTTGTGATGGCCACCTGGGTCCCCCATCTCTTCCCTGGTGACTGAGTGCCCCCTCACTCCTGGTCTCTTCTGGCCAGCTGTGCACAGCGTCAGCTGGGAGGCGGGGAGGTGAGGCTGGACGAATAGCTCAGCAGCAGAGGGAGGTGAGCACAGGGAGGAAGGGGCAGGGGTGGGCAGCCAGGCAGGGCTGCAGGACTGCACCTGAGGGAGGAGGCAGGGCTGAGCCCCATCCCTGCCCTCACGACCACTGTGGCCCCCACCTGCCTCTGGCACTGTTGCCCCTCCCCCATCCCAAGGTCACCTTTTCATCCACAGAGGCCCGTGGGGTGGGGGCATCTCATCCACTGGGGGGGGACCTTGCTCATGGGTGACAACCTGGGGATGTCCATGTCCCACCTCCTCCCGACTGCCCTGCAGTGTGGTCCCCTTTGGAGACAGCTCTGCTGGTGCAGACGCCTTCTCTCTTTCCCTGGGAGGCTGTGGCTGAGCGCTCATCTCAGATGAGCTGAGCTCCACATGTCCTGCCTCTGGGGCAGCAGGCAGCTGGGTGCTGCCTGTGACTAGGTTCTGGCCAAGTCGACATGAACAGTGTGTGTGGGGGTAGGGGACTGAGAAGGCTCCTTATGGGAATCAGCTCAGAGGGGAGGCAAAGCCCTCCTCCTTCCTTCTGCAGACCTGGTGATGGCTGGAGCCCCAGCAGCCACCTTGGGCCATGAGGTAGCCTTGGGGTTGGAGGCCACGTGCTCTGATACTGAGCCAGGAACTGGAAGGTGCTTGGGGGCGCCTACCCTTGGACCCTGATTCAATAGGACACAAACCCTTCTGTCTACGAGCCACTCTTATTTGGAGTTTCTGGTTCTGTGTTGCTAACCCTGACACCACTTTCCATGGTGGCCCATCCACCCCAGCGCTGGGGCTGTGACCCATGCCCACCAGTCCTCCCTTGGTCACTCCTCGCACTCACCCCCTGCTGCTCTCCGGGCCAACCTCAGCCAGTCTGCCCTGGATGAGGGCAGCAGCATGCTGGACCAGCTGGCACGGGCCCCCTCCCACTGTGAGCCGTACCAGTAGCCCCTACGTGCATCTGCAGGCCAGACCCCCCCAGGCTCCTCCCCCCGCCATCTGCCTGGCTCATGGGGACCCAAACCACTTTGTGGCAAGTGTGGGTGGAAGGGGTTTGCTGAGGGGATCTGAGGAGGGCCCACCCCCAGCACCCCCTTAGTGCCAAGTCACTGACAGTGCCCTGAGCCCGCAGTGCTGGAGCTGCTCCCAGGTGCACAGGCCCCACCCCTCACCCCACCAGCCAGAAGGGCCGGCCCAGCACCCCCACCCCACAGGGCCCCTCACTTGGTCACAAACACTGAGTCACAGGTTTGTCTTTTAATCAGCATCCATGAAAATTCATTAAAAGGTCTGATACGAAAAGCACCAGGCTAACAAATCAGTCCTGAATTCAATTTTACAAAAACACCCTCTCCTCTTCCATCTCATCCCTAATATTCCTACGTTATCTCGAGGTGCAGAGAAATATAAAAGGGATCCTTGACATAAAAACGTATTAAAAAGCCACCATGAGTAGAATGTACGGTAACAGCGTCTGACTCGGCCGGCAGGACAGGAAACCTACAGAACCACCATGCCAGGGCTTTGTGTGAGCAGGCGGGCACTCCACATGGGCACGTGTGTGAGCAGGCAGGCACTCCACATGGGCACGTGTGAGCAGGCGGGCACTCCACATGGGCACGTGTGTGAGCAGGCGGGCACTCCACATGGGCACGTGTGAGCAGGCGGGCACTCCACATGGGCACGTGTGAGCAGGCGGGCACTCCACATCGGCATGTGTGTGAGCAGGCGGGCACTCCACAATGGCACGTGTGAGCAGGCGGGCACTCCATATGGGCACGTGAGCAGGCGGGCACTCCACGTCGGCACGTGTGAGCAGGCGGGCACTCCACATGGGCACGTGTGAGCAGGCGGGCACTCCACATCGGCACATGTGAGCAGGCGGGCACCCCACATCGGCACGTGAGCAGGCGGGCACTCCACATGGGCACGTGTGAGCAGGCGGGCACTCCACATCGGCACGTGAGCAGGCGGGCACTCCACATGGGCACGTGTGAGCAGGCGGGCACTCCGCATCGGCACGTGTGAGCAGGCGGGCACTCCGCATCGGCACGTGTGAGCAGGCGAACACTCCACATGGGCACGTGTGAGCAGGCAGGCACTCCACATCGGCACGTGTGAGCAGGCGAGCACTCCACATGGGCACGTGTGATCAGGCGGGCACTCCACGTTGGCACGTGTGAGCAGGCGGGCACTCCACATGGGCACGTGTGAGCAGGCGGGCACTCCACGTCGGCACGTGTGAGCAGGCGGGCACTCCGCATGGGCACGTGTGAGCAGGCGGGCACTCCGCATGGGCACGTGTGAGCAGGCGGGCACTCCGCATGGGCACGTGTGAGCAGGCGGGCACTCCGCATCGGCACGTGTGAGCAGGCGGGCACTCCACATGGGCACGTGAGCAGGCGGGCACTCCACATGGGCACGTGTGTGAGCAGGTGGCACTCCACATCGGCACATGTGAGCAGGTGGGCACTCCACATGGGCA
This sequence comes from Homo sapiens, assembly GCF_000001405.40. Classification (NCBI taxonomy): domain Eukaryota; kingdom Metazoa; phylum Chordata; class Mammalia; order Primates; family Hominidae; genus Homo; species Homo sapiens. The sequence continues at coordinate 1,394,746 of NC_000004.12, read as the reverse complement.
CATGAGCAGGTGGGCACTCCACATGGACACGTGTGTGAGCAGGCGGGCACTCCACATGGGCACGTGTGAGCAGGCGGGCACTCCACATGGGCATGTGTGAGCAGGCGGGCACTCCGCATCGACATGTGTGAGCAGGCGGGCACTCCACATGGGCACATGAGCAGGCGGGCACTCCACATGGGCACGTGTGAGCAGGCGGGCACTCCACATTGGCACAAAGCGAGGGCTCATGCATAAGAGGTGCAGGGACACCTGGACAGCTATTTGAAATTTAAAAACTGGGTTTCCTGGCTCACATTTTGTATCAAAAACTAGAAGTAGATCAATGATTTCAATATGAAAATGAAACCCATAAAAGTACTAGAAGAAAACATGGAAAACATTTCAAATATAATCTTTAAGGGGGAAGAGCATTCTAAGTAGAACACAAAACTTAGAAGCCAAGAAAGATTGATAATTCAACTACATAACTCATGAAAGGAAGATCTGAGGAACGAGATGCCCACAGTGGCCGCTGAGAAGCTCTGCCACACTCCTGGAGGCATGGAAGGCTGTGCCCACACAGGCACAGAGCTGTGTGTGTGCCCGAGAGGAACCTGAGCTGCCCTGGCCCTCACCTCTGGCTGGCTTTGTGGCTGTGTGCAAGTAAGAAGTGAAGGCAAAGGCACAGTTGGCAGCTGCCTGCTGGAGCACTGACCACATATCAACTGCGTGTCAGCAGAACCGCGATGGAGCGCTGAAGGCACACTCACCATGCATCAACTGCGTGTCGGCAGAACCGTGAGAGTTACTGGTGCAAAGCACTTAAAGGGGTCCTCTGTCCAGTCACTGGCTGAACATGAAGCTGATGAGGTGGACACTTCAAATTAGTCCAGAACACACACTAAACAAAAGGTAACAGCAACAGAACAACAATAAACTCGTGGAGAGGGTATCTGATTTCCAGAGTTGCACAGCACATTATTAAAGTGTCCAGTCTTCAAAAAATACATATATATGAGACCACAAAGAAAGAGTATGTTATTTCCTTGGCTCTGACATGGGAAAAAAGGTCATCAATAGGAACTTCCCCTGAATAAGCCCTGATGTTGAACTTAGTAGACAAGTCACCTATCTATCTTATCTTATCCTATCTATCTATCTATCTATCTATCTATCTATCTATCTATCTAATCTATCTATCTATCTAGTTTTGAAAGCGTCTCGCTCTGTGGCCCAGGCTGGAGTACAATGGCTTGATCCTGGCTCACTGCAACCTCTGCCTCCCGGGTTCAAGCAATTCTCCTGCCTCTGCCTCCCAAGTAGCTGGGATTACAGGTGCACACCACCACGCCCGGCTTAGACAAGTACTTTAAATCAGCTTCTACACATATGTTCAAATAACTAAAGGAAACTGTGTCTACAGAATTAAAGTATGAGAATGTTTCACTAAACAAAGAATATGAGTAAAGATACAGAAATTATAGGAGAGAGCCAAATGGAAGTTTGGAGTAGAAAAGTACAATAACTGAAATGAAAAATTCACTAGAGCAGCTTGACATCAGGTTTTGTTTGGCAAAAGCATCTGTGACCTTGAAGATAGGTCAACTGAGATGACCCATTCTGAGAAGAAGAAAAAATTCCGGAATAAAGGAAAGTCAAGGAGGCCTCCAAGGCTGTGCCCAGCTCCACATCAACACACGTAGCTGGAGTCCAAGTGGGGGAAGAGAACATGGACATAAAATATTTCGAGAAACGACAACCTAAAATTTCCCAAATTTGCAGAACCACAATGGAGCGCTGAAGGCATACTCACCACACATCAACTGTGTGTCAGCAGAACCATGAGAGTTACTGGTGCAAAGCACTTAAAGGGGTCCCCTGTCCAGTCACTGGCTGAACATGAAGCTGACAAAACCGAAGGATTCAATACCCACATTCAATATCAATATAACTAGGCAGAAGATCAATAAGTGAAGAGAAGATGTAAACAATCAGACTACAAGAAATATTAACCTCTATATCCAAGAAGCTCAAAGAACTGCAGGTAGGACACACTGAAAGATCCACAATTAGACACACCACAGTCAAACAGTCAGAAGCTAAAAAGAGACTGAGACATGGTGCGGTGCTCCCGCCATGGAAACCACAGATGCCAGAGGCAGTGGAATGACATCTATAGAGGACTGAAAGAAAAAGAGGGCCAACCAAGTCAGCCATATCCAGCACAATTATTCTTCAGAAGAGAAGGAAAAATTACAACATTCTCAGATAAACAAAAACAAAGAGAATTCATTGCTAGAAGATCTGTCCTACAAGAAATACTTGAGGCTGAAGTCCAAGACACCACACTCAAATCCACACAAAGAGCACCAAAAAAGACAACTGCAAAGCCAGCAACAGAGACAGCAGAAACTCATTTCTGTTTGTACATCTTTTCTTCTTCTATGTGATTTAAAAGACAACTGCATAAAGCAATAATTACAAGACTGCTGACGGACTTACAATCTAAAAGGTAGCATTTATATGACAAATACAGCACCAAGAAGCTGAGAGGAAACAAAGCTACTTGAAGTGAAGGTTTTTGTACATTATATTAAGTTCATCTGAACACTTGATTGGTTTTACGTTGTTACTGTAATACTCAGAGCAGCTGCTAAGAAAGTTACTTTTAAAAAAACCCAGTAAAACAGACAAGGAAATTACAATGTTACAAGAGAATTAAATGTCCATTTAACACAAAAAAGTAATGGAGAAATAAAGGAAGAAAGACAAAAAAGACAATATAGTAAACAAATTTAGAAATGGCAGATACAAATCCAACTTTCTCAGTAATCACACTGAATGTAAATGGATTAAACATCCCTCTCAAACAGCAGAGACCAGCAGGACAGATGAAAAACATGATCCCACTATGTGCTGTCTACAAGAAACACACTTTTGATTCAGAGCAGAGACCAGAAAGACAGATGAGAAACACTATCCTACTATATGCTGTTTACAAGAAACACACTTTAGATTCACGGCAGAGACCAGCAGGACAGATAAGAAACATGATCCCACTATATGCTGTTTACAAGAAACACACTTTAGATTCAGAGATACAATGAAAGTTAAAGGGTGAAAAAAGATACCATGCAAACAATAATCAAAAAAGAGCTAAGTGGCTATACTAATAACATACAAAAGGGACTTAAAGACATTTTTTTTTCACTAAAGACAAAGAAGGACATGTCATAATGATAAAAGGGTCTGTTCATCAGAAAGAAATAGAAATACAGATGCACTTAACAGAGCTTCAAAATTTATGAAACAAAAGCTGACAAAACTGAAGGATTCAATACCTCACATTCAATATCAATATAACTGGGCAGAAGATCAATAAGGGAAGAGAAGACATAAACAATCAGACTACAAACCAATCAGACCTAACAGGCTTCTATACAACACTACAAACCAATCAGACCCAACAGGCTTCTATACAACACTACAAACCAACCTCTGACCCAACAGGCATCTATACAACACACACACCAACCTCTGACCCAACAGGCATCTATACAACACTACAAACCAACCTCTGACCCAACAGGCATCTATACAACACTAGAAACCAATCAGACCCAACAGGCATCCATATAACACTACAAACCAATCAGACCCAACATGCATCTATACAACCCTACAAACCAATCAGACCCAGCAGGCATCTATACAACACTACAAACCAACCTCTGACCCAACAGGCTTCTATGCAACACTACAAACCAATGAGACCCAACACACATCTATACAACTCTACAAACCAATCAGACCCAACAGGCATCTATACAACACTACAAACCAATCAGACCCAACAGGCATCTATACAACACTACAAACCAACCTCTGACCCAACAGGCATCTATACAACACTACAAACCAATCAGACCCAACAGGCATCTATACAACACTACAAACCAACCTCTGACCCAACAGGTGTCTATACAACACTACAAACCAATCAGACCCAACAGGCATCTATACAACACTCCACCCAACAAGAGCAGGATAGATATTCTTCAACACTCTGGGACAGAAAATACGGTATGCCAATAAAATAACTCTCAATACATATAAAAGACGAGAAATCATACAATCTATGTTTTTTAGCCATAATGGAGTGAAATAAGAAATCAGTAACAGGCCAGGTATGGTAGCTCATGCTTGTAATCCCAGCACTTTGGGAGGCAAAAGTGGCAGGATCACTTGAGCCCAGGAGTTCCAACACAGCCTGGGCAACATAGTCGGACCCTGTCTCTACAACAAAATTTTTAAAAATTTAGCCAGGCTTGGTGGCTCATGCCTGTAGTCTCAGCTACTCAGGAGGCTGAGGTGGGAGGTCAAGGCTGCAGTGAGCTGCGATCACTGCACTGCACTCCAGCCTGGGAGATAAAGTGAGATCTTGTCTCTCAAAAATAAGAAAAGAAGTCAATAACAGAAGGAAACCTGGGAAATTCACATATATGTGGAAATTAAACAACAAACTCTTAAATAACCAAGAGATAAAAGAAGAAATCACCAGAAAAATCAGAATATACTTTTAGATTTAAAAAAGGGAAAACACAATATAGCAGAACTTAAGGGATGAAGTAAATCAGTGCTGAGATAAAAATTTATAGCTACAAATGTCTATATGAAAAAGATTTCAAATCAGTAAGCTAATTTTCCATCTTAAGAAACAAGAAAAAGAAGAGAAAATAAAACCCAAAGCAACCCAAAGGAAATAATAAAGATTACAGTGGAAATTAACAAAATAAAGAATGGAAAATCATAGGGGATAATAAACAAAACCAGAAGTTGTTTCTTTAAATAGATCAACAAAATTGATAAATCTTTAGCTAGACTAAGGGGAGTAAAAGAGAGAAGAATCAAATTACTAAAACCAGAAAATACTATGAATAGGCTGGGAGCATTGGCTAACATCCACAATCCCAGCACTTTGAGAGGTCAAGGTGGGAGGGTCACTTGAGGCCAGGAGTTTGACAAAGATCAGCCTGGACAACACAGCAAGATCCTGTCTCCACAAAAAAATTTTAAAGAAAATTAGGGCTGGGTGTGGTGGCTCATGCCTGTAATCCCAGCACTTTGCTAGGCTAAGACAGGAAAATTTCTTGAGGCCAGGAGTTTGAGACCAGCCTAGCCAACATAGTGAGACCCCATCTCTACCAAAAATAAGCTTTTAAAAAATTAGCCAGTCATACTGCCATGCCCCTGTAGTCTTAGCTACTCAGGAAGCTGAGATGGGAAGATTGCTTGAGTCTGGGAGGTCAAAGCTGTAGTGAGCCATGATTGTGCTACTGTACTCCAGCCTGGGTGACAGAGCAAGACTCTGTCTCAAACAAAACAAAACCAAAGACAGAAAATTAGCTGAATGTGGTGGTGCATGCCTGTGGTCCTTCCTACTGGGGAGGCTGAGGTGGGAGGATCACTTGGGCCCATGAGTCTGAGGTTGGAGTGAGCTATGATTGCACCACTGCACTCCAGCCTGGGCAACAGAGTGAGACCTTGTCAGTTAAAAAAATTTTTTTTAATGCTATGAACCATTATATATGAACAGATTGCAACAAAGAACCTAGAAAGGGACAAACTCCTGGAAAGATGCAAACTACTGGAACTAAACAGATCTATAATAAATGAAGATACTGAATTAGGGAAAAAAATCCCACAAAGAAAAGCCCAGCCTTCACTGGTAAATTCCACCAAATGTTTAAATAATTAACAACAATCTTTCACAAACTCTTCCAAAAAATAGGAGGGGAGGGAACACTTCCCACCTCAATCTATGAGGTCAGTAGTGACGTGACTAAAGCTAAAGACATCACAAAAAGACTACAGCCCAATATCCCTCATGAATACAGATGCAAAATCCTAGCAAACCAAAGCCAGCAGCATAGAAAAAGGATTATACACCATGAACAAGTAGAATTTGCCCCATGAATGCAAGGTCGGTTCAATATATGAGAAACAATGTAATATACTGTATCACTATAATAAAGGACAAGAATCATACTATCATCTCGACAGATGGAGAAAAAGCATCTGACAAAATTCAATACTTTATGACAAAAACACTCAACAAACTAGGAGGAGAAGGTAACTTTTTCAACCTGATAGAAGCATCTACACAAAACTGCATTGTTAGCATCACATTCAATGGTGAGAGACCGAAAGCTTCCCGCTAAGATCAAGAGTAAGACGAGGATGTCTGTTCTCACCACATCTATTCAACATTGTCCTGGAGGTACTAGCCAGAGCAATTAGGTAAGAGAAATAAAAGAAATCCAGATTAGAAAGAAAGCTGTTTGCAGATGACATGATTTTGTGTATGGAAAATCTTAGGGAACATACAACTAATTAGAATGAATAAACAAGTTCAGCAAGGAATGCTGGATACAAGATCAATACACAAAAGTCAGTTGTACTTCCACATATTAGCAATGATCAGCCCCAAAGTGAAATTTGGAAAACAATTACATTTGTGATTGCTTTTGTAAATGCAATTTATAATCTTTTAATAATTTATAATTGCATTTATAGTCCTTTTGGTTATAAATCAAAAATAATAAAATATGAGTAAATTTAACAAAATAAGTGAGAAACTTATATACTGAAAACTACAAAATACTGTTGAAATAAATTTAAAAAGACCCAAATAAATGGAAAGATAATCAGAAGCTCATGACTCAGAAGATTTAATATTAAGACGGTAATACATTCCAAAGCAATCTCTAGATTTAATGTAATTCCTATCAAAAATCTCAGCTGCTTTTTTTTTTTTTTTGAAGAAACTGATGAGTGGATCCTAAAATTCATTTGGAAATGCAAGAGATGCAGAAGAGTCAAAACAGCCTTGAAGCAGAACAAAGTAAAACTTCTCACAACAAAGCAGCACTGATCAAGGCACTGTGGCACTGGCATAAGGTTAAACAGGTCAATGGAATAGAGTCAAGTGCCCAGAAATAAGCCTGTACATTTTTGGTCAACTGATTATCAATAATGGTGCGAAGATAATTCAATGGGGAAAAATAATGTTTTCAACAAATGGTGCTGGGACAACTGGATATCCACATGCAAAAGAATGTGGGCTCTTACACCACACACAAAACTTAATTCACAATGGATCAAAGATCTACACATAAGAGCTGAAATTATAAAATGCTTATTAGAAACTAGGTGTAAATCTCTGTGATCTTGGATTAGGTGATGGCTTCTGAAATGTGACAGCAAAAGCATAAGCAACAAAAGAAAAAAACAGATAAATTGCTGTACTTCATCAAAATTAACTTTTGTGCTTCAGAGGACACTATCCAGAAAGTGAAACAACAGTATGGAAGAAAGTTTTTGCAAATCAGCTGAGTGCGGTGGCTCACACCTGTAATCCCAGCACTATGGGAGGCCGAGGTGGGTGGATCACGAGGTCAAGAGATCAAGACCATCCCAGCCAACACAGTGAAATCCCGTCTCTACTAAAAATACAAAAATTAGCTGGGCGTGGTGGTGCGCGCCTGTAGTCCCAGCTACTCAGGACGCTGACGCAGGCGAATCGCTTGAACCCAGGAGGTGGTAGTTGCAGTGAGCCGAGATCACGCCATTGCACTCCAGCCTGGCGACAGAGCAAGATTCCATTTCAAAAATAAATAAATAAATAAATAAAGTTTTTGCAAATCACATGAGGATCTAGTATCCACAGTATACATATAAACTCCTGGCCAGGAGTGGTGGCTCATGCCTGTAATCCCAACACTTTGGGAGACCGAAGCAGGAGGATCGCTTGAGGCTAGGAGTTCGAGATCACCGTGGGCAACACAGTGAGACCTCATCTCTACAAAAAATTTAAAAAATTAGCCAGGTGTTGTGGTGTGTGCCTGTAGTCCCAGCTACCTGGGAGGCTGACGTGGAAGGATGGCTTGAGCCCAGGAGTTTGAGGCTGCACTGAGCTATGATTCTGCCACTGCACTCAGCCTGGGTAAGAGCAAAAGCCCATCTCTAAAAGGAAAAACAAAAAAAACAACTGTTACAACTCAAGATAAATCATTCAATTAAAAATAGGCAAGAGGTTTGAATAGACTCCTCTCCAAAGGAGATACACAAATGGCCAGTAAGCCCACGAGAAGATGTTCGGTATCCTTCTCCAATGCTGCTGTGAACATGGGTGCACAAGCTTCCGCATGGACAGGTTTTCACCTCCTTTGTTTTATACATTGGAGGGGAACTGCATGGATAAACCTTAAAAACAACGCCAAGTGTAAGAAGCCAGGGACAAGAGGACACATGTATGAAAAGGCACATCCAGAAACAGAAAGCAGATGACTGAACGGTTCACTAGCCTTTGTGTTTGTGTTAAAAACAGCATTTGCACAAAAGTGGGTTTCCCAGAGTTCCTCTGAGTGGTCGCCTCCTGGCTGGGGAATGCACGCTCTGAAGGCTGAGCTGCACACACATTCCGTCCGTGCTGAACCCCACACCACGACAAGCACTGGTCTCACGAGGACTCGCAGAAGCCCTCTGGAACAGGGTCGCTGCCTGTGTTCACATCTCCAGGCCCGAGGGCCTCTTCTGCGAGGCCAGACCCATCACCAGACGATGCCGAACCCTGTAGCAGCAGAGCGGCCGTACCTTCAGGGCATTGCAACACACCATTTCTTTACATCAAACACAGTAATAGACAAAGCATGGTTACTGCCCAGACCCACGCCCACTCTGCTGTCCTGAGACACTGGCAGAGGGAGAAAGTGCTGATGGCCAGTGCACTGGGCCCCGCTCTCTAGTTCAGTGCGTAGTTAAACTGGTTTGAAAACTTCTCGTGCTTCTTCTGGTCCATCCGGTTCATGGCTGCCACTACCCTCCGCACAGCTGCCCTGTGGGGAAACAAGGCAAGATGTGACCTGGGAGGCTTCCGCCAGGGGCCTGGGCTCCCAGTGGCGGCATCACCAAAGTTAGGCACTGGTCCTGGGGCAACTGCTGCCCTCGGACACTGACAGACTGCCTGTGGGTGCCACCTTCAGAGACAGATGGGCGACGGGCCCCTTGGCCCTGGCCCGAGACAGACAGGCTTAGAAAGGGCCGCCCCAGGTCCCAGAAGCGGAGTCTGCGGCGGGTGGTTCTGCGCGGTGAAGGTGGCCCCAGCCCCACCTTGGCACTTCTCCCGTGGCCTCCCGCACTCCAGGATGAGGGCAGCCTCCCCCTTGGCCTCCCGGGGAGCGGCCTCGCAGGAGATGCAGCCAGGAGGCGTCAGGACAGCCCTGCCCGCTGCTGCACGCACGGCTCCACGGCCAGGGCTGGAAACCTGGAGGGCTGCAGCAGGGGGGGCACGGGCCAGGCAGGCATTCCGGGGAGCAGGATGAGGTGTGCTGTGCTGACCAGCTCAGCTGCTGCGACCCACGAGGGTGTGGAGCTGTGGAGCCAGCAGGGCCTGAGGCCACAATGTGGTGAAGCTGCCGCTCAGCTGCGGCCCCTGTGGGGCTGCCAGGCGCTGCTGTGGGGGCCCCTCGAGGCAGGGTTTTGCCTGTGGTCACCCCAGATCCTTTCTGTAGGGAGGGGTCTGGGCCACACAGCTGTGGCGAAGAGCCAGCTCCTGCCATGGGCTTCAGTGTCCCCATGAGACACAGGGAGGAGGCCTGGCATGGGCCCACTGGCCATTCCTCCTCCTGGGCATCAGCACCAAGGCTGGCCTCTGCCCCTGGCTGATCCACGGGAAAACAGCCTCACCCTGAGCTCCAAGGGCTAAGGTGCCTTGGGTGGCTGGCATACGGGATGGGTCCAGCCCTGTGCCAGGGGCCCCAGGCAGCCTCTCCACAGCCCCCACCAGCGCCCCTGCCCCACCCAAGCAAGGCTGTGGATGTACCACCCACAAGCCTGGGGGAAGCCTGGTCTGAGTGCTGTGAAGGCGCCTCCCACCCGAGCCCACTCAGGCCGGTGCACGGTCATGCTGGCCAGGAGGGGCCTCCTCTGCCCGGTGCACTTAGCACCTTCCAGGTGTGTCCAAGGGAGGGTTTCTGGGATGGCGATGGGTGGGGGCCACCTCACTGGTGCTACCAGACAAACCTGCACCAGCAGGGACTTGACACAGATTTGGGAGGGAGTCAACAGCCTCAGGTGGCTTCTAAACAAGCATTCTGGATTTTCTTAGGCGAGAACAAGGCAATATGAAGACAGAAACACAAGGCCGTGCGAGTGGCTGGTGCCCCAGCTGACAGACTGCACGCAGGGACGCCGGGCTGGTGGGCTTCGCACTCTGGCCCTGCCAAGTCCTCACCAGTCACACAGGCCCATGCTGGGCTGCAGAGACACCAGGCCAGCCTCCCAGAGCCAGTGCTCAGAGAAGACATGCTGGGGCTGGGCTCTGCTGGGGCTGACGCGTGGACCCCCGTTCTGCCCGCCTTTGCAGTCATCGCCCTCCCTGAAGTCACCGCTGCAGAAATACGCAGGCACTGACCTGGGGGTACAGCCAGGCAAGGGAGAGACGAGGGGCTCACTCTGCACCAGCCAAGGCCTGTGTCCTGGCATGGCTCCCCCAGGAAGCGAGGATGGCGGTGCCTGGCGGTCGAGCCCCTCTTATCCTGGGGAATGCTGGGGGGCGTTCCTGAGCAGACCTGCCTGCTGCCCCTGCTGGCTGGCACTGCCCCTCCCCGGGGAAAGGCTGGGTGGTCCCCCAGGGGAACTCAAAGCAGGGGAGCCCCTGGAGGCCCCAAGTCCCTGGAATATCTTGGCGCTCAGATGGCCCCCCTCGAACACCCTCACACGGGGGGGCCACGCGGTGGGAGGTGACCCAGCAGCCACTCTTACTTGGCGAAGACTTTTCTCCCAATGCGAGCGCGGGCGGTATCAGCCTGAGCCTTCAGGTTGGTGAGGCTGGGGTACCTCCTCTTCTTCCCCCTGCCTTTCCCGCTGTACCTGGATGAGCCGAGATCCTGCCCTGTGGCTGCTTCCACGTCTCTCATCAACTCAGGGTCCTGCCATTCTGCAAACAAAACTCAAGCACTTCAGGAGACGTCTGGCACTGACCAGAGCCTCTTACCCGAGGCCCCCAGGAGGGGCTCTTGGTCTCGTCCTGACAGGGGGGCTGGGTCGCCTTGCCCACGGCCGTACCCTGGCAGCAGCAAGCCTGAGAGGATGCTCAGCGGTTAGGGTTCCCTGAGCAACAGGCTGGGGAGGGTGGGCATGCTGGCCCCCACAGGGTGAAGGTGACACAGAGCTTGCCCCCACCGCCCCACACCCCCACAGGCCCCTGCAGCCCAGAGATGGGGAGCAGGGGCTCAGCCCAGAGGCCACTCCTAGGGCACCCATGGGCCTCCCAGGCTGGAAGGCGGCTAAGGCCAGCGGTTGGGGGGTGGCACCATCCGCAAGCTCCTTTCCTGCCTGCAGGCTGGACCGTGCCCCACTAGGCAAACTGTGGCCCTGCTGGACACGCCTGCTGGTGGGGAGGTACGTGTGGCAGGGCTGGGCCAAGCATGATGCTCAGCAAAGGGCTTTTCTTTTTCGTTGATCCAAAGATGACCTGGCCTCAGGCCTCAGAAATGCAGGCTGGGGCTCTCCTAGACAGAACTGCCCTTCCCAAGCAAGCCGTGCATTGTCTGCTTGAGGCCCTGTGGCAGTGAGGGGACAGAAATGTCAACAGCCCCACTGGGCAGCCTCCCAGGCTGAGAGTACCCACCGTGCAGATGGCACTGAGGCCCTCGGGGGTCACAGGCCCAGGCTTCCTGTGGGGTTCCCCACACAAGGCGGAGGTGGGCCTCCACCAGGTGTGGTGCTGGTCGGGCTCGGGAAGGCCACCCCTGACGGGACTGTGATGGCCATGGGACTTACAGACAACCCTGGCTCACAGAAGGGGGCCAGGCACCAATGCTACAGAGGCACCCGCTCCTGCAGACAGGACCCCACGAGCTGAGCCAGTGGGACCAGGCCACGGGGGCGACCAGGCCACGGGGGCACATCCCCGGAGGAATGCCCACATCTCGGACGGATGGCCAGGCCTCCCAAGCGGATTCTTTGAAGTGAAGGAATACGGGGCCCACAATTCAGATACAGGAACGATTAATCCAAGATTAAGGAAAACTGTCCAAACAGTTTATCTCCCAGTAATAAGAAGGCGCCACAGTTTAGGAACCCGGTGAATGGAGCAATTGTTTAAACACAACGAAAAAGCCCCGGCACCCAGCAGAGATGGAGCGAGCGTCTCAGTGAAATGAAGGAGCAATTTAAAAGCCTTTGAGGAAAATCAATAGATGCTGGGACCGCGCGGCCTTCCTGGGCGCTGACGGGCCCTGCAGCAGCACGCACATTGTCACTGAGGTTAGCACCAGGGAAAGGAAAATTGCGCCGTGCGCGAGGGAGGCGGGGATCAATACCGTAGTTAGTAAAGAGACACTATTTCACATCTGACTGGCCAGCGCTGGCCGCAGCCCGCGGCCTGATACCTGTTTGTTAACAAGTCACCAAGGGCTGGAAAACCAGATACTCTTCAGGGTTGACACAAAAAATAGGCACTTAATTTGCTCCTGAGTGTGAGCCACCAGGGAAGGCCTCACCCGGAGATTAGCAGGTCAGGGCCCTCCCGCCGCCCAGGGCTGAGCTGCTGCCTCTGGGCATCAGGCTGCACTCAACATCTGCCTCTCATGACCAGAGTGCAAGACACCCGGGAGCCATGACAGAGACAGCTTGGAAGGGATCCTGGGCCCCCAGAGCTGCTCTTCAAGACAAGGTGTGAACCCCCACTTCGGGCCAGGGCCAGGCCTGCAGGTGTGGCCACTCTCCAGAAGGGACCGAGGCCGGGCGGGGACTCACATCTGTAATCCCAGCATTTTGGGAGGTGAGACAGGAGAATGCAGGAGTTCAAGACCAGCTTGGGCAATACAGTGCCACCCCACCTCTACTAAAAATAAAAATACAAAAATTAGTCGGGCATGGTGGCATGATAATTCCAGCTACTTGGCAGGCTGAGGCACGAGGATCGCTCGAACCTGGGAGGCCATGACTGCGCCACTGCACTCTAGCCTGGGTGACAGAGAGAGACCCTGCTTCAAAAAAAAAAAAAAAAAAAGCCAAATCAAAGTAAAAAGAAGAGAGAGCGCCTGAGGCTGGCCAGGGCCTCTAAAAACAAATCTTCCTTGGAAAACAGATATGCAGGGTGGGCAGATGGGCCCGAGGGGAGGCAGGGCGGGCAGATGGGCCTGGGGTGAGACAGGGTGGGCAGATGGGCCCTGCTGATGTGGCAGTGCTGCCCCACAGTGGCCTTGCTGTCCAGGGCCTCTGGGCACCCGCACTCCTGCCGCCATAGCAGTGGCCACACGCCTCCTGGACAGAGCTGTGGCCACCTGCACACTGAGGCAGGTGCGGGGTATGGCTGAGGAGGCCAGAGGGGTTCCTAGAAGCCACTCTGGGCTCAGCCCAATCACTTCTCTCGCCTTAAGGCCTTCACCTGCCTGAAAACACGAGGGAAGCAGGACCCAGCCACACAGATGGCACCTGTGGCTTCGGGGCCGTGGGTGCCCACCTCCCGGTCAGGGCCTCATGAACACGTGACCCCCTAAAGCTGGAGCATCCTCTGGAGCCCCCAAACCCAGGACCCTCAGGGCAGCATCCCCTCCTGATTCTGCCAGTTATGACCGAGAGGCTTGTAGCTCCATGGACGAAGCTGGCAGAGCGGGTGCTCTGTGACTCTGCAGACACACCCCGGGCCACTAGTGGCAGTGAGTCCCAGGCTGTGCCTCCCACGGTGACCGCCTTGCCCAGACCTACCCGGGCGCTCCTGCTTCTGCAGCTGCCGCCGCTGCTCACGAGCCCTGTCTTCCGGGTCGAGCGGCCGTCCTTCGTCGTCCCGTGGAACAATCTTCCCATGGAAAGGGCACTGCACAGCGAGGACACGGTGGCTGATGGCGGGGAGGGGTCCGCTTGCCTTGACCACCTCCCCCCACCACCACGACTTGGGCACAAACAGCGACCAGGGTGGGTGGTATCACAGAGCCAAAGTGTACACAACCTGGAATCACGCGCCCCTCAGAGGAGGGCGTCCTGAGAGCCACAGGGACGTGGGGATGGCTCCGTCCCTCCTCTGGAGCCGGAAGGTCTTGGGCAGCTGTGGAAAGTCTAGGCCTCCCTCATCCAGCATGGCCATAGCGACCCCCCTGCACCATGCCCAGCTGCCCGGCTGGGAGCTGCCCTGGCCCCCTGGCCTCTCCTCACTTTTGAGGATCCCAGGCCCAGCACAGACCCGGGCTGCAACCATGGAGGATACTGTGTGTCTTGGCCCCTGGAGAGTCCCCAAGCCATGTACCCAGGTGTCAGGCTTCAGGGCCGTGGGCAGGAGCCCCAGACACCATGCTCTGATGGCCAACGGCTAAGCAATTTCTGCCCACCACGGATAAGCCCCTTCCATGGGCTTCTCAGTGCTCACAAGCACCCTGACCCAGGGCAGGGGCAGGTGGGGCTCAGCACCCCTCTGGCTGCCCCACCTGGTCCAGCCCACACCCACCCCCGCCCTCGGGCCACGGCCTCACCTTCAGCCGGTCTTGGCGCTCACAGAGCCGGCCGTCTGGCCTCGGGGCACGGCACCAGTGCTGCACAGGCTCAAACTTCCCGGCAAAAGTGATGTGGCGGCTCCGGAGCATCTCGGAGATGTCGGCATTGACCACTTCCTCCTCCACCTCGCTGGGCTTCCAGAAGCGGTGCTGGGAGTCAGACCTGCAGACACAGCCAGAGGCCCTCATAGCATCTGCAGGGACCCCAGAAGAGCGTGGCCACGGTGGTGCAGGCACAGGGGAAGGCCAAACACCACTGCAGCCCAGCCACCCCAACACTGTGGACAGCACCCAGGGAGAACACGGTCACTCCCGGCTGGGTCTGAATTCTGACGCCACATGAACCAGCCGCGCGACCACGGGCACGACCGCCTGCGTCTGAATTCTGATGCCACGTGAACCAGCCGCGCGACCACGGGCACGACCGCCTGCGTCTGAATTCTGACGCCACGTGAACCAGCCGCGCGACCACGGGCACGACTGCCACCTGCAAGATGGGCTCTCCCTATAGGACAAGGGCGACAGCTGCTGCGTCCTTGAGGCGTGACCTTGAAGGCCAACGGGGCATCCACATGAAGGTCGTCCTTCCACTGCAGGGACGTAAGGACAGGGCGGTAGCACACCCAGGAGAAGGAGTGAAGGCCGTTCAGCCCTTGGCAGCACAGAGGGGCCGGGTGCTGGAGACCAGACTCCACTGCCCCAGGCGTCCCAGGTCTCCCAGGCGTCCCAGGTGCGTCCGCTCCCACGCTCTGCTGTTGTCATCAACCTGGTTAGGGACGCTTTCCGGCGGATGCCATGGGATGGGGGGGCTGGGTGTGCCGGCCAAGAGGAGGCCGGCCTCAGAGGACTCCACCCCCTGCCCACCTGGATGCCCAGGCAGGGGAGAAGTGTCTGAGGGGCCCTCACACAGACCAGACTGCCCCTGTGCTGCCACCAGGCCTCCTTCTAGGACACACAGCCACAGTTGGGGCCAGCAGGAGCTGGGGAGGACAGATGGGCAGTGCCAAGGGCTCCCAGTGATGAGAGGCTGCTCATTGCCTGCTGACTGGGGAACGGTCGGCTCTGCCCGAAGCTCCCGGGCTCCCACACCCTGTGCCTGAGGATGCTGGAGGAGCAGAGCCCAGCAGCCCCGCCCTCACCCCAGGTCCACAGACAGGAGCACAGCCCCAGGCACGGCCCACGCTAGGGAGAAGGGACCAGCAGTAGGCCCTGCCCTGGGGCCGCCTGGACCTCATTTCTGCATCCACCTTGGTCTGGGATGAGGCTGGTTTGGGATAAGGCAGTGGGTGGGAACGCAGGCAGAATGTGCTGCCCAGGGCCTTGGCCCCACTACAGGCAGAGGCGTCTCGGGCAAAGCCCTGGTGGGCTGAAGAGCACCTGGCCATGTGCCCCGCAGTCAAGGAGGTACATGCGGCTCCCCCGAGGGTGCCTGACCGCCCGGCCAAATGCTTCCTGCTGCACCCAAGGCCCCGTGGGAGAAGCAGCGATGCATTCTGCCACCCGGAACTCGGACCAGAGACGCCCCGTGGATCGCAGTGAGAACACTCAGGAGCCGGCGCACAGCAGCCACACCACGGGCTCCACCGCTTCCTCCCCGTCCAGGTGCAGGGATGCTTCCCTCTACTCCCCTCGGCCGAGGACCACTGGCTATTTTTTTTTCAGACAGACTCTTGCTCTGTTGCCCAGGCTGGAGTGTGATGGTGCGATCTCAGCTCACTGCAAACTCCGCCTCCTGGGTTCAAGCGATTCTCCCGCCTCAGTCTCGAGTAGCTGGGATTACAGGCGCACGCCACCACGCCCGGCTAATTTTTATATTTTTAGTAGTGATGGGGTTTTGTCATGTTGGCCAGGCTGGTCTCGAACTCCTGGCCTCAAGTGATCCACCTGCCTTGGCCTCCCAAAGTGCTGGGATTACAGGCGTGAGCCACTGTACCCAGCCAGGGCCCGCCAGCCCTCTGTGTACCAGGACGGCTTTGTTCTAGTGGTTGCCTGTGGCCGCCACCCCCATCAGCCCTGTCTCCCACCACGGCCTGGCCAGGCCCTGGCTTCCCGGACCCGCATCATCTTGACCTCCTGGATGAAAGGGGCGAGCCCAGGCTCTCCGAGATCCCTAAATGTGGCTGAGAGCCAGAGGGCAGGACCCCTCCACTTGGTGAGGGAATGTGGGGTGAGCAGCCCCTGCCATCCTGGCTAGGGGCCAGCCAGGAGGAGTGTGGCCCTCAACTGGCTGTGGGGCACATGTGGCACCCAGGTGCCATCTCCTGCACCAGCCCATGTACCCCCATCCACGCAGCTGACATGGGGCCCTTCCCCAGCCCGGGCCGCTGCCATGTGTAGGCTGCAACTCCATCAAGCCGACCACAGCAGTGTGCAGGCAGTTGGGGGAAACATGAAGCCGTGAGCTCGATGCACCAGGTGCGTGGTGCTGACGGGCCAGGCAGGTGGAACGTGAAGCCAGGCCTGCCCAGCAGGGCCCCGGTGCCATCCAGGACTAACCGGGTCCTCACCAGCAGCTGCTCAGGCCTCTCTCTCAGCCCAACTGCCTGGGGGCTCAGGGCAAAGCCTGTGGTCCTGGGGACGGGCCAGGCAGGTGGGAGGAGGGACGGGCATCCGCTTCTCGGTGGGAGCTTTGCTGGGCGTCACCTCCCAGGCTCAGAAACCAAGCACTGGCCTTGGGGCACCCCTGGTGGCAATGTGTGACAGGGACAGCTGTTTCTTCCCGACCTCTCCGGCCGCTGAGCAGCCTGCCCAGCCCCTCCCTCCTCACACTGTCCCTAATCTGGCCCCCACTAGGGGCGGTGTCTGTGGAGCCCTGAGGACGGGGCCCTCAAATCTCAGTCCTGCTGTGAGTGAGACCAGGGCCTGCCTCGCTTACCATCCTGCTCTCGTGTGTCGTGTGTGAGCCCAGCAGAACCCCGGGAACACAGGCAGCTGTGGACAATGTGCCAGGACGTCCCGGCACTCGGGGCCCGTTCCTGGGCATCCAGACACAGAGGCAGTGGCTGCCCTGGGCACACGGTGCTCCTCAGGCCCTGAAGCTGCCCCAGGACCCTTGCCCGGCTCCCCTGCCCCCCCGCTCTCTGGAGGTTCTGACATCAGCCCCTCACACGGATGAGACGCTCCCGCATCACGCCCCGCAGACCCCGCAGCATTGGCTTTAGTGGTTACGGTGTTTGCACAGGCAGCCCGGCCCTTGAAATGGGTGCTGTGGGGACGGCAATATTCCGTGTCACACCTGGCCCTGGGTCTTGATGGCGGGGACTGGCAAGAGGCCAGGGGGACCCACCTCTGCCCTCTAAGGAAGACGCCTTAGGGTGACCTTCCATCCCAGGACACAGCCTTGGCACTGTCCTCCCCACCCTCTCCCGGGTGTGGAGAACCGTCCTGCGGCAGGAGCTGAGGCGGCGGCAGGGGCCCTGTTCCCCCGATAGGCCGTGCCAGCGAGCTGTGGCAGGCGCTGGAGTACCCAGGTGGCCTCTTGAGGCCCAACGGTCCGGACTTTCGCACAGATGACCCCCGTGTGCCCCCTTCTGCTGCAGCTTCACAGAGAAGAGGCCAGTGCGGTGAGGGGTGCAGAGGGGAAAGTGGGCAGGGAGGGTGGCTTCCCGAGGCTCCTTGCAGAGCCCCCGCCTGAGGTCTGGACACACGGTCACCGTGAGCAGCTGCAACACGGTCAGGAAGCCCCAGGCCTCAGCCAACCGTGCAGTCCTGAAGCAGGACAAACTGAACGGGCCCCAGGGCCGCCTTTAGGGGAGTGGTTTCTCGTCCAGCTGTTCCCACAAGATTCATAACACCCAAGCTCCATGGATGGCCCCCGACACAGCAGCAGAAAGGCTCAAAAAAGCCTTTCTGGGCTCCACGAGCCGGATCAGCAGGGGAGGCCCACCCCTGTGCCCCTCCAGGTGCCCGGAAGGTGGGGCAGAGCTGGGAGGCAGGGCCAGCTTCCTCAGACCCAGGGAGGCCTGGTGAGCCGGCAGCCCCCTCCTCAGGCTGGGACCCTGGTTGTGTGCCCTGGCCGACTTCAGACACATGGGGACTCACTTGACAATCTTCCCGGCTGTGGGGAGCTCCTGGCCCCAGTAGTGCAGGTCCACGCCGTAGGGCACCACAGGCGCCCGGGCCCGCTCTGCTGCCAGCTTCTGGGCCTCCTGTGGCTCTGGCAACGCTCTGGAGGGGCTACAGGAGCAGAGTGGGACAGCCTGACGGTGCTGCTGGTGCCACCCACAGCCACCCTCCTCTCCCTCCCCACCCCCACAGCAAGGCTGGGGCCTCGGGTCGGATCAGGTGAGCAATGGCTTCTGCCACACGACGCCTGGGCCTCAGGGCCACCGCTGAGGTCCTGTGAGAAGCTCTGGGCCCTCGCCAACAGCTGGCCTCTGGTCTGCAGTCCTTCACCCTGGCCCAGAGGTGACCTGACATCTGCCTCTCAAACCCCAGCCCTGGGGGCTCCTCTCAGAGGCACGGGCAGTGTCTGGAAGGGTATTTGTTGGCCCAGTCCCACCCGGGCTCCAGCTGATGCTGGCACTGACAAGCCCAAACATGGCACCAACACTGCTCACCCGGCCGGGGGTACACACCCAAGGCTTCCACCAAGATATCCAGAAAAGGCACTAAGCAGCCTCTCGAGGCCGGCCAGTGCTCTGGGCAGAGGCTGTGGCAGCGCCGGGCAGGGGGCTCAGCACACAGGACACTGGGAGTCACCTGGCAGATGAGGGTGGAGGCAAGTGGTCCCGGAGCTGCCGCAGCTGAGCAGCCGCAGAGGTGGGGTCCGACACCTCCTCGTCCATCCTCGTCCTCGTCCGCAAGCACCGCACAACTGTGTCTTTCTCTGGTGCTGCCTCCAGCCCTGAAACAGACACGTGTCCACTCCCTGCCACCACTCCCACAACCCGCCAGGCACATCAGGCAAGACCGGGCAGTTAGGACGCGCCTATGCGTTAGCGTGTTCCATCTTCCAACAGTCCCGAGGTGGGTGCCTGCTATCTGCTCCTCACGGGCGAGGGTGAGGCCCGGAGCAGCAGCTCAGGCCACGCTCTGCCAGAACATGGCGTGCGTCGGGGGGTCCGGCAGTCCCGCCTTGTGGCCACGCTGTTCACACACTGTGCTGCCGGGCTTTGCAGAAGTGCCAGCCTGAGCAGATGGATTCGCCAGGCTGGAAAGAAGCTGGGCAGCAGCGAGAGCCCAGACTGCCCGGCACCCTGTGCCCATAGCCCCGGCAGCTCAGGCTCCGGTGGTGAGATGTAGGCAGCCTGGAGCCCTCCCCAGCACCCAAGCCTGAGGTGGCAGCCGCTTGGAAAGGCCACCCACAGGGTGCTCACATGGTCCTCAAGGAGAAGAGACGCACAGCTCCACACAGGGGTTCAACCCACATCTCACGCTGACGTCAAACCGCGATGTTAGCGGGGATTCCAGCCCCTGTGTCCCCACAGAAACGCCCGGGGCTGCACCACAGCTTCAGCAGGCGCCTCTGACAGCCACAGGGGCCACTGGACCAAGGTCTTGGCCCTGGCAACTCCCTCCGTCTGCCAGGCAGAGGCTGAATTCCAAGGACCAAGATGCCGTCCCGGAGTGCCCGTCGAAGAGGGTCCGCCCCGCCGCCAGCAAGACAAGGCCATGGCGCTGCGTCTCACCAACGTCCCACAGAGATGACAGGGACGAGGCCACCAGCCCCTGGCCTCCGCAGCCCAGCGTGCACCCAGGGTCCCCGGACCAGGACAAGGAGATTCTCCAACACTGCTGGGCCCTGACCTGCCTCTCCCCTCCTCCTGCACCACAGCCTGCGCTTGGCTCTCAGGCTGCTCCGTGGGGCTCACCCCGACCCTGACGGCGCCTCTCGGTCAGGGCGGGGCCTATACTCCCTAGCGGCTAAGCTGGTGTCCTGAGGCGTCGGGATGGCAGGAGGCACAGGAGGTGCCAGGTAGGCTATGGGTTAGGACAAAGGGCACCACCCACCTCCCCAAACCTGCTGCAGGAGCAACTAAGGCCTGCACTTGAGCCTGTCCTCCCCTGTGGGCTGCCGGCCAGGGGGGCTCAGGACCCCAGAAGAACCTGGACCGCAGGGAAGCCAGACTTCGGAGAGCTGCCATGGAAGAAAACAGACCGAGCAAGGCGTCCTGGCCCCGGCGGAATCCACGGAAAGAAAACGGACCGAGCAAGGCGTCCTGGCTGCGGCAGAATCCACAGGAAGAAAACGAACTGGCAGCTGGGGCGAAGAGGTGCACAGCCCATGCCACGCTCCCCAGGAGCTACGGGCACCATAGAGACACAGCGAGAGGCCAGGAAGTGAGGGGATCCTGAAGATGCCTCCACCAAAGACAAAGGGCAAGGAAAATTGTCAGGTGCAGAGGACTTGTTGGGTGGCTGAGGGGACCGGCCACAGCACGAGTGAGACACAGGTGACCGCAGACAGCGAGGGAGGAAGCACGGAACACCCTCTTAAGAGCTCTGAGGGGTGTGGGGGACGCGCAGGTGTCAGCATCCTCGTCTCTTCTAAAATCCCAGGAGGAGAGACATAATTGGAGTGCAGAAAACAGTTGAAGAAACAATGAGCCACATTTTCCTGGAATTGGAAGGCTCACTGAGAGTCAGAGGAGACAGAGGAAAAACCATGGCCAGAGGCACTACAGGAAAACCTAAGAACACCATGGCCCGAGACGGTTAACACAGAGCACTGAGGATCAACTTGATTGGATTGAAGGATACAAAGTATTGATCTTGGGTGTGTCTGCGAGGGTGTTGCCAAAGGAGATTAACATTTGAGTCAGTGGGCTGGGGAAGGCAGATCCACCCTTAATCTGGTGGGCACCATCTAGTCAGCTGCCAACGAATATAAAGCAAACGTGAAAAGGAGGGACGGCCTCGCCTCCCAGCCTACATCTATTCTCCCGTGCTGGATGCTTCCTGCCCTCGAACATCAGACTCCAAGTTCTTCAGTTTTGAGACTCGGACTGGCTCTCCTTGATCCTCAGCCTAGAGATGGCCTCTTGTGGGACCTTGTGGTCATATAAATTAGCTGATACTTTCAAAAAATAAAAATTCTATTGACACAAGATTTTCAATAGCAACCGTGAATGCAAGATCTTAGAAGGTCACTTTGAAAGTGCCGAAGGAGAAGTTCAAGCTCAGGATTTTATAGCCAGCTAAAAGGTCATTTCTTGTGCAGGCACAGGACGACGACCTCATGGAGACAAGGCCTTTTGAGGTTTGCCATGGTGAGGTCCGCTTTGAAAACACCTTCAGAGCCAGTAGTCACAAAGAAAAGCCAGGGGGCAGGGGGTGGAGCAAAACATGGGCAGTGAGTGTGTAGAGACGCGGGAGGTGAGTGCCCTGAGACGCGGGAGGTGAGTGCAGGGACGCGGGAGGTGAGTGCCCTGAGACGCGGGAGGTGAGTGCCCTGAGACGCGGGAGGTGAGTGCAGGGACGCGGGAGGTGAGTGCCCTGAGACGCGGGAGGTGAGTGCAGGGACGCGGGAGGTGAGTGCTGAGTAGCAGGAGATGAGTGCTCTGAGATGCGGGACGTGAGTGCCCTGAGACGCGGGAGGAACACTGAGCACATGACTTTGTAAAGTTGACTCTCGCCTGTCCCTACCCCAAACCCACGTGTTCATATCAACCTGAATTAAGTTGGTTCTGGATGATCCAATGTGATGGGGTGGAAGGAGGCCACACGTGGGGAGAGGGTGCTAGGTTATTTGTTTTATGCAGGAAATAGTACAGAAATTGAGAAACACATATGTGTGTAAATCCTTTCTACAATGAAGAGTGACCATCTGAAGAATAAAAACCAGCACAACAACGGGGCACATAAATGGTGGGAGAAAGAAGGAAACGAGACAAGGACGGCAGCAGAAGTCGGAGAGAAAGTGCCATGGATGGACGCGTGACAGGCCGCCAGATGTGTCTTTTGAAGACTTCGTAACAACCGTTAACTAAACAGATTCAGATTAACAGAAAGACAGACTCTGGAGTGGATGTCTTTAGCAACATGCTGTCTAAAGAAGACCCACTTGATACAACGGTTAGTGAAAAGTTGAAAATAAAGGGACGAAAAAAGATTTACTACGAAAACAGTGACCAAAAGACAGAGGAGGTCCTATGTGGGTACTAGAAAAGCTGGATTTTAAGTAAAAAATAGGAGGGTAAAAAAAGGAATGCTTGAAGGTGTAATAAACAAGAAGAGATATGTAACTTACAAATGCAGTCTCAAAACATAAGAAGCCATGCTGAGGGCTACGGGTGCAGAGGTATCCCTGACTGTGGGGACTTCGGCGAACCCTCTTGGGAAGTGGCTGTTAGGGAAAGAATGAGCCGTATCACGGGTGGTTTGTACAGCACAGTCAAAACCACCAAACTAAGAGATGCCGTGAGATTTCCTATCTGATATGGTCTGGCTCTGTGTCCCCACTCAAATCTCATCTTATAGTTCCCATAATTCCCACACGTGGTGGGAGGGAGCTGGTGGGTCTTCCCCGTGCTGTCCCCGTGAGAGTGAATGGGTCTCACGAGATCTGACGGCTGTAAAAGCGGGAGTTTCTCCGCACAAGCCCTCTCCCTGCCTGCTGCCATCCACGTTAAGATGTGACTTGCTCCTTCTTGCCTTCCACCATGATTGTGAGGCCTCCCCAGCCATGTGGAACGCTAAGTCCAGTAAACCTCTTTCTTCTGTAAATTGCCCAGTCTCAGGTATGTCCTTATCAGCAGCAGGAAAACGGAGTAATACACTATGCAAGAAGTCCCTTCTCCAACACACACGCGGAACTGACGAAAGAAAACCAAGTACTAAGTCAACAGGGGCCTCAGTCACCTCCCAAGAATCAGCACCGCCCAGACTGTGTCCTGAGACCACAGAACAGAGCGTCAAAAACAGAGGCCACCAGAGAGCTCAGACACCCGGAAAGTCATGTACACGTCATCGATTTTACACACACACACACACACACACACACACACACACAGGTCCACCCACAGACGTACTCTCACTGAACACGGGTGAGCTGCAGAGCGTGCAGGCCTTCTTTTGTGCAGGCTTACTGAGTACATACACACACATACACGTCCACACACAAGTACTTACAGGCATGCTGTCACTGAACACACATGTGCTCACCACAGGCTTTCTGAGGACACCCACAGTGCCTCCACTTACCAATGTGCAGAGCCGGGAATGCTCTGTTTGGAGAGAAGAGCTGGGAGGAGAATGAGGAGGCATGAGAACTGGGGGTACTGCAAGGCCGCCGGGCACAGGGGCTTCCAGGGAGGGAAGTGGGTAAGGACAAAGGGCCTTGCTCAGGCCCATGACAAGCATCCCGTGAATCAAGGAGTGAGCCACCGACCCCGTCCCTGAGTTGCAGAGGAGGAAAAAGCTGCATGTCTGAAAGGGCTCACAGAACTCGGGCTGTCTGGAGCCACCTCTGACTTGGGCCACTGACTCTCTGGACAGAGGTCAGCCTGGCACATGCACCCTGTGCTCAGTAGCTGCAGGGCTCGCCAGCCTGTGGCTATGAGCCAAGTCCAGCCCACCGCCTGTTTTCGTGAATAGGGTGTTACTGGCACCCAGTCACACCCACCATCTACACGTGGAGACAAGGCCTCATGTGGCCCCCGAAGCTGGAGAGACTGCGCTCTGGCCCTTCACAGAAGGTGCCTGTCCCGCTCGGGAGCTCCTCTAAGCCGTGCACGGCTGCACGCCTGCCAGGCTGCTCCCGTTTCCTGGGTTCCCAGGGGCTGAAAGCGGAGGGTGTGAGACAGAGCCACACAGAGCAGGTGATGGGGACGGACCTCCAGCCCCGAGGCGCGCACCCGGGAGACACCGGGCAGCCCCTGCTCAGCGCTGGCACTCAATGCCGTGTCCCGGGTGTTGCTCACAAACCTGCCAAGTGCCCCTCAGTATTCCGGCAATACACATGACACAGATACGGGCTGTCAGCACACGCATGCACACACACGCACACACGCACATGCTCACAGTGACGGAGGCAAGACTGACAAGTGAACAATGTGACATTTAGATACAATCGCAGCCAAAAGATCAATCTGAGAATTCCTAAGAGTTACAAGAATGAAATATATTTTTCATCGATTTGTTGTTTTAAACCATTAAAAAGATGGGTAAGCGTGTTAAAGCAGGGTAAATACTTAGGGCACTAAACACACTCCCACTTGCGCATCGCGTGGAAAATCAATCTCTCTGACATACTTTCAAAGCAAAACCCCAAAAATCAGACAGCATTCCTCAGGCACTGAGGGCATTTTCAGGAAGAATAACGACTCCCGGAAAACAAGAGGCCACACGTCACAGCCGAACGCGGCGCCCGCCTTGCCCGCACGGCGTCTCACTCGAGTCCAGTATCTTGGCTCAAATTCACTCCCACAGTTGTTTTGAGAAAGAATCATAAAAATGTCCAAATCCCCTTTTCTGTTTACATTGGCCAAGTGGCACCTATTTGCCTGAAGCACCAAAGCAGACAGTGAGGGAGGGAATCGATGGTAGGAAACGGAGAGGGGGGCCTCTGCGCCCAGGCGGCCTGCCCAGCGCTGACATTATTGATTTTACCTAGTTCAGCTGGCCTTGTAATTAAAATGTAAATTGGAGAAAGAGATTATGTCCTGACAGAAATGGTAGGATTAAGGGGAAGATAAAGGCCCCTCAGTGAAAATTCAGAGGAAGAAATGAGAAAGAAAAAGAGCACGGTTTCCTCCGTGGTGTGGATTTAGACTAAATCTAACTACTTCAGATTCGCCCACGTTTAATTGAAAAAACAGCGGCAGAATATAAACTAGTGTTATGAACTGAGCTGGCCCCTCCGCCTGCCCCCACGCTTCCCGCCTGGTCCCCGCCTCCGGCACTCCTGGGGCCCCCGGGGTGTGAAGCTGAGTGGGGCCAGGGGTCCTCCCTGCGCACCCCAGAGGGCAGCTCTGTCACCAGGGCCTGCCCCCTCCTTTGGGCCCTCCAGCCCTCGCCTGGGGCTGGTACAGCTGGTGCTGCATGCTCGCACCCGGTCGACTCCCAGCAAGGCCGCCAAGGGTACCCAGGCCAGGCCCACAGGGCACATCGGCACCTTCAAGGCTGACGGCAGAACGGCAGAACGGCAGAACGTGGTTAGCCCTCTCACCTCAAGAAGTCAATCAGTGGCAATAAAACCACCAGGGCCTCTGCCTGCCCCAGGCAAGGCTGTGATGGAGCTCCCAGCTTCTAAGGCACCCTCCCCTCCACCGGGGCAGGTCTAAGGCACCCTCCCCTCCACCGGGGCAGGCGTGGGCCTTGAGAGGAAAGGGGCAGGCGCCATGCAGTGGAGGAGGCTTGGAGCCAGCAGAGGAGGGCGCTGTGGGGACCTGCGGCTGCAGCGAAAGAACCAGCCGCCAGTGCACCAGCTGTGCACACTTCCCTGGACCAGGACGGACCCAGCAGGGACAGCTCATCATCTGCTGAGCCTGGGGCCTGAGCTGGAGACACACATCTGGAGGTGCCTTCACAACCAGGGTCAGGCTGGGACAGCCTACGGGTGAGGCTTAGCCGGGACTGCCAAGCCCAGTGCCTACCTGTGACCCTGTGAGGCTCGGTGTACCTGCAGCAGGGCTGTGTCAGAGCAGGCGTCCCAGCACACCCGGCAGGGGCTGCGAGGCCGCTCGGCCCCCTTGGCTGGACGCTATTGTCGATGGGCTCAGGACCCCTGGGCTTCAGTGGGGAGGGGATGGCCAGGCCTGGTGACGAGTGAGCGCTGTCACCGTTGTGTTTGGCCACAGGCCCGGGGAGCCTCACCTCTTCTGATGAAAGGAGACCGCTCTGTTCTTTGGGGAAAGTCACCTCGTTTGAGTTTCGCTTCTGGCCTTGCTTCAGATAATTTAGAGCCACAAGTCAGGTTTTAGGGAAAGTGTGGATTTCTGCTTTTGAGACGCCACACGTCACCCCGTCTAAGATGTGTAACTTCTGCTGAAAAGGTTCAGAAGCCATCATAACAGGCCTGTGCAGAGGCCCAAGGCCAGGAAATGTGTGACACTACAGGCCAAGGGTCAGTGCCAGCTCCCAGACTCTGAAGATGCCCAGGAGGGGTCCGGGAGATGAGGCAGCCCAGCAGGCCAGGTCAGGACAGGCCTGCGCAGACAAGACGGCTGCCTAGGCCCCGGCTGCAGCACCTCCAGGAGACACCTCTGTGCTTCCACCATGCTCCGGGGGCTGGACCCACGGCCTGGTCCACCTGAGGGCGGCCAAGAGCCATGAAGGAGATTGCAGCGGCCAACGGTGTGCTCAGGCACCCCCAGGGCCCTCATGTCAGGCGTGGGGACGCCTGCCCGAGGTGGGGAATCAGCAGAAACACCATTTCAGGTGGATGCTGGTGTTGGAAGAACAGTGTGTGTGGGGTGGGGACAGGGGAAGCCCGATGAGGGCACAGCTGGGGCTGCGTCTCGGTGGGGGAAGGGGTCTGACGCAGTGAGGTCGGTGGTGGGGAGAGGCGTGCAGGTCCCTCGGCTTCTGCCTGCCTGCCCCTGGAGAAGCAGCGCAGGACCCTGGTCCGGAATGGGCCAGGCCACAGTGGTTCCCAGAGCGAGGTCCCGGCTGGCTCCAGGTGTCTGAGGCTTTCTTCCAGACCCTCAAGCTCACACTGACCCCAGGAGCTCAGCCTTCCCAGCCTGGGCCCTCCCTGGGCGGCCCCAGGGCAGAAGACAGCAGGCCCCAGTAAACAGGACCATACAAATGGAAGGTCGTTAGAAGCCTGGCTGTGCTAATTCGGCATGACACCCTTAATGGGTCATATCTTCACACATGAGTTGTCTAATCATCTAAGTTCTCTTAACAAATCTACATCTCTTCTTACAGACTCTGATTGAAACCAACTTGTCCATTCCACACAAAAGCTGAGGGTCTTGTTTTCATTTGCCTCCCCTCCATGCAAACACCACTGTGGGTACTCTGGGGAACTTTAAGAGTAGACCCACCTGGGTCCACGCCCATCCCCCAGGGCCACAATCCTGGGTGTGTCACTGGAACGCAGTTTTGGGAGGTATTTTTGAAAAACCTAAGCCCTCCACGGCACAGGCTGTGGCAGGGTTCGGCACCTCCCGAGTGCTCCCTGACAGTGAGAAGAGCCCCTTGCCGTGGAGTGCACAGCAGCCCTGGGCCCAGACCCGAGGCTGTGGCATCACCAGCGGTGAGGAGCGATGCCTGTGCTTGTGACCCCCGTAAGCGGGGATGGGAGCCTGGAAGGCGCGGGGTGGTGGCCCCTCCCACCTGCCAGCAACAGCTCCTGTAGCTGCGGGAATCACACCCACAACCCTCAAGTTCAAGGAGCCCACGAGAGCCCACCCTCGTGAGTGAGACCTTTCTGTCCCTGAGCAGGGCTGCGGATGGCACAGAGGGAGAGACCTGCCCCGCTGCGTCCTCACAGCAGGCCGGTGTGCTGGGTGTGCAGGCCGGTGTCCTCCACACACAAGAACCAAGGGTAGGATGGTGGCCCCTGTCCCAGACCCGGGCACCTGAGGGCCTGCCTGGCAGAGGAGGACCAGCAGGACCACCAGAGAGGAAGCCCACCGCGGGGCAGGCTGCAGGGAGGGCCCCAGGCCCGAGAACCCGAGACGGAGCCAGAACGTAGAGGAAAAGCACACACACGACTTCTCGGCCTCGTGGCTACGACCGTGAGCAGGAAAAGCAGCATTTTAAACCAAAGCAGCAGTTACCACAAGATGGGCTCCAGGCCCTGCCCCTGAGGTCATGACCCCAAGGGGCCACATCCTGAGTGGGGGACCCTCCACCCAGGTGCCCCCCCCACGGGACCCACTGCTCACCATACTCAGGCCGCAAGTGGTCGGGGATGTGTGGCTCATACCCCTCCTTCTCAGGGACCTCCACAAAGTCCTCATCGTCCTCATCTTCCTCCGCATCCCCCAGGGCTTCTGTCTGTGGAAAAACACCCCAATACAAATCAACCCCCAGACCCTGTGTATGAACACAGCTCCCGGTGGGCAGAGCCCTGGAAATTCCTATTTCTTGTGGAGCTTTTTCCCCTGCTTAGGGCTCCAACATCAGCCACGGTTGGACTGCATTTAAGATCGTCTCCAAGGCTGTTCTTGTTCCCCAAAATCACACCACCTCTGCACTGCCCCTGTGCTGGGGGCTGTTTAGAGTCTATGTTAAAACCACGAACTGTAACCCTGGCTGACTCCCCAGGTCCCTGTGGGAGGTGCTGCCCTCCTGTGGAATGGCGTCACACCGGTGCGAGGGCGGCGGTGCCCCCGGGGCTTAGGGGAGTTATCTTCCCACCAGGTGGAGCAGGTGCGTCTGTGGTGCCCCCGAGGCTTAGGGCAGTTATCTTCTCACCAGGTGGAGCAGGTGCGTCTGCGGTGCCCCTGAGGCTTAGGGCAGTTATCTTCCCACCAGGTGGAGCAGGTGCGTCTGCGGTGCCCCCGGGGCTTAGGTGAGTTATCTTCCCACCAGGTGGAGCAGGTGCGTCTGCTCTTAGGCAACGGGCCAGGGCTAGCTCCCCACACAGGGTTCTCCCGTGGTGCTGGTGTGACCACAGCATGTCAGGTGACAGAAAGGGACAAGTACTTCTGGAACATTCTGTCCTTGAGGACTTGTATGAAAACCACCTCCATTTCCTTTTGACAAGGCCACTTCTCTGCCAGGGTAGGTGTGGGGGGATCCCTCACTGAGTCTGGAGAGCCCTCGTGCCACCCCCGCCTCCCTCCTCCCATTGAGGAGCTGGAGAATGGCAGGAAGGCTTGCTTTCTTTTTCCCCTGAGAAAAGCCAGTTCCTTGAGCCCACCCTGCCCCTTCCTGCGCCCGACTTAGTGGGCAGAGGCAGGGACCTGTGTGGTGACTCATCTCATCAGGCCAGAGAAAGACGGTGGCTCCTGCACACAGCACGGCTGTGGCACAAGACACCATGGCTGCAGCTGTGACCATAAGACCAGCCCAGGCAGGCCTGCTCTGTTGCTAACAGAACGCCAAGCTGTCTTGCGGGCATAACAGGGCCAAGAAGAACTGGGGAGGCACCTGCCTCCCTGCTGCCTGCCCTGGTAAAGCCTTTCTCTTCCCAAAAGCTGCTGCTGCAGTACTGGCTTCTGTGTGCACTGGGTAGCGAGCCCACTGCTCAGTAACATGGCCACACGGTGGGCATCAACTGCTCCATCCACGCGCTCAGAAGCGGCTGTGGGCAAGCTCTTCTCCGCCTCACCTTCCCTCTGGCCTGCATCCTTCCAACAGCCCCACCACGGCCCAGGACAGGGTGTGGGAGCTCGCACGCAGCCCCCAGGGCGCACCATCCTTCCCTGAGAGCCCCGCCTCTGCAGCTCACCCACCGCAAACCTGGTGTGGGCTCAGCACAGCAGGGCGGTCATTCCTCACCTTCAGCTCCCTCAGGCCAGGAGAGGGGCTGGCAGGGCTGCTAGGGCAGCTGAAGGTCATGCCCCCAGGGTGGCCAGGGTGGTGGTGCCCTGGGGTGGCTGGGGTGGAGGTGCCCCAGGGTGGAGATGCCCCCAGGGTTGAGGTACCCCCGGGATGGAGGCGCCTGCATTCCTGTTCCCACAGCACAGCTGAGGGAAACTTCCCGGGAGAGAGATCCCTGTTGGAGGAATACCAAGCAAGGGGACCCTTAATGGGTTTATAAGAGAAAAACCGAAAAACAGAATCACTCTGACACACACCTGCATCTCTAAAAAGCATTCCCAGCAGCAACACCTCAAAGGCGCCTGCGATCGCAGCTGTTTCCTGAAGGGAGGAAGGACAACTGAAGAGGGGCCTGACCCCTGACCCCTAGGGCGGGAGCCCACATGTTCACCAGAGACAAAGCCCAGGTGTGCAGGGGACTGCGGCTCCAAGCCCAGCCCCCACGGAGCCAGGCCACACAAGGCCACGGGGCCCGCGCACCAGCACCGTGCGGGGAGGTGGCCCCCACGGAGCCAGGCCACACAATGCCACGGGGCCCGGGCACCAGCACCCTGCCGGGAGGTGGCCCCCACAGAGCCAGGCCACACAAGGCCACGGGGCCCGGGCACCAGCACCCTGCCGGGAGGTGGCCCCCACGGAGCCAGGCCACACAAGGCCACGGGGCCCGGGCACCAGCACCCTGCCGGGAGGTGGCCCCCACGGAGCCAGGCCACACAAGGCCACGGGGCCCGGGCACCAGCACCCTGCCGGGAGGTGGCCCCCACGGAGCCAGGCCACACAAGGCCACGGGGCCCGGGCACCAGCACCCTGCCGGGAGGTGGCCCCCACGGAGCCAGGCCACACAAGGCCACGGGGCCCGGGCACCAGCACCCTGCCGGGAGGTGGCCCCCACACCAATCATCAGACCAAGTGCACTTTGTTTAGGAGCATCCCACTGCTGAGCATCTGGGAAGCACAGGAGACATTAATCACTGGAAACTGTAATTTTTGTTATCAGTCTAACACTGATCAAAAGGGAAGCCTGTCTCCACCGCTGACCTGTGAAACGTCCCAATTATACTCTTTGGAAATGACAGGGGCACTTAACTCCCGCGCTGAGCAAATGATGGCGATCCATCACGTCTGAATAACAACAAGCCACGGACCTGAAAATTATTTCTGTACAGAATCTGCCAGGAATTTATGAAAGGTGGAGAGCAGCCCAAGGTTTCAGGGCATTACGGTTCTCAGCCAGTGCAGCGCGTTATCACACACTAAACAGAATTTATGTGTTTTAATTTTCTAAAAGGTAGATGTGGACCGGGTGCTACAATGCATAACATATAGTGCCAGATTTTAAATATGGGCGTCGTTTTCAAAAAATATTATGCTTCCTGTTCGCACCCTTGAATTTCATCGGGGACTTTTATCAAATTTTCATTTCCTAAAAAATATTCAACTGCTCAGGTAACTATTAGGAATTACACCTTCTTTCTCCCCAAATAATGGTTCATTTCTGTGACTAAATTTGGAGCCCTGGGTTCCCCTTTGTTCTTAAATCAGCGCTGATGAGGGCACCCTGGTCCCGGTGAGCATCTCCCTCCGTAACAGCGGCCAGGTCCGTGGGTGGCTCTCCCTTCACCTCTGAGGCAGCCGCAGGGCTTCCTCCCTGGCAAGGTCCCACCACAGCCACCGTTTCCATACTTCAGCTTGCAACTACTGAGGCCGTGGTACCCCTCAAACCACAGCAACTCAGCATTGAGGGGCTTCACTGCGGATACTAAATGCAAGGCTGAAAGCTGCTGTTTTCAGGGTTCAAGTCACACGGGATAAACTCTCATGTCTGAAACCCACAGACGCACAGTGCGGTCACCTCCAACATCTGCTGCTGGGCACACTGAACGCCAGGGACAGGCAGGGATGCTGAAGATGGGGAAGCCGTGAGCCTAGGAAGCTGTGTGGCTGTTCACAGGCCTGTTCGGAGGACAGGAACGGCGTGGTCACCAGGGACAGAGCTCCCCGAGGCCTCGAAGCGCACGGAGCCCAAAGGGAGGGTGAGGCCCCGCACGAAGCCCCCCTTCCACGTGGTCCCACACGCCTCCAGTTCACCTCTAAGAAGTCAAATCATCAAGTGGTGACAGGCAAGAGCCACCCGCCCTCAAGGTGAGGGACAGATGAGCCAGGGGCCAGCACCACGGGTCTGCAAGCCCTGCTGAGGGGCTGGGCACCGGTGCGGGGGGGCTCTGGACGAGCAAGAATCCAGGAAAGGAGATCATACACCCTATGTGGTGCTGGGGCTGGAGATGTCTACAAAATGAGGTTAGGTTTGGAAAAGGTTCTCAAGAGCAGTCTGCTTTTACCCCGACCTGGCAGCCGAGTTTCCTGTGATAAAGCAGGGGCATGGGAGGCACAGGTCACCTGCAGGCTGTCCCCTCCCAAGGGGGCTGTGACCCGTGCCCACACCTTCCCTAATGGGCCAAGTCCCCTGCGGGGCATTGGAAGCCTCCCAAGGCTGGTCCACAGTGCAGGAGCTACAGGAGCTATAGACCCCTCGACATGGAGAGCCAAGACCACCCGTGCACAGGGCACCTCCAAAGGAACCCCAGCCACCGCGGGGAGGCGGGCAGGAGCACTCCGGCCTCTGCTGGCTTCATACAAATGGATTCTCACCCACACTTAAAAGGATTTAGAAAAATGAGCCTCCACGATCATAATTAAACAAGCAATAAAATGGCTAAAATATACAATGCAATCAGTTCACAGAAGTAGGGTGGCGAGGTTACTAATTATTTGAGAAGGAAAGGAAGAGGAGAGGCCGTGTGAAGGGGCAGGTCTGTCCGCCACACACAGGCTGGGAGATACAGCTGGGGCCATTAAATAAATTTTGTACGATCTAATTAACTTGGTACGCGGTCTCAATTACTTTTCACCCAAGAAATCACTTTTGTTCAGTTTTATGTGTGTCTGTTTCCCTTTTTATAAAAAAAAAAAAAAAAATGATGTAAGGCCTCGTCAGACAAGTGAGTTCCAAATTGCATTTGTCTTTCAGCGCCTTGATGGCTATGTGTTTAAAAACCCATTCTATCTTATAAACCAAAAATTAAACGTGCTCAGCTGTGATGGTCGTCATTGCATCTGCTATTTATATGCTAATGCCCTCCCTGGAAGGCCGTGCAAATTGCCCGGCCAGGCCAATATCTCATGTGCATCTCCGGCTGCCAGGGACGCACCTTGAGAGGACGGAGGGCGGAGCGGTGCAGGGCTGACTGCAGCAAGCGTGCGGGAAGGGCACCTGGCGGGCAGCACTGTCGGGGCCGAGCAGAACCTGCTGGACACAGACACAGCACCATAGGCGTGTCCTCACCTCTGAAACGAGAGCCTGGAGGTTCTGCTGAAGCAAGTCGTTGCTTTCTAGAATGACTGGTTCTTTACTATAAAATCTACACTCATCAACACGCTCTTACAAGAATATCACAAAACACAGTGCTGTGGGCCTCTTCCCATTCTCGTCTAACCCAGGTCACTCCCAGTAATGAGGCTCAGACAGACCTGCCCTTGGGAGCTGCCAGCCAGCATGGTGGGCCTCGGGCCGCTTCCTGGAGTCCCAGCTGCAGGGGCCAGGACCACAGCACCACAGGCCTGGGGGCCTTCTTGGGTGTGAGAGGAGGAGGCCTCAGGTTCACAAGATACCTGGAGGTCGATTCCAGAGCTAGGCTAGGGGCAAAATTTCTGCTGGGTCCCCGGGGCTGCCTGCCAGATAGAGACACACATCTGTCGACCAGATGCGGGCCGGGGGTCCTGGGTCTGTGTTGCTCTCCAGATGGATGGAGCTGGGCCAGGGCGGCCTCTTCTCCTGGGGCAGCCAAACTGGTGTTTGCCCCTGGGTCCCACATAGGACGTTCTGAGCAGAGGTTGTGGGCCTGGTTCTTACTGAGCAGGAGCACTGGGTGCAGTGCTCAGGAAGCTGGTTGAGGCACCAGGGGTCACGCAGACTTTATGTAAACGCCCCCTTCAGTGGAGAGCGGAATGACTTCTTAGAACATCTGGGGCCTCCAAACCTAGTAGCTCCTGCCCCCGAGCTCTGCGGAGAAAGCTAACTCTGGGCTCGGGAAAATGAAAGCTGCCTGTGTCCTTGCTCCCGGGCTCTGGTGAGTCACACACACACTCGGCTCACGGGGGCGGGAAAGGACCCTGCTTCAGCCTGACCTTCTCAGGGAAGGAGAGTGCAGCCAGGGCCCACAGGGGCCAGAACGCCAGCCTCTGGGAAGCAGGCGCCAGCCTCTGGGCGCGGCCATAGCACGGGTTTGTCAGGCGCACTTACATTCATCAGGAGGCCAGGCCTGGACAAGGAGGCCGGGGCCTACACAGCTTCTCCCGGGCTCAGCTTCCCTGTCTGTAAAATGGGGTGGAAAACCGATCGACCCCACGGGGCTGCTTTCCAAACGAAAGGGGTAACAGCATGGGGCGGTGTTTCAAGGAGCGCTGGGCTTGTCTGGCAAGCGCCCTGTGTTTTGCAGACAGGTACTGAGGGACGGTGAAAGCCCAAAAGACGGGTCTGTGCCACCGGTGTGGGAGGGAGGGCTGGCACAAGGCCCTGGCTGGGCCTAAGATGTTCTCCCCGTGTTCCCTGTGCTGACTCCAGAGAACCTGTGTATCTGCACCCCGCCCCCCGTGGGCAGCCCTTGGGATGCGGTGGCGCACACAGCGGCTTGGCCTTCGGCGTGATGGAGGGGCCCCATCACCCAGGAAGGTTGTTTCCCAGCCCTAGGGCGGTACAAGGTTTCCCAGCAGCGCTGATTTAGGTCCCTCCTCCCCTGCCTGTGCCTGGTGGGTCCACGTTTCATTCCTGGGTTTTCAGTTTCTGTCCCTTTCACCTCCTGGAAGTCAGACACTCCCATGGCTCCAGAGCATCACAGAAAACTTTCCCTCACGCACAGCAGGAAAAGGAGGTGGGGCCTCGATCCCAGGGGCTGACAGGGTCCCCGGGAGGCTGTCAGCTGCATCCTGGAGCCCACTGAACATCAGAGGGCAGAATGCTTCTGGCATCTAACTCCAAAGATCAGAGCTTTGGTGGTGAGGCCGGTGGAGGAGGCAGGCAGGCGGCCGACAGAGAAAGAAAACCACAGAGTCGGGGG
This sequence comes from Homo sapiens, assembly GCF_000001405.40. Taxonomy (NCBI): domain Eukaryota; kingdom Metazoa; phylum Chordata; class Mammalia; order Primates; family Hominidae; genus Homo; species Homo sapiens. Next base: position 1,359,714 of record NC_000004.12, on the reverse strand, counting down.
GACGACTCTGGTTCTGTGGGCAATGGAGGATGCATCCACGGCCAAACCCATGTGGCTGCCACATCAGACTCAACATCGGCGAGAACAAAAACAAACCCGTATCTTTCAGCCACGGAAACAAGTAACCCGGTAACTAGCAGAAGGAAAGACAGAGCCACGCTGACGGTACTAAAGAGAACGATGCTTAAGATGCGTTTCTGACTCACTGGCTGATAGGAAATTAATATTTTGTTAATTACACAATACAAAGTAATTGGTGATTTGAGCTATGTAATTTGGCAGCAGGCAACGTGAAAGTTTCCAGAGGATTTTTATCAGCTCAGCGAATGACGCAGCCACGGATGATCACACCCACCCTACAGCGCGGCAAGGCTGGACACGCAATCTACCAAATGACGCTGCACATTGATCCAGGAGATTCACCCTCGGCCTGCTCCCAGACGGAAGCCACACAGAGGCACTCCAAACGCACAGCACACATATTCAAACCAGCGTTGAGTATTTTCTGAAGACGGAACATCTGTCCCCAGACGGAAGCCACTCAGAGGCACTCCAAATGCACAGCACACATATTCAAACCCGCCTAAGTATTTTCTGAAGACAGAACATCTGCGTCAAAAGGAAAACAGTATTACGTAGAAACCAAGTGGGAAATGTTAAAAAGGAAAGACACGGTGTCTGCTCCCGGGTGGCTGCCCGAGGAGAGCCTCAGCACGAGCACCGGCCGGAGACAGCACGAGGACGGGCTGGGCCTTCCGGGGCTAGGCTCCTGCCTCCTGCCTGCAGCTAGCAGCGTTCCATGTTCCCATCTCCTACATGTTAGTTGGAAGTTCTAAACATATTTAAATCAGGCATGACTGAATTAGCGTGCCCTGTTCTACACACGGAGTTAACGACGCCAATCCCCGTGCTAAATGGGGAGACACGGAGGGAAGTGATTTAAACCCTCTGTAAATTTTATTTGAAAATTAACGAGGAGCACCTCGTCCATAATTTCTAATTAAAATGGCTCTAATTAACGTCCACGTTTGTCAGCCAGCCCCACCTGCCGCACACACGCCACTCGGACGCAGCGGCCGCGCGGAGCCAGGAGGGAGATGGGCAGATACTGCAGTGGTGCCACGGCATCTATTCTGGGAAGCATCGCTCACCTGAGCTAGGCGAGCCCGCCAATCACTTCATCTCCAGGCAGCTCCTTGCACTCCAGCTGCCGGGAGCAAAATCTCCAAGGACTTCAGAACGGTGCTTTAAAAAGAAACCAGTTTGCGGAGAAGAGTCTAGAAAGTGTCCATTCAACTGACAAATGGGCAGCGTGGCGCCTCCCTTCCCACCGGAGCTGTGACATCCTCAATCCAGCCTCACAGGCCCTGCTGCCCTTGCACACTCACCAGCTCTGAAGCACAGCTGGGGCACATCTGCTGGCCAGACCATGTGGTCGAAGGGGACGAGGGGCCCTCCAAGCACTGTCAGTCCTGGCCGCAGACACCCCCCGCCCAGTGCCACCACTCAGATCTCAAGAGGATGCACACAGATGGGTCAGGAGTGGGCCCCGGCCAGCAGGAGTGAGGAAGGACAGTGGGATGGCAGCAGGCCCTGGGCGCTGGGTCAGGGTGGCTGCCTGTGTGCCAAGGGCTGGGGTCACGCGCCACGGAGGGACAGTGCTGGCGGCTCCACCACGTGGGGCGTGAGATGCTCATGTGAGAGTCACTCAGAAGCTCAGAGACAGCTAACAGTGTCGGCGGGGTCCCCGGGACCTGGTGGGTGGGAGCAGCAGCTGCTGGGGTCCTTCAGGCGGCCGTGCCCTGCCCAGTACCCTCCTGCATGGCCTGGCCCACACCCGTGTTATGGGCCCTGGCCCCCACAGACCAGGCCCTGAATATAGCATCCCTGAGGCAGGAGGGGCTAGTGCTGCCTCCAGAAGGGCACGGCCAGCAGGAGCCTGCAGCCTGCAGAGGTCTGGGAGGCCAGCACTCCTGAGCCCACACACGGCAGGAGCCAGGCTGAGCTGAACACTCATGAAGAGCACGCAGGGTCCCTGGCACACAGGGGGAGTCTGCATCCACCAGGGTGAGGTGGAGATGTGGGTGCAAGTCAGCCATGGCTGGGAGCCTGCAGGCCTCGCTGGTACCGTGGCCGCGCTGAATTAGAGTCCTGACTCGGGGAACGGCAGCTCCTCATCCTCACCCAAGCAGGCCGAGCTGCCAGCAGTCCCGGAGGCTGCCCAGATTCACTTCCACCAGCCAACCCCACTTGGAGGGCATCCCAGATGCTGTAGAGCTGTGAGATGCAGGCAGGGGTAGCACCAGGCATTCCAGAAGGTTCCACTGCCAGAATCTCAGGCCAAGAAGAGCCACCTGGCTGCCCCAGCCCCAGCACTGCTGCTGGTACTAAAGGACTGTGCCAGCTGGAGGGGCCCAGGCCTGATGAGACCAGACCATGCCACCCATCAGCCCCCCTCTGCTCTGTGGACCCTCACCAATAACCAGCTGGAGGGGCCCAGGCCTGATGAGACCAGACCATGCCACCCATCAGCCCCGCTCTGCTCTATGGACCCTCACCAATAACCAGCTGGAGGGGCCCAGGCCTGATGAGACCAGACCATGCCACCCATCAGCCCCGCTCTGCTCTATGGACCCTCACCAATAACCAGCTGGAGGGGCCCAGGCCTGATGAGACCAGACCATGCCACCCATCAGCCCCGCTCTGCTCTGTGGACCCTCACCAATAAGCCAGCTGACCCAGGGGTTGCCACTGCCAGGCAAAGGCCCACCGGCCACCTTCAGACAAAACTGTCTGCAGACTGCAGAAGCCGTGCCAGGTGAGTCCAGGGCAGCAGGTGCACCGGTGCAGTGCCTGGTGCAGGGTCTCAGCGTGAGGCTCCAGCAAGCCTTGCCCATGCCGTGGAGACCGGGCAGTGACCTTGAAAGGGCCTCAATGTGAGCCACAGGGAAGTGCCCGTGACCCCAGCCGGCAGCCCCCACGCAGCCCACTAGGCAACAGTGACAGGGGCTGGCATAGGGGCCCGGTCCTGCGGCTGCCATCCTGTGGGCCCAAGTGTGCTGGGCATGGGCAGTGGGCTCACCCTGATCTTGACATGCTGACGGCACTCACCATCTTCCTCCCAAGCCTAGACCAGCATCCTTTCGCATTGCAAAAAGTATATTTTCGTCACAACTCACAGAAGTATTTCCTTGTGGAGCAAGGTGTTGACCAGCACCCACAAACGCGGCCACACACCAGCGGCGAGGCCAGTGGGCTCCCACATGTCTATAAATTCTCCGGGAGTCAGTTTCGGACTTAAAGGAGAAAAGCAAGCTCGCCCTCTGCTGGCCCCTGGGGGGGCTGCACACCACCACGTTGGGGACGCGGGGCCACTGACCTGGGGAAAACGACAGGCTCAGCATTTAATCGAGAGGAGCTTCCCCACCCCCCAACTTCCAAGGCCCCGCACGTCTGCTGCTGTGGAACCCAACCTCTTCCTCAGCAAGGAGCACAGTGTCACTTCCACCCCAAAGCTTTCCTTAAAGTGGGGAGAGCCAAAAGGCCACCATCTCCTAGGCCAGGGCTGGATTTGGGGTCCGAGCTCAGGGGTGTTGGGGTTCAGGGCTTGGGTTCCTGAAGGGAGAGGTGCCTGAGAGACAGCACTGCTGTGGGAGCTCAGGGTGGCCGCTGTGTACCTCCAGTCCTAAGGCCCGACTGTGCTGGGTGCTGCCGAGGACGTCTGCAGAGGACCCCAGCTCTCAGGCCCCTCCAGGCACCGAGGCCCAGATTTCCATTCCATGCTCAGCCAGTTCAAGGTCCCTGGCACAGCAGTGTGCTGGGCACCCCCACCCTCGAACGGCTCCGACACACCCAATGCGACGGTCTCTGCTCCCAGCTTCACCCACCAGAGGCACCCCAAACCTCCCTCCAGCCTCCAGCCCCTCGCGGCAGCCCTGCCCCTTCTAACCCCGTGCTCCCTGCTCAGGGAAGTGCAGTGCCCCCATGACCCTCCCAAGCCCCTCGCAAGGCCCAGCAGACAGTAACCCAAGTCTTCACCCCAAGTGGGCACCAGTGCCCGCGCTGACCCTCCTGGCCGTCTGAGGGTTTGCCGAGGGTCTCTCCTCTGGTGGATACAGTGCCTGCCAGGACAGGTGCCGCACTGCTGATGACTCCCTAGAAGGAGTCACGGGGGGGACAGCCTGACTGGTGGCTTCCTGGAGGCGCGCACAGCACTCAGCACTTCTGCTCAGCTACCATACACGGCAGCCGGGCAACACCCGACAGCTGCACTGTCCCCTCTGCCATGGTGATGACCCTGGGCTCACAGGAAGCCCTCGCTGGGGAGGCAGGTCCTGCTGAGGCTGAGTGGGCTTGGGGTGTGGCTGGGGTCCGCCGGGCCCACAGGCCCAGGGCACAACCCCCCCACAGCTTCTCCTCCCCCACTGAGGCCTCTGGGACCCCTTCCCGCTCGCCGCCTGCCCACTCACCCTGCGCCTTTCCCCTCCCTCAGGCTCGATGTCCAGCTCCTTGTATTTTCTCAGTACGAGCTCCAATTCAGCCTTCAGGTCAATGGCACGCTTTAAACATCCACCGTGGGTCCCGACGCGGGTGAAGCGCTGCGAAACGGGGGTGCGAACAGCTCAGGGGCCGGCCGGGCAGGACCTGGGAAGCTGTCCTGCTGGGAGGCACATGCCAGGTCCACTGGCCCGGGGGGTCCCTGGCACACCTGGGATGCAGAGGACAAAGCTGCGGGTGAGGGACAGAGCCCTCGCGGGTTAAGGGCCATTCAGTCACCGGGCCACAGTCCCCCCAAGAAAGGGACCCCCCCCATGCATGGCACTCTGCACACGTCCCTCCACCCACAGGTCCCAGGTTCGAGGCTCACCTGGATCCACGAGCACACAGCCGGCAGGAACTTGTTCCGGATGAGCTTGAGTGTGTCGCGGGCGGCGTGGATGAGAGCAAGGTTGTCCTCGTTCTCCTGCACCTTCAGGCCCTCTGGGGAGAAGCACACAGAGGTCACAAGAGGGCGCCGACTGGCGTCTCCCACAGGCCCCGGAGAGGCAGACCATGCAAGGAAGGCTGCTCTAGCCTGAGGGGAACCTGCCAGACGCCCATGCCTGCCCCCGGGAATCCCAAACCTGATGCTGTGAGAAGGAAGTGTTTTATTATCTTAGAAAAGAACACTGTGGCTTAACACCAAAGCCTCCCCTCACACGCAGCTCCACTGCCTGTGTCTCAGTCTCCTTGGCTGCAGCCATCCCATCTGGAGGGCGAGACCACCCACAGCCTCTTCTACTCACCGCCCCCACACGCCGGGCACAGAACCTTCCCCTCCACAGCCCACGCCACAGGATGGCGCCCCTCCAGCCCAGCCTCACCAGCCCCCACCCCCCCGGCCTCTCCTCCGCTGGACACCCCAACTCCAGTTCTGCCCTGCCGTGGCTTCCCCCGCTGTGGCACCCTCAGTGTCCGGCGCAGGGCAGAGCTCTATACAGGCGAGGACAGCCCAGGCTTGCAGCAGCGGTGTCCACCCCGCACAGGCCTGCAGCCTCACTGCTGAGGCACCTCTGGGCAGCTGAGACCCGAGGATCAGTTCTCCCAGCAGCTTCCCAGCCCGGCTGCCTCCTGGCCCTGGTGAAGGGACACCTGCTGTGCCTGCTTCCAAAGAAGAAGGTTCCTCAAAGAGAGCGATTTGAAGCCACACACATACGCAAAGGGCCCCAGCCTCCACTCACACCCCAGGGGGGCAGCAGGGGGCTTGGGAGGAAGCTGGGGCTGGGGGGCGGGGGCGGCTATGTCTCTGCAATCCTCACCCACCCAGGCTGCAGTGCCAAGGCTGCCCGTGGCCATTTCTGGAACACATTTTCCTCCCAGCAAGGGCCGGTGCTACCTGACCCCTCATGGCGACACGGGACCCTGACAGGCCTGTGAGCTGACGGGATGCCCACACAGCCTGCCCAGGGATCCAGTCACTTGGAGGTCAGGCCTGTGCTCCCTCATCCTTTGAGGACCGCAACAGCCTCACGACCCCACCTCACCCCAATCCTGTGGGTCCTTACTCTGCCCACAGCCTCACTGAGGTGGGGGCTGCCATGAGCTCTTAGAAGTGTCCCTGTGGCCACAGAGGCCTGGCATGGGTGGGGGGAGCCCAGTGCAGAGGCCACACAGAAAGGAAAAACCTGGTGGTGACCCCTGACCTAGCTCCCCAGGGGAGGCCCCTGCATCCCCAGGCTCCTGGGCCGGGTGCCAGTGAGGGAGGAGCCTACCCGGGAGCCGGGGCAGGGTGGCGCCACAGAGACCCCGCGAAGGCAGTTACCTGAGCAGAGCTCCACATCCAGCGTGTACTTGTGCGAGCCCAGCCCGTGGCTCCGCACAAACTCCTCGAGGTCGCTGTCCTCGTCCTCATCTGAGGGGTCACCTGTGGCTGTCTGGGATGGCTGTGCCCCGCCGCCCGCTCTGGGGTGGCCTGCAGAGGCAGGCAGGTCTCTACTGCAGCAGGGCTGCTCCCCGTCCCGGGGGTCAGGGGTGCCAGACCGGCAGGGGCCCACCTGGCCCGCGCAGGAGGAGCGAAGGGCATCGGACATGCCAGAAGCCATGCCAAGGGATTCCGTCTCCGGGTTCGGGTCAAAGTCAAAAGGCACCAGCAGCCTAAAGCAGCTCTCTACCTCCGTCAAGCAGGATTCAATTTCTCCAGACATTTCTGCCGGAAGATCAAGACACCTGTTTGCTGCGCTATGTGGAGCAAAAGCACCAGCCCACTCAAAACCACACTCAGAGGCCCACTCCCCGCAGGGTGTCACTTTTCAGCACCAGGTGGAATGCAGTGGTGCAATCACAGCTCACCCCAGCCTCGACCTTCCAGGCTCAGGTAGTGCAGCCGCCTCAGCCTCCTGATTAGCTGGGACTACAGACACGTGATGCCATGCTCAACTAACTTTTCTGTAGAAACAGGGTCCTGCTATGTTGCCCAGGCTGGCTTTAAACTCCTGGACTCAGGCGATCCGCCTGCCCTGGCCTCCCAAAGTGCCGGGATGACAGGCATGAGTCACCGCGCCCAGTCGTGTGCTGCACTTTTTAACCGCTTACTAGAGCACCCAGCTCAGCAGCTGGGCCTGCAAGGCAATCTCTGTGTACCTCTGGGTAGCAAGCACGAGTGCGCAGGGGAGGTCAGCCCACCTGCACTTCCCAGGACACGGCTGCACCTCTTCCCTAGGGCAACAAAACAGCCTCGTTCATGCCACACCTCCCGGGCCGGAGCAGCTTTCCTCCTGGCAGCCTCCTCATTGTCTGGGCACCCAGCTGCCTGCCTTGTGAGCTGCCCTGAGGCCTGCGTTTCCAGTGGCCTGTGGCAGGTCCCACACCTGGGACCACAGTCTGTCAGGAGAAGGATCTGGGGTACATGTAGTCTGAAGACACAGGGCCGTGCCTCCGCCCACATCAGGAGGTGTCTCAGGAGGGCCGTGGCACCCCCTCCTCACACTCTCGTGGTGCCCCTCACAAGAAAGGCTGACTGCCGAGAAGCAAACAGTGAAGTTTTGGGGAAGGGGCTGGCAAGGGCAAGACAGCCACAAAATAAACAGGTGGCAGGGCCTTCAGCCAGGCTGGGGCTCAGACCACTGCCCACAGGCACACCTGTGCCTGGCATCTCTGCCCAGAGGTCCGCGCAGCGAACGGGCGTGGATGAATGTGACCACCAGAGGGCGCGGGAGAGGCATGGACAGCCTGGGAGGCCTACGGCTAAGAACGCCTTCCGGCCCGACCTGAATCCTCTCCACCTAGCCTGTCTCAAAACCTGGGTTCCTTGCGGCTGGGGCCCTGGGACCAGGAGGATGAACTGCTGGACCACGGGCAACCCTCAGAGGCGTGGGCCCCTCCCTCCGTCCTGGACACTTGCCTTGCATCTCCCTCTCCGCCTGGCTGGCTCTTTCTTGATAAATTTTATCCAAGTGCTTCTGCTTCTCCTCTTCTCTCTTCCTTTCTGCCAGACTCCGAGCATTCGTGTCTTGAAAATCCACCTGAGCAATTGAAAATAAAGACTAGGGGACAGGCGCGGTGGCTCACGCCTGTAATCCCAGCACTTTGGGAGGCTGAGGCAGGCAGATCACGAGGTCAGGAGATCGAGACCATCCTGGCTAACACGGTGAAACCCCATCTCTACTAAAAATACAAAAAAAAAATTAGCCAGGCGAGGTGGCGGGCGCCTGTAGTCCCAGCTACTTGGGAGATTGAGGCAGGAGAATGGTGTGAACCCGGGAGGCGGAGCTTGCAGTGAGCCAAGATCGCACCACTGCACTCCAGCCTGGGCGACAGAGCGAGACTCTGTCTCAAAGAAAAAAAAAAAAAGAAAGAAAATAAAGACTAGGGCTGGCCCAGCACAGTGGCTCATGCCTGTCACCCCAGCACTTTGGGAGGCCGAAGCAGGTGGGTCACAAGGTCAGGAGATTGAGACCATCCTGGCTAACACGGTGAAATCCCATCTCTACTAAAAATACAAAAATTAGCCGGGCGTGGTGGGGGGTGCTTGTAGTCCCAGCTACTTGGGAGGCTGAGGCAGGAGAATGGCGTGAACCCGGGAGGTGGAGCTTGCAGTGAGCTGAGATCGCACCACTGCACTCCAACCTGGGCAACAAAGCAATACTCCATCTTAAAAACAAAAAATAGCCAGGTGTGGTGGCGTGTGCCTGTAGTCCCAGCTACTTGGGAGGCTGAGGCAGGAGGATCACTTGGACCAGGGAGGCGGAGGTTGCAGTGAGCCGAGATCGCGCCACTGCACTCTAGCCTGGGTGACAAACCAAGACCCTGTCTCAAAAACAACATCATCAACAACAACAACAAAAACTAGAGCTATCTATACAGAATGTGAGGAAGATAAAGCTCAAGTAGGCCTAACAAAAGACAGCACCCATGCGTGGCCAAGAGCCCTATGCGTCTGTAAGTTCACAGTAGTTTTTTTTTTTTTTTTTAAGAGACAACGGTCTTGCTGTGTTACCAAGGCTGGACTCAAACTCCCAGGACCAGGTGATCCACCAGCCTCGGCTTCCAGAGTCAGTGGGACTGTGGGTGTGCACCCTCACACCCAGGTGTTCACAGTGCATTACAACAAAACACAATGCACGTCTCTCTGCTGTCTGAGCCCGGGAAAGCCAGCACGTCTGCTAACTTAAAAGAGGTGACGAGACTTCTCACCCCAAGTACCTCACAGGTAGGAGAGCAGTGTGCTTGTTCCATTAGCAGGCAGAGGCTGCTGACTGGACCCAGGAGTCTGAAACAAACCCTGAGCATGAACCCTGGGAGACAGGGCACTCCAAGGGCACACAGGGAAGCCAGCAGGGCTGGGTCATTGCACTGGGGAGGACTGAGCCTTCGTGGCAGGTGGGGTAAGGGGCACGGTAGGGTCTGGGCAATGAGGCTGGGTTCAGGCCACAGTGGCAGATCCTGGTGGGTTTCATCATGCCAGGCACCAGCCCGAGCCCATAGTAGGGTGCGGGTGGAGCCTTAAAGTGCAAGGTTGGGACAGGTCCCAGAGTCCAGGGGCCACTGTCACAGAAAACGTTGCATCTGAAAAGTTGGATTTGGCTTTTCCTTTGTCTCCTACACGCACATAAAAAATGACACATGCAGCCTCAGCTCCACCCACACATAAAGCTTATGCTCTTCCTCTCAGAGCTGCGCCGCCCCTCTCAGGGAGGCCGTGACCCTAGATGCTGCCCTCTTTCCCACACCCCACAGATGGTCTGGCAGCCTGGGTGTTCAGGCAAGGCCAAGCAGGCCCCTGCTGTGCTAGGTTCAACAGGAGGCGCATCTTCACCCTGGTATCGTCTGCCCTCCTCACGTCAGGTAACCAGTCTCTGAAAAAATGGGCCAGGCCCACCTACCTTTTTGTTGTGTCTTAAGAAGTGGTAGCCCAAGGCAAGCTTCTTGTAGGCCTCCCCAAACTTCTCATTCCACCCTTCCACGGCCCGGGTGGTCGCCTGCCTCAGCCTCTGTGCCGCCTCCCTGGGGGGCGGCAGAGGCTGTGCGGGGTCTGTGCCCAGCGTGAGCTCCAGGAACTCCTGGAAGTTGGAAACAACCAGCATCCGGAACTGGTGAGACCTGACGAAGAGTTCCTCCACAATCTGGAAGGCTGAGAGACGGATCTCGGCGTGCTCCTGGGTCAGCTGTGCTATCAGCAGGCGGTAGGCGCGGCTCAGCTGCTCCTCTGAAGACCTGGGGATGCGAGCTGGCCTGACCCAACTGCCCCACACGCAGAGGATGGGCGGGGGGAGACTCTCCGTGCATGGATGCCGCACGCACGTGTGGCAGGGACCACCACTGCCTTCCCATCTTCATTCTCCCCTTTTCTAGAGCAGGGTCTGCAAACTACTGCCCAAGGGCCACATCTACCTCCCCAGCCCCTGCCTGTTTCTGTGTGGCCCACAAGCCAAGAATGTCAATACAAACAAAAAATACTTGGTGAAATGTGAAAATCATATACACTTCAAATGTCGGTGTTCATTCACAAAGTGTCATTGGAACGTCGCCCATCTATCCACCTACATCATCTACAGCTGTGTTCACAACTGAGGCATTACAGCAAAGCCTGAAACACAAACCATCTGGCTCTTTAAACACACGTTACCTAGCGCAACACACACCGCCCGGCACAAACGCCCACCGCCCGGCACAAACGCCAACCGCCCGGCACAAACACACACCGCCTGGCACAAACCGCACACCGCCCGGCACAACGCACACCGCCCGGCACAAACACACACCGCCTGGCACAACGCACACCGCCCAGCACGCACACTGTTTCAGCTGGGTGCCTCCTGCTGCAGGAAGGAAGGAAGGCCTAGAGCTCGGGACATCTCCCAGCCCCTCCTGAATGCTCCTATTCCCAGCTCCTGACCCCACATAAACCATTGCGAATTCGATTTCCTGGCGCAGGCCACAAAACCTGACCTGAAATTTTCTATCAAAATGTCAACACTCCATCACTGTATAAACAATCTATAAACTGCCATTTTACAAACACAGGATACAGAATAATCAGTGTCCTCGACTTATGCTCCACCCTCCGAGGGGAAGTTTTGCTTCCCCCATGAATCTCTGGCTGCCTGAGGGTGACGGCAGAGATCCCCTCCGGCGTTTTCCTTGGAGGAAGTGAACAGAGGTGGACATACCCTAAAGGCGATGGACCAACTCGCCCATCAGCAAGCTCTATTCTTTCCCTTCGAAAAGTCCAGCAGCAAAGAAAAAGATGCACGTTTCTCTCTGAATCACATTTGTGCACTCAAGAACTCCTACAGGATGTGCTCCAGACCACACAAATGGGAATGAAGAGAAGCACCAACCACAGAGCAGTGGGGTCCCCAACGCCACACGCCCCGACCCCAGAACATGACCACCCGTCAGAGCCGGGTACTGCAGGGCCCCGAGAAAATGTCCTGGGTGTGTCCCTCGGGTGGTTCTCTCCCAGGTGGGGGCAGGAGGGCAGGGCCCTGTGTGTGTCCTGGGCTCAGTGGGCCAGTCAGTTACTGTTACTGAACCCTAAGACATACTTGCAAATTTTCTTCAGTTCCTTCATTTTCTCAGGATTTAGTCGGGGTTCTCCTGAAGTTGTGAGCTCTTCTACCAACTTCGAAAGTTTCTGATCCATATCTAGAAATAAGTAAGGCAGAGATGCTATATCACCATCTGTATTTTATAGCTCTCGGTGTTATTAACGTGTTTACTGGGTTCCACTATAAACCGAAAGCTCCGGGAGGACCCTGAGGCTGGGGTCCATCTGTGGGTGCCTCTCTGGGAAATATGTGTGTCCAGCAAGGCCTTTACGGCGGTGATTGCAGTTTTAAAAGTGAACCTTAAACTCGGGACCTCTACAATCCCGTGTGTGGGACGCTGCATTGAGGGTCGTGCGTTAAAGGAACCAGTGGCGCTGTCCGAATCAGCTTTTCCCCAACGTGACTGTTGCTGTTTCCCTTATTCACTCAGATTCCGCAGGGCAGCCTCCAGCAAGGCTGCAGAGGCCAAGAGGAGCCAAGAAATTCTGAGACCAATGAAAAGTCGCGTCCGGAGAGCAGGGGCGGCCCTAACGGAGGCAGCCTGCCCGGATACCCAGGGCCGAGCACCGCGGCGTGCCTGGTGGGATGAGGCGAGGGCCTGCCGCACCGCCAGGGAAAGGCCGAAGGACCCGGAAGGAAGCGCCAGGCGAGGCCGGGGCGGAGGCTGGGAAGCTGCGCCCTACTCGGGGAAAGAAGGGGCCCGGCAGGGCCACGCGAGGCTTGGACCGCGGGGTCGCTCTCGCACAGCGGCTGCACCGGGCGGGCGCGCCGGCTTCGACGGTGCTCGGGGGGCTGCGGCCTGTCACTCGGCCCAGGGCCCGCCCTCCGGCCCCGCCGCCGGCGCTCTCGGGCACACGGGACACGCCCTGGCCGCAGGTCTCTGCCCGGCGCCCGCAGAGCCCCGGGGACCGAACCGGCGCGACCCCCGCCCGGCAGCGTAACCACAGCCCCACCTACCGCTGACGCGGCCGCTCGCCTCGCCCCGCCCCTTCCGGCGGGGGGACCGCCCCTCTTGTCAGGTGCCCAAGACCTCTACCGCCATTGGCTGGCCCTGGGCCGGACGCATCAGGACCTGGGGTCACCACAGCGACGACTGCACCTACCGCTCGACGCGGCCTTTCTCGCCGTTGCCCCACCCTTTCCGGTCAAGGCCCCGCCCCCTAGCACGTGCCCTGAGCTCGACAGCCAATGGCTCACCCCAGCCCAGGAGGCGCAGGCGCAAAGACGCGGCCGAGGTCTGCGCGGTGACGTAGGCGCGCTCCCGGCGAGGGCGAGGCAGGCTGCCGGGGGTGGGGAGGGGGACGCACGAGAAAAAAGAGGCGGGAGGGCGCAGAAAGTCCTTAAAGGGGCCGCATGTACGGGCGCCGGGGGCGGGGCCGGCCGGGAAACTGAGGCCGAAAGGAAGTTCCGGTCTGGGCCTCAACGCCACGCCCGCCCGCGGGCTCGCAGCCAGGTCCCTTCACCTGCAGAGGGCCGGTGAGGACCGCCCAGACGGGCGGGCGCGGGCCCCCGCCCCCGAGCTCGCCCCGCGCAGGGCGCCCTGAACCCCGCGGCGCCTCCCCGCTCCGGCCTCGGGAAGGGAATCCCTGGGCGGGCTTGGGGGTCTTCGGGGCCCACCTCGGCGCCAGACGCACAGCAGGTACCCCTGGGCCCGGGCTGGCCCTGGGCGGAATGAGAAGCAGAGGCGCCGTCCGTCCTGCCGCCGAAGTCCGCAGCCTCGAACGCAGGGGAGTGCGAGGTCGGCTGCGGACGGACGGACCTGGAGACCGCGCTTGGGAAACCGTGGCTTCGGAGGAGCGTGGTGTGGACCCCACTCGCGGGGCGCCCGGCACAGGCCACGCAGAGCAGACGCCCGACTGGGCTCCCGGGGCTGGGTGCAGGGCGGGGGCCGCCGGCGGCGGGCCGGGGTTTCTTTTTCGGGGGGATGGGCGTGCCCTTGCATTACGGTGGTGGTAGCTCACAACTCTGTTAATCGTGTTTTTACAGGGTGGGTTTCAGGATGTGTGAGTTATATCTCAGTAAAGCAATTATTTTAAAAAGGAAAAGAAGAGGGACTCCCTGCGCCGCCCCTCTCTGCAGCACCAGCTTCTGTCCCTGGGCGTCAGTGGCTCCCAGCTCCTAGCTTGCAGCCAGCCCCGAGCCGCTCCTCCGCCTCACCCCTTCCTCACCCTGCCTCTTGCTTCACTGAGCAAGCTGCAGCCAGACCCTCCCTCAGCGCCCCTTGCCCTGTGCATCCAATCCCCGGCCTGTGGCTTCCTCCAAGGCACCCATCCAGCAGTTTCCCTCTGTCTTCTACAGCGTGGTTTTTTTTGTTGTTACTAGTTCTCATTAGTATAAAAGGGTGCCGTTTCTCCCATACTAACAAAACCCTCTCTTTATCCAACTTTTCTTACCAATTGCTAAGTCCAGTCTCCTTTACACTGCCCCGGGGTGTCCTCTCAGCCCTCAGGCTCAACAGCACAGCCAAGCTGCCCGTCCACTGCCCTCTGTATCCGCTGATGGCCCTGCAGCCTTTTTTTTTTTTTTTTTTTTTTTTTTTTTTGAGACAAAGTCTCGCTTTGTCACCCAGGCTGGAGTGCAGTGGCACGATCGCGGTTCACTGCAGCCTCCGCCTCCCGGGTTCAAACGATTCTCCTGCCTCAGCCTCCCGAGTAGCTGGGATGACAGTCACCCGCCACCACGCCCAGCTCATTTTTGAATTTTTAGTAGAGACGGGGTTTCACCATGTTGGTCAGGCTGGTCTCGAACTCCTGACTTCAGGTGATCCGCCCGCCTCGGCCTCCCAAAGTGCTGGGATTACAGGCGTGAGCCACCGTGCCTGGGCCACCGTGCCTGGGCCTGCCCTGCATCCTTCTGTTCGCTTGGACCAATTATCTGACTCACTTGGGCTTCTCTCTTCCTCTCACTCCATGCCCATTTGGTTTGCAAATCCTGACAGCCCTACCTTCAGAACACATCCAGATCTGAGCACGTCCCACTGCCTCATTGCCACTGCCAATTCCTGGCCACCCCTGCAGCAGGTCACTGCCGTCACCTTGTCTTTCCCTTGCACCCTGGTACCCCTAGACCATCATGCAGCAACCAGAGGGACCTTTGAAAGTCTAAGGTCGGATCACAGGATTCCTCTACACAAAATCCTCCGACGGCTCCCATCCCAGGGCAAGGCAAAACCTGTCGTGGCCTGTGTTTGCTGCCCCCTGCATCCCACCGGTTGACTTCTCCAGCCTGCTCTTGCTGCCACACGGCCTCTGGGGAGCGGATCCCTCTGCCGGGAAGCTTCTGCCAGTATCCACAGAGTTCCTTGCCTCCTTCCAGCCACTGCTCATGTCTCACCCTGAGCAAATACTTCTGCACCCGCTCACCTCCCTGGCTCAACACCCCCCATCCGTTTTCTAAACCTGCCGTGCTTGTTCCCAGGGCACTTCTGGCCCTTGTGTCACACAGACTTACTGTCTTACTAGGTGATTCGCTTTTTTCTCTTCACTCCTAAAACATACAGTCCCTGAAAATAGGGATCTTTGTTTCATGAAGCCAGACAAAAAGCAGGTGCTCAATATTTGTTGAATGCTGGATAAGATTAGAAAGCCAAGATAAATCATGATGAGAGTTAGACGATATTCTTGTTTGTTTTTGTTTGAGACAGAGTCTTGCTCTGTCGCCCAGGCTGGAGTGCAGTGGTGTGATCTCGGCTCACTGCAACCTCTGCCTCCCAGGTTCA
Source organism: Homo sapiens (assembly GCF_000001405.40). Taxonomy (NCBI): domain Eukaryota; kingdom Metazoa; phylum Chordata; class Mammalia; order Primates; family Hominidae; genus Homo; species Homo sapiens. The sequence continues at coordinate 1,344,468 of NC_000004.12, read as the reverse complement.
AATGATTCTCGTGTCTTGGCCTCCCAAATAGCTGGGATTACAGGCGCCCACCACCACGCCCAGCTAATTTTTGTATTTTTAGTAGAAACAGGGTTTCACCATATTGGCCAGGCTGGTCTCGAACTCCTGGCCTCAAGTGATCTGCCCACCTCAGCCTCCGAAAGTGTTGGGATTACAGGCATGAGCCACTGCACCAAGCCAAGAATTAGAAGATACTTCTAAAAGATATTTTAAAAGAACCAATGGAAACTTAGAGATGATAAAACCCAAGCAGGATAAACAAAGAAAACCACCCAAGGCACATCTTAAATTGCAGAAAACTAGTGACAAATCTTAGAAGCAGTCAGATTAAACAAGGCGTATGACATACAGGCACAAAGAAGCCAAGGATTTCTTGTCCCCTCCTCCCCCTCCACCCAAAAAAAAAAGCCAGAAGAAAATGGAACATCTTTAAGGTGGTAAAAGAAAAAATACTGTCAATCTAGAACTGTATATGCAGCAATATAGCCTTTAAAAACTGAGGTGATGTAAAAGCATTTTCAGACAAAAGCTGCATGAATTATGACCAGCAGATTTGCAGTCCAGGAACTGTTATAGGATGCTCTTCAGATGAAAGGAAAATGATACCAGAGGCAAACTTTATAAAAGGAATGAAAAGTTCTATAAATACTTTTTTTTTTTGAGACGGAGTTTCACTCTTGTCACCCAGGCTGGAGTGCAATGGTGCGATCTTGGCTCACTGCAACCTCTGCCCTCTGGGTTCAAGCGATTTTCCTGCCTCAGCCTCCCGAGTAGCTGGGATTACAGGCACGTGCCACCACGCCTGGCTAATTTGTGTATTTTTAGTGGAGACAGGGTTTCACCATGTTGGTCAGGCTGGTCTCGAATTCCTGACCTCATGATCTGCCTCCTGGAGGTGGCAATACCTTAGATGCGAGAAGGATCTAAATCTGCAGGAAGATATACCATATTCATGGGTTGAGGACTCAATATTGTTATGATTTATAAGTCCTTGTTATGGACTGAATTGTGGCCCCTGCCTACCAAATTCCTATGTCGAAGCCCTAACCTCCAATGTGACTTTATTTGGAGATGAGGCCTTTAAAGAGGGGAACGTTAAATGAGATTCTAGGGATAGAGCCCTCATCTGATAGGACTGATGTCCTCGTAAGATGAAGAGACTCCTGAGATGTGTGTGCACAGGAGGAAGTCCACCACGAGAGGTACACAGTGAGAAGGGGGCCGTCTGCAAGCCGGGAAGAGAGGCCTCACCGGGAGCCAACCCTGCCAGCATCTCCTCTAGAACCGTGAAGAAATAAATGTCCATTGTTTAAACCCGCTAGTCCGTGGTCTTCTGTTACGGCAGCCGAGCAAACTAATACCGTCCCCAAATAGGGATGATAGGTTCACTGCAGTTCCAGTGACAATCCCAGCACACTTTTTACAGTGTTCAGCAGACACTGATGAGTTGATTTTACAACGTGCGTGGAAATGCAACAGACCTAGGACCACCAAGACCATTCTGAAAAAGCAGAACTGGAGGACTCATCATACCCCCTGGTTTCAAGATTTGCCTTAAAACGGCAATAGTTAAGATAATGTGGTGTTAGGACAAGGATAGACCTAAAGGCCAGTCTAACAGAAGGTAGTGTCCAGAAATAAACCCCAACTTAACACAGCCAGGAATTTTTTCTAATGGAGCCAACGTTATTCAACGGGATAAGAAAGGTCTTTTTAACAAATGGTGTTAGAACAATAGAGTAAACATATGGGATGGTGGGGAATCATCCTCAGGCTCTTCCTCACACAACACACACAAGTTAAGAGATGTGTTACAGACTTAAAAGCCGAAACTGAATCTTCTGGAAGATATATTATTGCAACCCTGGAATAGGCAGATTTTTTTTTTAGAACATAGAAAAGCATTAGCCACAAAAGAAAGAATAAATTGAACTGCACTAAAACTTAAAAAATCTGCTGATCAAATGACAGTCAATAAAGTATAAATACACATATCCCTCAAAGGATTTGTATGTGAGGAATCCCTACAAATCAGTAAGATAATGCAATTTAAAATGAGCAATAGACAAATATGTAAATTACAATCAGCGCATCAGGTCAAAATCAGACATCAAAGAAAAGCAAGGGAAAATCACACTGTGGCCCCAGTGCACACCCACCTGAATGACTAACCTGACACTACCAAGTGTTGACAACAATGTGGGGCCACTGGAATCCTCACACTGCTGCTGGAGTGTAAAACACTACCACCAACTTTGGATAAATCTTTGGCAGTTGTGGTACAGTTAAACATAAACACACCATGACTCAGTTCCTTCTACTTCCAGAGAATTACTTCCCAAAGAAATGAAAATAATGTCTGCAAGAAGACTGGCACACAAATGTTCATAAGAGGTTTACTTATTATAGCCCCAAATAGGGAACAACCCAGATGTCTATCAAGAGAATGGATACAGGCCGGGCGCAGTGGCTCACACCTGTAACCCCAGCACTTTGGGAGGCTAAGGCAGGCAGATCATGAGGTCAGGAGATTGAGACCATCCTGGCCAACATGGTGAAACCCCGTCTCTACTAAAAATACAAAAATTAGCTGGGTGTGGTGGTGTGCACTTGTAATCCCAGCTACTCGGGAGGCTGAGGCAGGAGAATCGCTTGAACCCGAGAGGCAGAGATTGCTGTGAGCCAAGATTGCGCCACTGCACTCCAGCCTGGTGTACACTGTGGTCTGTGCATACATGGATTACTATCACTCCACTCAGCAACACCTAAGGACGGAACTGCTGACATGTGCAACAGGCATGAACCTCACAAGCGTCTGTGGAAACAAGCCAGATCCACCAGTGTCCACATTCCACCATCTGACACCTATGGAGGCACAGCTCACCTACGGTGACAAAAATTAGAGCAATGATTTTGTGTAGGGGTTGTGGATAACTCAGAAGGTACAAGGGGTCCCTTTCTGGGGCCATGGGGACGTTCCATGCCTGGGCTTCAGTGGTGGTCACATGGAGGTACATTTATTAAGACTCATTGAGTAGCTTTTACTTGTATGTGCATTTTGGTGTATGTAATTTTTACCTCAATTGAGAAAGAGTACAGCGAGATAACACAACCAACAAAACATCTCACATTCAAGACTCCCAGTGCCACTCGCTGGTGTGGATGTGGAGCAGATGGGCAGAAGTGGGTGCAACCCCTTTAACAAACCGTCAGTGTCTGCTGAGTGGACACGTGGCCCAGCAATGGCAACTCCTCGGCATCTCCCCACAAAAGAATGATGCGTCCAGCAAGGGTCACCTCCCGGAGTGCTCACAGCAGCTTTACCTGGACACCGCCTGATGTCCACCGGCGGGAGAGGGGCCAGGCCGCTGCGCTTGTTCTGCCTGGAGAGCACAGGCCTGTAACCAGGCAAGACTTTGCCGTGCCAGGGCTGAGCCGCCGAGTAACGCTGAGCCACGGACCCACGCCATGTGGCTCTGTGTTCGAGGAGCTCAGGGCCGGGGTGCGCCACTCCAATGATGACTGACCAGGATATTGACCGGGCAAGGCCAGGGGCTGGGAACAGTCTGTTTGGTGGTTACATGCATGTTACACAGAAATTCGTTATGTGAACTTAGAATGTGTGTGCTCCAGTATGTTCTACTCGAGTTAAAAAGGAAAGAACAGGACGCAAGACAAGGAAAGCCCCTGCACGTGAGGACGGTGGAGGCCGGGGCGGCTGCGTGGCAGTGGGGCCACAGGGTCTGCTTCGGCCGAGGGGACCTGGGGACGGGCGCTCCAAAGAAGAGCACGTGGGAATGTGGTGGGTTCCAGCTGGGTGCTGTGGAGGGGCCAGGGCAGCCACCATGGGGTAAGAGATGGGCTAAGGGGCACCAGGCTGGCCACAGGAGCTGCGACGGGGCACTGGAGAGAACAGGGGTGGGCGGTGGGGGGAAGGGCCAGTGGCCACAGCCCGCAGGCCTCCTTAGCCCAACCCTAGACTCAGCCCAAGCCGCAGGCCCAGGCTTGCTGGTGGCTGCAGCCTGAGCCCCCACCCCCAACAGACAATGGCCCGTGGGTCCCAGGAACCAGTGTCTGATTCACCCAGCTGCAAGCCGGGGCCTCAAGACGCTGGGGCCATCACGCCTCAGGGCAGCGCCCGAGAGGAGGACTGCGGTCCGGGCAGGAGTGGCCTCCAGCCGGCTTCTCAACTCCCGGTGGCCGTGGTGCCAGAAGCTACGCATATGCCCGCCATGCTGCCCGGGCCCCGGGGAGGAGCAGAACACAACCTCGGTGTTAGAAACGCACGGCAGCCTCGGCTCACACGGAAATGAGAAATAGAAAACCATTTTATTCGCATGGTTTACATTTACAGTTTATTAGCTAGTCAACATCAACATGCAAAAATAAGCACTAACTACAAACCTCTACGATACGGTTCTCTGTCAGCTACGGTGGTTCATTTGTTTTGAAAAGTCATCAGTACTTCTTTCAACTGAACGATTAATTTCTGTAATGGATAGCAATTAGACTCTACAGTTATGGAACCATCCGGCAAGGCCTCTGCAGAAATTTGGTCCCGTGGATTTCCACGTTATACATTCTCGAAGCAGGAAGTAAGGCGGCACACAGAGGGTGTGATATCGAAACGACGCAGCTACGAACACAGCCCCGCGATGTGATATCGAAACTATGCACGTACGAACACAGTCCCGCGGACACGACCCGCGAGGCAGGCGGGCGTCCTCGAAGCCAGCCCCCGACGGTGGCGGCGCCAGGCGTTTTGGCAGCAGCTCTCGAATGAAGCCATAAGTGTCCCTCGTGGCGCGGCATCGCGGGTCACTGCAGGTCAGTCCGGTGCCGCTGCCACCTTCCCCGGCCAGGCCAGGGCCAACAGGAAGTGGTGAAGGACCAGCCCGTTCTCCAAGTCTCATCGTTCACAGAAGGAAAGAAACTGAAAACACAGGGAAATCACGGACTCCTATATTTTAAACGTTCTTAAGTTTCCCTCGGTGTTTAGGTCAGTCTTTAAAGAAGAGTTTCCTTCGCAAGTTGAAAGTACTTTTCAGAAGCATCAAATGGTTGACGTGTTACAAAATCCTACCAATCCAAATGTTTTCAAGTACAAACTTATGAAACCTTATTTTCTCTCTTCCTAAGAGTATTTATCGTTGCTCACGGATCTTTGGTCGCAAGAAACAGAAACGCCGCGGCAGGCTGGAGCGTGGGACAGGAGGAAGGCGTGGCCTCCCCGCCCACTGCAGCCCGTCCCCGAGGCGTGCGCTTCACGACGTGGGGCCTACATGATGTACACCTTCTCGGCTTGTGAGAAGTGGAAGACTTCTTTGGTTCTCGGGCACACGACTTTATCATCTTGACGGATAGAAAGCAGAGACTGAAAAATAAAACCGGGAATGCATTAAGGCAAGCGACTACAACGTACACACGGATTTCCATGGAAAATCCCCACAATGAACCACCAGGGAATGACTCATCCTCTCAGGCAAAGTTCCTTCCCGAAGGCACACCTGCCAAAGAAATCCCGGGGCCACCTCGCCTGTCCTTCCCACCCCTTCATCCATTTCGAACGAAGCTAAGGCAGGGTGGGGCGAGAGGACAGCCCTGTCCCAATGGCGACGTGTGCCAGCCTGGCCCCGCTGCCCTGCCCGCCCCACACAGCCCTGTCCCGATGGCGACGCGTGCCAGCCTGGCCCCCCGCCCTGCCCGTCCCACACAGCCCTGTCCCGATGGCGATGCGTGCCAGCCTGGCCCCCCTGCCCTGCCCGTCCCACACAGCCCTGTCCCGATGGCGATGCGTGCCAGCCTGGCCCCCCTGCCCTGCCCCCCTCACATTGTAGCCGTAGACGTAGCCGTTGGGCAGCATCATGGGCGGATTGTTCTCGTTCATCACGTCGCCAGAAATCTTGCAGACCAGGCGGGAGTTGGCACAGTGGGCCATGGGCAGGGGCTGCGCCAGCTTGTTCAGGGAGCGGCTGCACACAGGGCAGTCAGGGCTCTTGGAGCTGCCGTCCTCCTTGTAGCACTGTCTGAGCATCGGGTCAAGGAAGGGTTGGGGGCCACTCAGGGCAGCCGGGGTGAGCCCAGCCCCCTGTGGCCACTCTGCCCTGGGCTGCGTGCCCTTCTGGCTATGTGGGCGCCATGCTGACTACACGGGGCTGTCTTTCGAGGCACAGGAAGTGCTGCACTCGACAGCTAAACAGCCCCACTGAGGCCTCGGTGGAGACAAGAAGCCTGCGCCTTCTCACCCCGGCCTCCAGCACCAGGACCACAGGCACAGAGTGGCTCCGTCGCCCGCCGCCCTCTCCCCGGCCACGCAACCTCTCCAGGCAGGACAAGAGCCACCCAGCAGGGACGTTCTGCTGGCACCTAGGAACAGGCAGTGGGCAAGCACGCCAGCCCTCTCGCCCAGAGTTCCACAAAGAGGGGACAAGGGAGGGGGCCTGAGTCTCATTCATACCCCGGCACAGCCAGGTACCAGCAGCAATCGCGAAACACTCACTGCCCTCTGGGCCTGAGGCAGGTCACATGAAAGACATTCATAGGCGGGGACAGAGTCAGTTGCAGGAGGACAGTCAGTCACAGGTGGGGACAGAGTCAGTCACAGGTGGGGACAGAGTCAGTCACAGGAGAGGGCAGAGTCAGTCACAGGCAGGGGTAGAGTCAGTAAGAGGCTGAGTCACAGGCAGGACGGAGTCAGTCACAGGTGAGACAGTCACAGGGCAGGGGCAGAGTCAGTCACAGGCGAGGACAGAGTCACAGGCGGGATGGACTCAGTTGCAGGAAGGGACAGACTCAGTCGCAGGCAGGGGCAGAGTCTGTCACAGGCAGGAAGAAGTCAGTTGCAGGTGGGACAGAGTCAGTCACAGGAAGGAATCAGTCACAAACGGGACAGACTCAGTCACAGGCAGGGCCACAGTGAGTCGCAGGCAGGGACCAAGTCCGTTGCAGGCGGGAGCCGAGTGAGTCACAGGCAGGAACTCAGTGAGTCGCAGGTGGGACAGAGTCACAGGCAGGATGGAGTCAGTCACAGGCAGGGACAGAGTCACAGGCAGACAGAGTCGGTCACAGGTGGGACAGAGTCAGTCACAGGCGGGACAGAGTCAGTCACAGGCAAGGTTCTTGGTAATCACACGGGAAAACTATTCTGAATGGTAATCTGCCGGCTGCCAGAACACATCAAAATCGGGCTTTTAGATCAATGCCCATGGCGGCCTCTGAGATGATGAGAGAGGAAGCGCGCCACTTCCCAGAGTGAAGGCTGCACGACGCATCCGAGGCCCCTCAACACGGCCCCACCCCGACCATCCAGACACCACGCAAGTGCAGCACACGGGAGCTCGGGGCTGTCTGTGGTGGGAGGACAAGAGTGGCAAGGTGCAGGGTCAGCGTGTTAAAATATGACCAAAGATGCCAACCCCAGGCCAAACCGCACTGCGCACGGGAGGTAGGATACGGTGTCTTGATGGCTGAGAGGCCAGCCTGCAGGGTGAGGGTGAACACAGAATTGTTTCCCAGCTGGTGTAGTCGGTAGTTGTCGTACCGGAACTGCTGGATCAGCATCCGCCACCGTGCAGGGTCCAGAAGGTCCTGGAAGACAGAGAGCAGAGGGTCCTGGGGATGCTCCCAGGGAAGCTCCTGGGACAGCTTAAAAACGTGGACCATGGTGAAGCAGGTGCCATCGGCCCACAGCCATCCCCCAGTGACCCACACACTTTGCACTAAGGGTCAGCACAAAGCATAACTCCCTCAAGTGTTGACTGATACACACAGTGGGATGAGTGCTGACTTAACTATGATTTCAACATGCTGCGGGATGAGTGCTGACTTAACTCTGATTTCAACATGCTACAGGGTCAGTGCTGACTTAACTCTCTGATTTCAACACACTGCGAGGCCAGTATGAACTTAACTCTGATTTCAACATGCTGCGGGACAAGTGCTGACTTAACTCTGATTTCAACACACTGTGGGATGAGTGCTGACTTAACTCTGATTTTAACATGCTGTGGGGTGAGTGCTGACTTAACTCCGATTTCAACATGCTGTGGGGTGAGTGCTGACTTAACTCTGATTTCAACACACTGTCGGGGGAGTGCTGACTTCTCTGATTTCAAAATACTGTGGGGCCAGTTCTGACTTAAGTCTCTGATTTCAACACGCTGTGAGGCCAGTGCTGACTTAACGCTCTGATTTCAACACCTGCAGGACAAGGGCTGACTTAACTCTGATTTCAACACTCTGCGGGACGAGTGCTGGAACTCTCTGATTTCAACATGCTGCAAGGCCAGTGCTGATCTAACTCCCTGATTTCAACATGCTGCGGGATGAGTGCTGACTTAACTCTGATTTCAACACACTGCAGGGCAGGTGCTGACTTAACTCTGTGATTTCAACACACTGCAGGGCAGGTGCTGACTTAACTCTGTGATTTCAACACACTGCAGGGCAGGTGCTGACTTAACTCTGATTTCAACACACTGCAGGGCAGGTGCTGACTTAACTCTGTGATTTCAACACACTGCAGGGCAGGTGCTGACTTAACTCTGTGATTTCAACACACTGCAGGGCAGGTGCTGACTTAACTCTGATTTCAACACACTGCAGGGCAGGTGCTGACTTAACTCTGTGATTTCAACACACTGCAGGGCAGGTGCTGACTTAACTCTGTGATTTCAACACACTGCAGGGCAGGTGTTGACTTAACTCTGTGATTTCAACACACTGTGGGGCCAGTGCTGACTTAACTCTGTGGTTTCAACACGCCATGGGGCCAGTGCTGACTTAACTCTGTGATTTCAACACACTGTGGGGGCCAGAGCTGACTTAACTCTGTGGTTTCAACACGCCATGGGGCCAGTGCTGACTTAACTCTGTGATTTCAACACACTGTGGGGCCAGTGCTGACTTAACTCTGTGGTTTCAACACGCCATGGGGCCAGTGCTGACTTAACTCTGTGATTTCAACACACTGTGGGGCCAGTGCTGACTTAACTCTGATTTCAACACACTGTGGGGCCAGTGCTGACTTAACTCTGATTTCAACATGCCACAGGGCTGGTGCTGACTTAACTCTGCTACACTCACTTGTGAATCAACTTGAATGATCTGGAATGTGTGCAACCTGTGCACTGTGACAAAAAATAGACTCACACAGCTGGAAGGACAGCTCAGTGCAGAGTGCACCTCAGAGCATTAGGTGTAAAAACTCTTACTTCAGAGAAATCATGTATGAAATGGAAAACAACCGGTCCATGTTAGGTTAAAGCATCACAGAACAGAAAATTAAACCTGATGAATGTCTGTCCCTAAATAACCTCAGGTTTAGACTTAAGAGAGAGAGCGTGTGTGAGCACAGGAGAGAAAAACCTTCACATCAACCCAGAAAGGCCGCTCAGTCTCTAGCTTGGGGGGAGACGGCCACACCTGGAGGGAGGGGAGGTGGTCATCAGGGGACGTCACCCATCAGTCTCTGTAAGCTTCTCAGTCTCAGTTTAGGGTAAACACCACACTTAACTCCAACATTTTTAAAGGCTGTTTTAAATCTCATTTTTGTCTAAAAATCAAAGTCTACAAGGGAGGAAGCCCACAGTCCAGAAGGTCCTCACTGAGAAGAACAGCTCCTGGCATCCTCACTCCCCAGGACTGGTTGCCTCTGGGCTTCTGGTGGCTTCTGCCATTCTCTGAACAAAATGCTTCCTTCTGTTTCTTGCCTGACCCATGGCAACGGGGCCCATTTTCCTGCCACGAGACACGGTTGTGCCCCCTGAATCTGGCAACAGATGAGCCTTGGGGCTGGCACTGCCTGCCTCCCTCTTTACCACACTGCAGGGCTGCGTCCGGTGAGAGGTGCATGCTCCACCCGGCCTAGGCCCGAAGTCTCAGCCCCCTGTATGGGTCAGCCTTTCCTGCATTTCTAACAAAATCCTCTCCAGAGCAAGCGAGAGAAACAAGGTGCCAACTCACAGTCTGGGAAGCTCAGACCCCACCCCTGAAGATCCTCGTGACCTAATGATGATTTATTATGAGATGCCCCAAACGCCTGAGAACCAGGAGAATTCAGGCTGAGCTTCCAGCAGCTTTCAGAAGGCAGCAGGTCTGGGACTGCCCAGGGCTTTGCAGTCCCTACAGGGTGGCAGGTGGGGGCTGCCGGGAAACACCCCGGCCTCTGACAGAGACTGGTGCCAGGCTCAGAGAACAAACTGTCAACTCCAGGAGGTTTTATCTGCTTCCCCCTTTTCCAGGAACTGAAACTGTTCCCAGTGTGATGAGCACAGGGGTGGGCATGGGGGTGGATGCAGGGGTGAGCACATGGTGGGCATGGGGTGGGCATGGGGGTGAGCACGGTAGGCATGGGATGGGTGCAGGGGTGAGCACACGGGCATGGGGGTGGGTGCAGGGGTGAGCACATGGTGGGCATGGGGTGGGCATGGGGGTGAGCACGGTAGGCATGGGATGGGTGCAGGGGTGAGCACACGGGCATGGGGGTGGGTGCAGGGGTGGGCACATGGGCACGGGAGTGGGCATGGGGGTGAGCACAGGTGGGCATGGGGGTGGGCATGGGGTGGGTGCAGAGGTGAGCACGGGCATGGGGGTGGGCAGGGGGGTGAGCACACGGTGGGCATGGGGTGGGTGCAGGGGTGGGCACATGGGCACGGGAGTGGGCATGGGGGTGAGCACAGGTGGGCATGGGGGTGGGCATGGGGTGGGTGCAGAGGTGAGCACGGGCATGGGGGTGGGCAAGGGGGTGAGCACACGGTGGGCATGGGGTGGGTGCAGGGGTGGGCACGGGTGCAGAGTGGAGCCACTCACCCAGGAGCAGCCAGCTGCTGGGTTGGGGCCAGGTCTGAGCACAGGGTGCCTGGTTAGTGATGGCAGAACCCCCAACCCTACCCCAGTGACCGCGGAGAGTCGGAGGCTCCAATATTTACAGATAAAATACAAAGCGTCAGCAAGAGAAAGAACCACGGAAGACGGTGCAGCCTAACTCCTGACTCAGGGGCTGTAGAGAAAGGAGAACCAGGGGGACAGGCAAGGAAGCTGGGCCCCGGCTGAACGCTCCAGGCTGAAAGGCTTCCTGAACCTTTCTCAACTGCTTTTTTTTTTTTTGGAGACAAGGTCCTGCTCTGTCACCCCAGCTGGAGTGCAGTGGCACAATCTTGGCTCACTGCAGCCTCAACCTTATGGGCTCAAGTGATCCTCCCACCTCAGCCTCCTGGGTAGCTGGACTATAGGCAGGTGCTACTATGCCCAGCTAATTTTCAAAAAAATTTTTTTTGTAGAGGTGGGGTCTCACTATGTTCCCCAGGCTGTTCTCAAACCCCTGGGCTCAAGCAGTCCTCCCACCTCAGCCTCCCAAAGTGCTGGGATTCCAGGGGTGAGCCACCACACACAGCCCTGATTCAAATTTCTTATGAGCAAAATGGGAGTCAAACAAGAAAAGCTTGTCTTGGCAGGCTGGACAGGCTGTGTGGCTGGGATGGGGCCCTCACGTCCCGCCCCACGTGTGGAAGCAGCTACAGACCAGAGACACACCCTGGATCCCCACCCCAGCATGACACCGACCCCAGGGACGCACGCCCTACCTTGTACGGGGAGATGTGCGTGTCGGGCGGGAAGGCCAGCATGCCCATGGCCTGGCGCACCTCGTCCAGCTGGCTCCCTTCTGCTTGGCTGAAGTGCTTTCTTGCATGTCTAAAAAACAACATTTTGGCACATTTAAGTTTGCGTTTTAATTTTAACTTTTAGAGACAGGGTTTCACTCTGTCACCCAGGCTGCAGTGCAGTGGCACAGTCACAGCTCACTGTAGCCTCGAACTCTCAGGCTCAGGCGATCTTCCCGAGAAGCTGAGACCGCAGATGTGCAGCACCACACCTAGCTAATGTAAAAAACATCTTGTTAGAGACAGATTCTCGCTGTGTTGCCCAGGCTGGTCTCCAACTCCTGGGCTCAAGCCATCTTCCTGCCCCGGCCTCCCAAAGTGCTGGGATTATAGGCATGAGCCGCTGCACCCGGCCTGCATTTTTAAGTTGAAAAATCTGAGCTAACAGCTTTTATGTCAGAGTCTAGGTACAAAGTAATCGCCTCACTCCAAGCCGACCTGCTGGGTGGGGCTGGGATGGCGGGAGGTGCGGCTCACCAGAGGCTGGAGGAGCAGCTACCAGACACTCCTTCCTCCAGGGGACCAGGGCACCCAAGCCACACAGACAACCCACGGAAAACACCAGAACTGCAAATGGCACCTGCCCCCGAGGGCTCTCCAAAGCGATTCTGGTTTACAAGGAACCCAAACCCTGAGGATTCCCACTCTCCCCAGATGCTCGCCCCCACGGACCCCGTGGCCCCAGCGGACCAAGAACGTGTAGTCTTCTCAACTGCAGTCCTTGCTGTTTGGCAGTGACGCCCAGCACAACCTTCCGAAGAACAGCCTCCCTCAGCCCACAGGCTGGACTCCCTGCAGATCCGGCCCAGCCCTCTCAGCCCTGAGCGTGCCACACACCACATGCAGCCACGATCTTTCCTGAGCCAACTCTGCGGGATGCACACAGGCCTACTCCAGGCCAGAACCCCACTCCAGTCTAAGGCTGGGCAACCAAGAAACCAAAGCAGAACATAACAGATCCCTTTCAAGCTGACCAGCGGGCACCTGCTCACCCCCAGGGCCCCCATTCTCATGCCCCCCCCCACACACAGGGTCACTGTCCCTCTGGCTGTCCTGAGGGCCTGCACCCCCATGTCCTGACCCTCACACGGGCCCCTGTGCACCCCACGTTCTCAGCCCTCAGGGCCCCTCTGCCAAAGCGACCCCAATGCACAGAACCAGGGGCCTCAAGTCCCATGTGTGAGTCAGCCCTGTGCTGTCCAGAACAAGGCATGTACCAAGGAACACAGGGCTGAGGAGGTGCCAGGCGCTCACGGTGGCCTTGGAGAAGATGCAGTGTCTCGCAGAGACTGGAGTTAGTGTAGGAGGTGGCCCAGCAGCCCCTTGATGGATAGCACGGGGACCACGTGTTGGAAGCACCACCAGGAGAGCCCGGGGCAGCAGGGAGTGGGGGGCGTCCACGCTTGGGACCCAGCCTGGGGAGTCCACATGGCTGACGCCCCAGGGCCTGTGCAGGGCCTGGGAGTCGGGGGTGAATCCACACGGCCGACCCCGCAGGGTGCATACAGGGACTGGGAGTCGGGGGTGAGTCCACACGGCTGACCCCGCAGGGTGCGTGTGCAGGGGCTGGGGACGGCCATCCGAGATTCCAGTGCCCATGCATCCCCCTCCTTGGAGCGTGTGGGTGGGCGTGGGTCTGAGTCCAGGAGGAGCCCCACCCAACCCCCTCATTCCATCTCTGGAGACAAGTCACCCTTCGTCACACGCCAAGACGTGCACAGAACACGGCCAACGGGCATCTCACCTCCTCCCAGAGCTGCTGAAGAGAGGAAATTTAATCTCCGTGGTTGACATCTACAAGATCTCATTTGCATGACCTGGTTTACGCGTCTTATCTCACCATCAATCAAACCCCAGACAGACATCATCCGCCTAACAAGCTGCCTCACCTCGCACCCCAGGTCCCTGATCCACAAATCCTGACCCCAAGACAGAAACAGAAAACCTAACAGTGGCGGCTGACTCTTTTCAGATCGTTTGATGCCAGCATTCAGCCCCAACACACAGAGAACTGCAGCCGAGATGTGGGGCCCTCAGAGCAGGTCCGGGGAGAACAGCACGGTATGCATCCACAGGACACAGGGGAAACAAAACCGTGACTTTTAACAAACTAAATGCAGCTAACATAAGAAACACAAAAACTTCCATTTTTCTTTAAAAATATAAACACACGGGCCAGGCACGGTGGCTCACGCCTGTAATCCCAGCACTTTGGGAGGCCAAGGTGGGCGGATCACAAGGTCAGGAGTTTGAGACCAGCCTGGCCAACATGGTGAAACCCCATCTCTACTAAAAATACAAAAATTAGCCGGGCGTGGTGGTGGGCGCCTGTAATCCCAGCTACTCAGAGGCTGAGGCAGGACAATCACTTGAACCCGGGAGGCGGAGGTTGCGGTGAGCTGAGATTGTGCCAGGCAACAGAGCAAAACTCAACCTCAAAACACACACACACACACACGGAAAGAGAGAGAGAGAGAAACACCCAGAAGACAAAATTCCTAAACTGTGCCTGGCCAGGCTGAGGTGTGGGTGTGCGACAGACGGCACGGAGCTGCTCACACAAAGCCCATGAAGTACAGGCCAGGTCCCAGCCGCCTGGGGTCAGGGATTCACTTACTCATTTACTAAAAATTAAAGGCGTTAAAAGTTAATCACTAGCAGCTCATACTTTTGCATTTCGCAAAAACCCACAAATGCCCCAGGCAGGGCGGAGCTGCAGCCACCCCAGCCAACGAGGCCCCCTGCCCGGCCCAGCACGCTGGCTCCACAGACAGCAGGACTCACCTTGCCTGCCCCAGTGGACCCAGAGGCTAGGCTGCTGGCCTCAAGCCCTGTAGATGGTGCCCGACGCTCCAGCGCCATGTGGACCGTGAGTTCAGAGGTGGACGGGAAGCTCCTGCGGGCTGGGACCCTGGCAGCAGGTGAGAGGGCCCTGCCTGGAGCCCTCAGGAGACATGTGGCCAGGCTTCTCCGCCTTCCCTCTTGTCCAGCCTCAGTGAGTGATACACAACACCCTCTGGGCTCCCAGCCAAACACCCGCACTCCCTCACCCCACAAACGTCCTGCCGATGCCCCACCTGCCACCCCAGCCCAGCTCCCGTGTGCCTTGTGGGTGGCTCCAGGGCCACGCTGAGCTGAGGCCGGACTTCCCTGACCAGGCCCTGGCACCTGGAGAACCACTCCCAAGACGGCCCCAGCAGAGGATGTAGCTCACACTGCGCCTGCCCCCGAGACACTGGGGTGTTGTTTGCCATGCCTGCCCGGCTGGCTGCTGAGGCTTCGAGGCAGCACGTGTCTGCTTGCGGGAGGAAGGACACGCACTTCCTGGGACCTGCCTGCTCCCCTGCAACAGACGAGGCCGCAGAGGGCACAGCTCTGAGCTCGGCTCAGACATTATGAGGTGGAGGCCCCGCGAGTCTCTAGGGCAGATTCTACCCAGAGCAGGGGGAACAAGGCAAAGAGACCCTACACGGAGCGGGGGGAACACAGGCAAAGAGACCCTACGCGGAGCGGGGGGAACACAGGTAAACAGACCCTACACGGAGCCAGGGTAACACAGGCAAATAGACCCTATGCGGAGTGGGGGTAACAGGTCAACAGACCCTATGCGGAACCAGCTGCCACCTAGATGAAGACATCTGTGACGGAGGGACTCCGGGATGGACACGTTTTGTTTTCAGACTCCAGGGCTGACAGTGGCCGGGGCCCTCAAGGAGACGGAGGCTGACTCGGGATGGAAGCAGACTGCCGCCGGACAGAGGCCAGCGACACAGGCACCGAGGCCACACGGAGGCCAGAGCAGAGCGGGAGCCCCTCCTCTTGACAGGGGGCCCCTGGCCGTGTCCCCGCAATGCTCACACGCCACTCTCCACTGGCCCGGGTCCCGAGATCCCCGCTTTAGCCCTCTCAGGCACAGAAGGGACCTCGTTGCAGGCCTGGCTCCCTCGTGCGTGAAGACGAGGCCTGACCTGCCACCATGCGCCCAGGTCAGCATCAGGAGCCGGAGCAGGACCCCGGGCCTCTCCAGGGTCCACGCAAGGGCAGGGACTTGCCGCGGTTCTGCCGTGCGTCTTGGGGACCACCCTCAGCACCTCATCGTGAGACGCCCACTTCTCCAAATGGGCCTTCTGTGGAACACTCGGCCACCCGGCCCACTGCAGGTGGATATGGAGTCGCGGTCGGGTTTCTGTGGGCATGGACAGGTGCCCCCTCCTGGCAAACACACCTGCTGGGCACTCGCCCGGGAGCTGAGGGCCAGCCAGGCCCACACACCCCACACAGCAACTCAAGCGTCACCGCAAGGCTTGGCCGCTCAGGAACCTCCATGAAAGTGAGTGAGACGACCTAGCACTCAAGGAGCAGCCCTGCCCCGAGACGGGGTGAGCATGAACTGGCCGACACTGCCCAGGCCAGGGACCACTGCTGCCTGACGATGCCCACTCTGGGGAGCCAGCGGGAAGCCAGCGGACAGCCTCTCTTCCTTTGCAGACGCCGTGCACCCCAACTGGGCTGAGCCACAGTGACAGCCAGCATCCCCTTCTCAGGCCTGACCACCAGGGCGCCGCTGGCCTCAGCTCACTGCACGCCGCCCTTGGGTCGGAGACAGGCCGGAGAACCCAGAAGTGCCCTCATCACACGCTGTCAACATTCCCCGATGACTGTGAGGGACATTCCCAAGCTCAGGACGCTTGGAGCTACCTGAGGACCACACGTCAGAGACACTCCCATCTACTGAGGCTGGCGGCACTTTCCAATGTGGAAAGGGGGTGCCGGGAGCCTGATCCACGTGTTTTACGTGGACGGTCGGGACCTCAAAGCTGGTTCCCCTGGCAGCCACGGGGGTCTGGATGCCCACCTGGGGCCACACCTTGGCGGGGGCCCTGCCAGGCTCCAGGCCTCACTCCCCAAGTCCCATTCAGGAACAGTGGGAGAAGCAGCCACCTGAGCAGGCAGGGGTCAGACTCAAGACCCAGGGGACGACCCAGGGGACGTCCCAGGACCCAGACCACGACAGGGAGGGCTGGCAGGGGCCGCAGCCGAACATCCTGCCCTCCCTCGAGGAGACGCACGTCCGCAATGCCTACCTCACAGCGTCCAGTCTCTTATTCTGCCGGATGAGTTCAATGAACTCCTGGATTCTGAGGCTGAACTCCAGGCAGCTCTGAGGGCAAAGACAAGACGAGGGCTTAGACAGCACATCCCACAGAGCCCAGGTGCCCGGGTGCCGCACCCGCATGTCCACCAGCAGACCCCACAACCAAAGCTCTGAACCCCTCTCTCACAGGCACGGGGAAGGCAGGGCTGAGGCTGAAGCTGCCACTTTAACCTGCAGCAGACTTTCCAGGGAACACTGGGTTCTGAATGTGAGTCCCGCCCCCTGCTCCTGCAGCTGCGGTGGGGCGTGCAGCCGCCCAGCATTTCAACCCGAAGGCCAGGGCGCTCAGGGCGCTTCCAGGAGCACAGCTGGGAGGGCAGAGCAGCAGGTGCAGCTGCTGGAGCAAAGGCACCAACCCCTCTGCAAGGACAAAGCAGCTTCCTGGGTCCCGCCCTGAGGCCACTGCTTCCTCTACACTCCCACCGGGCCTCTGGACCCAACTATCCCGAATGTAGACTGGGTGCTGGCTTGAACCCGGGGCTGTTCTGGGAGAACGTGGGCAAGTCCTGTCCCGAGGCGCTGATGCCCCGGGTGGGGAGGAGACAGGGACCACATGTGGGGCTGCTGGCTGGTGCCTCACAGGGGCATGAGGCAGAGAAGCAAGCTTGGAGCAGGCAGGACCCAGGTCGGCAGGGCGGGGAGGAGACAGGGACCACATGTGGGGTTGCTGGCTGGTGCCTCACAGGGGCATGAGGCAGAGAAGCAAGCTTGCAGCAGGCAGGACCCAGGTCGGTAGGGCGGGGAGCGCCTGCACCGAGGTTATGGACGGGGGACCGCACAGACACCTGGCGAGAACATGGCGGGCAGAAGCCGGGGCCGGTGCCGAGGCCCCAGGCGGGTGGCACATGGAATGGAGGCCTGGCCCAGGGGACACTGAGGTCCTAGGTGGCTGTGAGGCCAAGGGGCGGCTCGCGTGAAGGGAGGGCGCTTCCAGGATGTGTAGAAGACGGAGAGAGGCCGAGTTGGGGCTGCTGGCTGAAGGCACTATGCCTGAGGCAGGGGCGGGGGTGGGGGAAGCTCCTGCAGGACCAAGTCCCACATGTGTCTGCCTATGAGCCTCTCACGTGCACCTAAGGGAAGCCCAACCCTCAATCTGAAATCTCAGCAACCTCAGTCCAACGTGGGCCGAGACTTGTGGCTGGGGTGGGGGCAGCGGCAACATTGACCGCAGTCATCCAAGATGAGACGCGGATTCTACGGAAGTGACATGTCCGTCTAAACCGTAAGATCTTCCGTGTGGTTTCAGGACATTCTCAGGGCTTCACCCCGGAAACAGGATATAGGCGTGGGCACCACGGAGCGAGTCTTGGGCTGGGGCCGCGTGTCACTCTGGGTTCACATGGCCTGGCTCTCAGGACGGCATGAACAGAAACTCCACGTGGCAGATGAATCCACCCCGGACCACTGCATTTAAGTTGAAGCTCATCACTTCCGCTTCCCAGAGCTTTCCCCACTGAGCTTTCTGAGGAGCCACCTGTGCTCCAGCCCACCCCGCCTGCCAGCCTTGCTGCCCCGACACGCATAGCACCCACAGCAGTGGCTCCGCGTGGGTGTGGGGAGGACTGGGCTGCCCAGACCCCCGGGGGCCACCTGCCTTCCAGGGGCTCAGAGGGGCTCAGGTCCCTGCCCTGCTGCCTCTGCCCTGTACCCTCAGCCCCTCATCACCCTGTGTCCCTAGACAGACGGGTCAACAGGCTGGACGCAGAACTCACAGGCTTGCTCCAAGCTGGGGCAGGAGGACTGTCTCTGACCCCAGCAGTGGCACAGGCTCTGGGTGGGGAGTGCCAGGCTTGGTACAAATCAGCCGAGAGGCACAAAGTCATCCCAGGGTCCCGAGTCCCCACCCCACTAATCAGCAGGCAGACTTCGGTCAGCACTCCGCTCCCTTCAGAGCCAGCCTGGCAGGAGAGGAAGGGAAGGGCCAGCGGGAAGAGATAGAGGCTCCCCACCAGGGCCCCACCTGCCTCCCAGGGGCTGCCTGATGGCTGCCGTGTCTAGAGCAGGCGAGTGCCGGGGCTCTGTCTAAAGGCAGGACGCAGCTGCCGAGGGGGTGCTCTAGAAGAGCAGGACTCTGGGCCCACTCTAGGTTACCGCTTCACACAATAGACACCTCAAACCTGCTTTTCAATAACACCTTTTGCTCTAGTAGGTTACTTTCAATTGGTCCACTAATATGTAAGTGTGTCTATGTCGTGAAACTTAGGTATTCAGACCCAAATCTAAAACACCGAGTCTACACTGTCCCATACGGCGTGGAGCGCCAACAAGGCTGTGCCCGCCCTGCGACAGGCGCCCACACTGATGGCTCCGTGTGGCTTTCGCACAGACGTGCAGCAAACAAATCACTGCTTCAGGGGCCTTCAGGGCCACTCACCCACCCATGCCTGTGAAATCCATCTCTCAGCCAGGTCAAACTTGGGTCTCAAGTTTCTTTTCCCATCTAGGTTCTCACAGCTGGTCCCAGGGACCCGTTAGAGCACAGTCTGGCTCCTCCTTGCCTCCCCACACACCCCCTGGCGTGCGTGCACATGTGAGCAGACTGCACAGACAGCCGTGTACCCCAACTGGCTCGGCCGCATCTCGTACCGGGCATGTTTTCGTGTCATTTGGAGTCTTCAGGGCGCATTTCTGGACAGCATCTAAATATGGATTCAGGCCCCGTCCAGTCTCGACTTCATCCAACACCAGGCACGCTCATCCAATCTCAACTCATCCAACACCAGGCACGCTCATCCAATCTCAACTCATCCAACACCAGGCACGCTCATCCAATCTCAACTCATCCAACACCAGGCACGCTCATCCACCAGGCATCCAATCTCAAATCATCCAACACCAATCTCAACTTTATCCAACACCAGACACACTCATCCACCAGGCATCCAATCTCAACTTCATCCAACACCAGACACACTCATCCACCAGGCATCCAATCTCAACTTCATCCAACACCAGACACACTCATCCACCAGGCATCCAATCTCAACTCATCCAACACCAGGCACGCTCATCCAATCTCAACTCATCCAACACCAGGCACACTCATCCAACCTCAACTCATCCAACACCAGGCACGCTCATCCAATCTCAACTCATCCAACACCAGGCACGCTCATCCACCAAGCATCCAATCTCAACTTTATCCAACACCAGGCACGGTCATCCACCAGGCATCCAATCTCAACTTCATCCAACACCAATCTCAACTTCATCCAACACCAGACACACTCATCCACCAGGCATCCAACCTCAACTTCATCCAACACCAGACACACTCGTCCACCAGGCATCCAATCTCAACTTCATCCAAACCAATCTCAACTTCATCCAACACCAGACACACTCATCCACCAGGCATCCAATCTCAACTCATCCAACACCAGACACGCTCATCCACCAGGCATCCAATCTCAACTCATCCAACGCCAGGCACACTCATTGACCAGGCATCCAATCTCAACTTCATCCAACACCAGACATACTCATCCACCAGGCATCCAATCTCAACTTCATCCAATACCAGGCACACTCATCCACCAGGCATCCAATCTCAACTCCATCCAACACCAGACACACTGATCCACCAGGCATCCAATCTCAACTTCATCCAACACCAAGCACGCTCATCCAATCTCAACTCATCCAACACAAGGCATGCTCACCCAATCTCAACTTATCCAACACCAGGCACGCTCATCCACCAGGCATCCAATCTCAACTTCATCCAACACCAGGCACACTCGTCCCCCAGGCATGCATTCAGGGCCCCGAGTCCTGGCCCTGCCTGTCCCCACAGCAGCTTCAGACAGGTCGTGTGCTCGTGGCAAGCCTCCAACACCCTCCAGCAACACTGTCCGGCAGGTAATTAGGGCTTGCAGGAATATCCTGGCAGCACCAAGAACCTATCTTCCCTCTGACATCCACAGGAAACAGCCCTGGCAGAGTTCCCACTGTGAGGTGTGTGCCGGCTCTCTGGGAGGGAGTGTGGGGCTGGCACTGTGTAGTGGGGCCGCAGGTTACATACCAATTCTGGCTTTCCTTTTAGGGTTTCCATACCAAGGTCCAAACTCTCTTTAGGGGAGCTACTAGCCGCTCTACTTTTTCGTCCCGTCTTTGCTTCGTGCTTGTTTTGGCGGCCCTGAGTGGCAGTGTGTCACTCCTGGCTGGTAACTGCGTGCACCCTGCCAAACTCAGCCAGGGTGAGGTTAAAGCAGCGCTCAGTTTAGAAGACAGAAAAGTTTTGCTAATGGAGGCAGAAGTGTTAACATAAGTTAAAACATTTCTGCAAGCCCCTAGGGTGACAATGCCTTTTAATAAGCAGGTTTAAATTTTGTCCTTTAGGAGTCCATTTCTTAAGCTTCTTTTGGTCTCTACAAAAGTCGGTACTCGGCCGGGCACGGTGGCTCACGCCTGTAATCCCAGCACTTTGGGAGGTTGAGGCAGGTGGATCACAAGGTCAGGAGATCAAGACCATCCTGGCCAACGTGGTGAAATCCCATGTCTACTAAAAATACAAAAATTAGCCGGGCATGGTGGCGCATGCCTATAATCCCAGCTACTCAGGAGGCCAAGGCAAGAGAATCGCTTGAACACCGGAGGCAAGTGAGCCAAGATCGTGCCACTGCACTCCACCCTGGCGACAAAGCGAGACTCCGTCTCAAAAAAAAAAAAAAAAAAAAAAAAAAAAAAGTGGGTATTCATTAACAATATCACAGCCCAGAGCTCTG
Organism: Homo sapiens; assembly: GCF_000001405.40. NCBI lineage: Eukaryota > Metazoa > Chordata > Mammalia > Primates > Hominidae > Homo > Homo sapiens. Next base: position 1,322,905 of record NC_000004.12, on the reverse strand, counting down.
CAGCCTCGCAGATGGAGAATGACTTCCCAACCAGCTTTTCTGTGTCTATGACTGAGCACAGGGAGCCCATGGAGTACCCCCATGGAGCAGGACTGACCTGTCTCCAGGCTCTAAGCCCAGCAGCCCCAACACTCTGTGTGCACATGGTCAGCCTCCTGTAACCCACTCCTTCTGAGCCTCATGCCAGCTGTACACAAACTGTAATGCCAAATGAGGTGCACTTTTCCAGATTTTAGCCTAAAAGTGTAACACAGCCACCAAAAAAACTCCCAAACCCAACCCCCACCTTACAAACCAAAACCAAACTACTGTGAACCACCAGGCAAGGGGGTGCTGGCTCCAGGGCAGGTGGCGCAGCCTCGGCCCCGACCCACTCCCACCCCAACCTGGGAGTCCGTGCACCTTCATCTTCCGGAGCCGGGACTTGTTGTCATGGCACCAGGCCAGGCAGGTGGCCGTCTCACGCCTCTCCAGGGACTCCTCCACCTCTTTGGCCGTCAGGAACATCTCAATATTCACTAGGTCCTTAGAGGAAGGAAGCAGCACCTGATCAGAATGTGCTGGCTCAAGGCCCCCATGCCACCCTCCCACACCCCAGCCTCCATGAGGCAGGCCCAGCACCGGCCACCACTCGAGATGCATCTCCAGTCCACACTGTGGGTCTGCACTCGTGGACTACTCAGGGCCGCTCTGAGATCCTAGGAACAGAACAGCCCCCAAGGACCAAAAGGTCGGACGCTCACGTAGACAGCAGCCATAGCCGGGCAAGGGAGCCAGGCTGGCCCCACCTGTCCATGGAGAGGAGCTGCTGAGACACACATGCAGGCAGGGCCAGGCCACATGCCAGGCGGCCCTGTCTCCACTCCCCACAGCCCCCCAGCACATCTACAGGCCCTCCCTGGGCAGCCCCCTCATTTCAAAATCAACAGTAAGCAAATAATAACATGCTAAATAATACATAAACACATTATGGCTAATATCGCGGTAGTTACAACCAATGATTTATATGAAAGCAAAGAAAAAAAAAAAAAACAACAAAAAAAACAGAGTAACCCAGGCTTAGCATCAAGTCTCCGCTAGTGGCCGGGCACAGGGGGTGGGTGCTCAGTGCCTAGCAGTGGAACCCATGGTCTCTGGCAGGGGCAGGACAGCAGCTGGTACGGGACTCCACCAGGCACGGCAAGGCTTGGGGCAAGCGCTCAGGTGGTCCTCAGCAGCAATGACTCCCGACCTTCCCCAGTGGGACCAAGGACGGCACCTCCGCCTGCACATAGCCCAGGACCCAACGGCCCAGGATGAGGCCACAGTTCACCACTTGGGTCCCACAGCCCCACGTCTGGACCACCGGCCTCACAGATGCGCTGTTTTCTTTGATGATTACTCTTTTCTGAAACCCCTCATAACGTTGTTTTCTTGCACCTTTTCTTTCATGATTTCTTGTTTCTGAAACCCCTTCATAGCATTTTCTTGCATGTTTGCTTTGATGATTTCTCTTTTCTGAAACCCCTCACAGTGTTGTTTCCTTGCATCTTTTCTTTAACGGTTTCTCGTTTCTGAAACCCCTTCATAGCGTTTTCTTGCATGTTTGCTTTGATGATATCTTTTTTAAAGCCCCTTCATAGCGTTTTCTTGCACGTTTGCTTTGATGATTTCTTTTCTGAAGCCCCTTCATAGCGTTTTCTTGCACATTTGCTTTGATGATTTCTTTTCTGAAGCCCCTTCATAGCGTTTTCTTGCATGTTGATTATTCTTTTCTGAAGCCCCTTCAAAGCATTTTCTTGCATGTGTGCTTTTGTTTGTTTTTTTGAGACGGAGTCTCGCTCTGCCGCCCAGGCTGGAGTGCAGTGGCGCAATCTCCACTCACTGCAAGCTCCGCCTCCTGGGTTCACACCATTCTCCTGCCTTGGCCTCCCGGGTAGCTGGGACTACAGGCGCCTGCCACCACGCCCGGCTAAATTTTTGTATTTTTAGTAGAGACAGGGTTTCACCGTGTTAGCCAGGATGGTCTCGATCTCCTGAACTCGTGATCTGCCCACCTTGGCCTCCCAGAGTGCTGGGATTACAGGCGTGAGCCACCGTGCCCGGCCTCTTGCATGTTTGCTTTGATGATTTCTTTTCTGAAGCCCCTTCATAGCGTTTTCTTGCATGTTCGCTTTGATGATTTCTTTTCTGAAGCCCCTTCATAGCGTCTTCTTGCATGTTCATGTTGATGATTTCTTTTCTGAAACCCCTTCATAGTGTCTTCTTGCACGTTTGCTTTGATTATTTCTTTTCTGATGCCCCTCCATAGCGTTTTCTTGCACGTTTGCTTTGATTTCTTTTCTGAAGCCCCTTCATAGCATTTTCTTGCAGGTTTGCTTTGATGATTTCTTTTCTGAAGCCCCTTCATAGCGTTTTCTTGCATGTTTGCTTTGATGATTTCTTTTCTGAAGCCCCTTCATAGCGTTTTCTTGCATATTTGCTTTGATAATTTCTTTCTAAAGCCCCTTCACAGCGTTTTCCTGCATGTTGATGATTCTTTTCTGAAGCCCCTTCATAGCATTTTCTTGCATGTTTGCTTTGATGATTTCTTTTCTGAAGCCCCTTCATAGCATTTTCTTGCACGTTTGCTTTGATTTCTTTTCTGAAGCCCCGTCATAGAGTTTTCTTGCACGTTTGCTTTGATTTCTTTTCTGAAGCCCCTTCATAGTGTTTTCTTGCACGTTTGTTCTGATGATTTCTGAAGCCCCTTCATAGTGTTTTCTTGCATGTTTGCTTTGATGATTCTTTTCTGAAGCCCCTTCATAGCGTTTTCTTGCATGTTTGCTTTGATGATTTCTTTTCTGAAGCCCCTTCATAGCGTTTCCTTGCATGTTTGCTTTGATGATTTCTTTTCTGGAGCCCCTTCATAGCGTTTTCTTGCATGTTTGCTTTGATGATTCTTTTCTGAAGCCCCTTCATAGCGTTTTCTTGAATGTTTGCTTTGATGATTCTTTTCTGAAGCCCCTTCATAGCGTTTTCTTGCATGTTTGCTTTGATGATTCTTTTCTGGAGCCCCTTCATAGTGTTTTCTTGCATGTTTGCTTTGATGATTTCTTTTCTGAAGCCCCTTCAGGGCAGGCGAATGTTGGGTCTCCCACAAAGTCTTACTTTGTTTTGCAACTTGAAAAACCATTTTTTTTTTTTTGAGACAGGGTCTCGCTCTCTTGTCCAGACTGGATGGAATACAGTGGTGAGATCATGGCTCACTGTTGCCTCAAATTCCTGGGCTCAAGTGATGCTCCCACCCTGGTCTCCCAAAGGCCTTGTTTTGTAGTTTTGCTCTAAATTTCAGGAGGTGGCTCCTGGTCTATATCCTGCCTCATGTCCCGTCAACACAGCCTCGGGGTCTGAACCCAGTTGGATCTCTCTTACTGAGGGTTTCTCCAATGTCCGGGTCTCCGGTTGTGAGAGTCACATGAAAGATGTGAGGCCAGCTGGCAGCAGGCTCGTACGTCAACTGAAACTAGAAACCATCTAAGTGAACTGGTTTTCTGTCTCACACGAAATGCTCATGCTGACTTTTGTTTGTTTTGAGACAGGGTGTTGTCCTGTTGCCCAGGCTGGAGTGCAGTGGTGCAATCTTGGCTCACTGCAGCCTCCACCTCCTGGGCTCAAGTGATCCTCCCACTGCAGCCTCCAGAGTAGCTGGGACCCCAGGCACCCACCAACACTCCCAGCTAATTTGAAAAAAAATTTGTAGAGAAGGGTTCTCACTTTGCTGCCCAGGCTGGTCTCAAACTCCTGGGCTCAACAGATCCGCTCGCCTCAGCCTCCCAGAGTGCTAGGATTACGGGTTGAGAGCCCTGCGTCCAGCCTAAGGCAGCACAGGCAGGCGCACAGCACCAGCCACACTGAGGACTCTGTTCTGCCCCTCCTGGGCAGCCTTCCCTCGGCAGCAGGCTTCCTGTCCTGTTCCTGTGTGGCCTTCCCTGGGCAGCAGCTTCCTGTCCTGTTCCTGGGTGGCCTTCCCTTGGCAGCAGCTTCCTGTCCTGTATTGTCTGGGACCTTGCTCCAATCCAGAGCATGAGGTTATTTTCCTAAGTTTGTCACGTCTCCAATTTTGGTGCACAGGAATTTTGGTGCACAGGTAGGAAACTGGGGTCCCACGTGGGAATTCCATGGCGCCCCCTACAGGAAGTCCAGGTCTGACCAGCGCAGCCGGGGTTTACATTTCCACAACCTGGCAGCTCCCCCTCGGCCACAGCAGCACCTTCCCCAGGGCTTCCTAGTGCCATGGTCACCTGTGGTCAAAAGCGATTCCTCAGCTCAACGCCCTCCGGAGCATCTCAGCAGAAAGAACCCCTCCCCCGCAACCCAGTCCTCATGGGCTCCACACGCCCGCCTTCTTCCACACAGCAGCTCCAGGCCCTCTTTTGGACAGACATGCTCAGGGCACCCCAACACCTTGAGTGTAGCCCGTCTCACCCTGCTGAGGCCTACTCCAACTGGCCTTAGAATCATCAGCACTCCCATATCCACCCTGCTCTACGCACTTCTGTGGAACGCGTGGCCTGTGCCCACCACAGGACCCCCTTCTTTCACTTCACGTCTCTCTCCCCCAACACAGCGCACATTCCCTGGGGCCAGGGGCACCCACAGCTCATGCTTCAGCAGCCACCGCCAGGTTGCTTGGTCACACCCCATGGGTCCCAAGGACAGTGTGCTGGGCGTTTAGGAGAGGATGGCTAGGTCATCTATGAACACACGGGGGGCCGCCCCAGGCAGCCAGGACATGTGGGCAGCACGGAGCGAGGGCCTGTGCATTGGGGGAAGCCGGGCACACGGGGCCAGGGAGGCGGGTGGGTGGGAAAGGCATGTGGGACAGGGCACCGGAGCGGACATGTGCTGGCCCACTGTCCGTCACATGAGCCTGGGCAGGTGCAGGTGAGAATGCCCTTCCCTGACACCCAGGTGGAGGAAAAATGGCACCAGATGGGGGCCACAGCAGCCCAGTGGGCAGCACGGCAGAGGCATCACAGACGACCCCGTCCAGCGATGAGAATGTTGGGTGCACACTGGAGTGGCTGCGAGTCATGACCTGGAGACTTCGGAAACTCAACAAGACTGCAGGGCACCCAGGGGCACCAGCCCCGGTCACCGCAGAGGATCAGTGCACTTTGCCATCTGGCAGATCAACTCATGGCACAGCTGTGACACATCACATTCACGCTTGTGAACCGAGACGCCATACCCCAGCGGTGCCGAGAGCAACAGTGCTGTGCAGGTCTGGGCAGATGAGGGCCTCCAGGACACGAGGACTCACTCGCTCACCCTGCCCACTGGGCAGCTGCTCGCCACTCCCCTCCTGGAGGGCAGGACGGACACCACACACACACACAAGCAGGGAGGCTGTGCAGCAGTGGGGAGAAGGCATGGGTGGGAGGGTGCCGCTCCACCCAGGGCAGCATCTGAGAGAAGGTGAACGAGGTGCGGGACAAATGCCGAGGACAAGAGCCAGCAAGAGGGTGGGGCCAGGTGGGTCTGCGGGTGAGTCCGGAGTGTGGGGCCTGCAGATGAGTCCGGAGTGTGGGGCCTGCAGATGAGTCCAGAGTGTGGGGCCTGCGGGTGAGTCTGGAGTGTGGGGCCGGGTGGGCCTGCAGGTGAGTCTGGAGTGTGGGGGCTGGGGTGGGCCTGCGGGTGAGTCTGGAGTGTGGGGGCTGGGGTGAGCCTGCGGGTGAGTCTGGAGTGTGGGGGCTGGGGTGGGCCTGCAGGTGAGTCTGGAGTGTGGGGGCTGGGGTGGGCCTGCGGGTGAGTCTGGAGTGTGGGACCGGGTGGGCCTGCAGGTGAGTGTGGAGTGTGGGGGCCGGGGTGGGCCTGGGGGTGAGTCTGGAGTGTGGGACCGGGTGGGCCTGCAGGTGAGTCTGGAGTGTGGGGGCCGGGGTGGGCCTGGGGGTGAGTCTAGAGTGTGGGGCCGTGGTGGGCCTGCAGGTGAGTCTGGAGTGTGGGGCCGGGTGGGCCTGGGGGTGAGTCTGGAGTGCCGCAAGGCTGGGGAGCTGGGCAGGAGCGTGACAGGAGTGTGGGGGAGGCTGCAAGCCAGCAGGGCGTGCAGATGGCTGCATGGGGGCGTGAGTGTGGCCCCATGGGCACCCGAGGCCTTGGACTGCACAATGTGAGGCCGCCTCCAAGGCTGGGAAGGGAGCCTTGTGCTGGGGTTGAATTCAGCCAGGGCTGAGGCCCATGATGCCCCAGGTGGGAGCCACACACATGTGGGTGGGATTTAAGCCGTGGAAAGAGAGAAGACCCCTGGTTAGACAGAAGCAGGGAGGAGGTGGGCTGAGGAGCCGTGGCAGGGAGCAGCATGGGAGGGAGGCCTGTGGGGCCAGGCGCATGGCTGGGCATGGGGAGGCTGGGCCCGGGACAGGGCCATGGGGCACAATCCTCTCGCACAAGTCCTGCCTGAGAGGTTCTCAAGTGTTGTCATCTCAGTCAAATGGAACACGGACGCCACCTTAACCCGAGTCAGGTGAGGCTGTGCTCCCACAGCAGGATCTGGACAGGGGCAAGGGCGACGGGCCCAAGTGCTGGTCTGGGAGGCTCCAACTGCCATGGGCCCCCACAGCAGTGGACAACTGCCCGATGGCAGAGAGGCCGCCCCAGCTAACCTGGCCCAAAGGTGCCAGAGGGCAGCACCGCCCAGCGTCTGCTCAGCTGTAGCCACAGAGGGCAAGGGTGCCACGTGTTTCTACAGGGTGCCACAGAAAACACGGAAAACGCACCCCGCCTGAGATAAAGGCAAAGCTCTCACGAGGAAGCAATGGAGCATGTGTCAGCGCAAAACCCGGGGTACAGGTATCGGGCGGGAAAATCCTAAGCAGGATGTGTGCAGACACCACAGGGAAATGAGAAGAACCTGGAGAGCCGCTTAGACACTGACTTCCTGCCTTCAGAAGGCTAAGTCCCAGGTGCGTTTCCACAAAGGGTCAGGGCCTCTCAGCTGGGGAGGAGGCCCTCACCACAGCGCAGACACACACACGGGGTGGGGGAGAAACACGCACATTGGGGGGGGGGGGGCACACACACGGGAAGGGGACACACGCACACAGGGGTGGGGACATGCACATGGGGGGAGGGGGACACGCACACGGGGAGGGGGACACACACACACACTGGAGGGGGGACACACGCACACGGGGGTGGGGGGAGGGGAACACAAGCATACGGGGGTGGGGGGAGGGGAACACAAGCATGTAGGGACACAGGCATGCCGGGGGACATGCCACAGGGCGGCTGGCCATAGGCCTGGGGCCAGCTGGGGCGCTGTGCCTGCGTCTGGCGGGCACCCACCTCGATGCCGCTCTGGCGCGCCAGCTTGACAGCCGTGTTGTAGTAGCCGCAACGCAGCAGGTGCTCCACCATCATGCGATCCATGCGCTTCCTCTTCCACACGCTGGCCGCCGCGGGCTGGTCGCTGCTATGCTCTTTGAGGTGCTCGATCCGGCGCTTGCACAGCTTGGCGCTCTCGTCCTCGGCCTGGATGGATTCCACCGCCTGAGCCACACACAACAGAGGCACGTTCAGGACAGGGATGCCCCGCAGCCCTGCACCAAGGGAGGCCAGGCTGCCCCAATCCACAACACTCACAAGGAGAAAAGCAGGGATTACGGGACAGAAAAAAAACCGTGCTCTACCGAGTCCGCTAGGCAGGTGTGCCTGGCCCAAGAGCTGCAGACGGAGGCAGTGAAAATCCACCACCCTGGATCTGCAGCTTCTCTCTGCTATTTCTGGCTTTATATTAATATACCCTGAAGCCATGTTGCCAGATGCATACAATTTCAAATTTGCTATGCCTTTCTGGTTAAACTGTTTATCATTATAAGGTGACTTTAAAAAAATCTTTTGCAATACTTTTTTTCTTAAAGTCAATTTTGTTAAAAATGAATCGGGCTAGATAGAAACGTTCCAGGCCTGTGCTGCCCAACACAGCTGCCACCAGCCCACGTGGCTGCCACACACTTAAGGGCAGTGGTGCAACTGAGGAACTGAATTCTTCGCTAAAAATTTGACAGCACACACGGCGACTGACTACTGGACAGATCCAGGATCCGGGCTGGCTTCTTTCAGCACATTCTACCAATTTTGGCTTCCAACTGCTGTGCAGAAATCAGCTGTCCGGCTGTCTGTTGCCCCTTTGGAAGTCATCTTTTGCCCTCAGGAGCTTTTCAAATATTTCTTTGTCTCTGTTTTCTTCAGTTCCACCACGGGAAAATCCCATGTCGGTTTATTTTCACTTACTCTGTGTCGGATTCTGACCTGGTGGTACTCATCAGTTCTGAAACCTTGGTCACTCTCCCCGCACCATCTCTGTCCCCACCCACTGGTGGGCTCTGGTGAAACATGCCACAGGTTTCTGCTCTATTCCATGCTTTACTCTCGCAGCCACTTTGATTTTTCAGTCTCTGTGCTCCATTCTCGATCACCCTCCAGTTCACTAATTCTGTCTTTAGCTTTGTCTGTTAACTGTTAAACTGTTATAGGCAAATGTTGAGTTTTTCATTTTTGGTTATTATATTTCCCATTTCTTGAAATTTTAGTCCCTTTTAAATTCTGAATTTTTTTTTTTTTTTGGAGACAGAGTCTCTGTGCAGGCTGAAGTGCAGTGGTGCGATCTCAGCTCACTGCAACCTCCAGCTCCTGGGTTCAAGTGATTCTCCTGCCTCAGCCTCCCGAGTAGCTGGGACCACAGGCGTACACCATGCCCGGCTAATTTTTTTGTATTTTTAATAGAGACGGGGTTTCGCCATGTTGGCCAGGCTGGTCTTGAATTCCTGACCTCAGGTGATCCGCCTGCCTTGGCCTCCCAAAGTGCTGGGATTGCAGGCGTGAGCCACTGTGCCTGCCCAATCACTTTTTTAAGACAGTGTCTCACTCTGTTGCCCAGTCTGGAGTACAGTGACACAATCTCTGCTCACTACAACCTCGACCTCCTGGGCTCAAGCGATTCTCCTGCCTCAGCCTCCCAATTAGCTGAGACTACAGGTGTGTGTCACCACGCCTGGCTATTTTTTGTAGAGATGGGGTTTTGCCATGTTGCCCAGGCTGATCTCAAACTCCTGGGCTCAAGCAATCTACCTGCCTCGCCCTTCCAAAGTGAGCCACAGTGTCCAGCCTTAAATCACTTTTTATACTGTCTGTTCCCTGCAGAGACTTTCAAACTTTTTTTTGAGATAGGGTCTCGCTGTCGCCCAGCTAGAGTGCAGTGGCATGATCGTGGCTCACTGCAGCCTTGACCTCCTGGGCTCAAGCAATCCTTCTGCCTCAGCCTCCTGAGTATCTGCTGGGGCTACAGGAGGGCACCAGTACGCTTGGCTATTTTTAATGTTTTGTGGAGATGGGGTCTCCCTGTGCTGCCCAGGCTGGTCTCAAACTCCTGCGCTCAAGTGATTCTGCTGCCTCAGCTTTCCACAGTGCTTTCCAGGTGTGAGCCACCGCGCCCAGCCTGCTTCTGTTCTTTAAGCACAGTAAGGTGTGGCACCTGGCAGCCCCTGCACCTGCAGTCCGTGCAGCCCTCTGTCTACTGCCTGCTGGGTCTCCAGTCCATCGTGGTGTCTTGAGACAGGGTCTCACTGTTGCCCAGGCTGTCTCTGTGCTGGACGTTGTACTTGAAAACTGAGAATCTAAGAATCATCTTATGCCCATATTGAAGGTATCCTCCCCAAGAAAGAATCTGAATTGACTCTGCCCGGAGCTGGAAGGCACCACCAGCCGGGACCACCTCACCGGAGTGAAGGCTGAGGGTCTCCAATCATCCCAGTCCTCTGAACGTAGGCTGCAATGCTGTGTCAACGCCAGTCCACTTCTGGTACACCCCACGCTGAGCTGTAGTACCGTGGGGTCCCACCTTCTCTCCACTGGGCCCCACTTTCCAAGGCTTGGGTCATCGGTCCTCACCTCCATCTGGCCTGGCCAACACTCCAGGGGACAACAGCAGTCTCTTGCTGCTCACCTCTGACCCCTGCCCTCCGGTTCTGGCCTGGCGATTCCTTTCGGTTTCATGGTTTATTGGGTATTTTCAGTGCGACGTTTCAAGATATCTCATCCCACTTTCTGGGTGTCTTCAGTGGGCCAGATTAGTCCCAAGGCCCCTGTCCACCAATCCCAGTGACAAGGAACTCCACATGCTCCTTGGAGGTGAAATTCCATCTAAAAATAATCGATCAGGCCGCGTGCAGTGGCTTACACCTGTAATTTCAGCTTTGGGAGGCCAAGGCAGGTGAATCACCTGAGGTCAGGAGTTCGAGACCAGCCTGGCTAACATGGTGAAACCCTGTCTCTACTAACAATACAAAAATTAGACGGGCGTGGTGGTGGGCGCCTGTAGTCCCAGCTACTCGTGAGGCTGAGGCAGGAGAATCGCCTGAACCCCGGAGGTGGAGGCTGCAGTGAGCTGAGATCGCACCACTGAACTCCAGCCTGAATGACACAGTGGGACTCTGTCTCAAAAAAAAAAAAAAAAAAAAAAAATCAATCAACCTGCTATACATCCTGGTCTCCCTGTGGCCTGGACTCTGGACACTCCTGGAGCAAGACAACACGGTCCCTACAGGAACAGGAAGCTGGCCTGCTCAGCCGACAGTGGCCCCAGAAGGCAGACAGCAGGGAAGGGGGCCCCCAACCGCACCTCCCGCGTTCCCATCATTGCAGCTTGCCTGTCTTAGGACTCATTTTCGAGACAAAAGGGGTGTCCATGCCCCAGACTGAAGAGGGACCGCCAGGCGGGACCAACCTTCCTCTTGAGGACGCTGAGCTTCTCCACCACGCCGTCCAGCAGGCTGACCACGGAGTCCACGGCGGGGCAGCCGCTCAACGTCTTCTCCAGCTCGGCCACCACCATGGTGACGTGGCTGGTCTCCCGGTCAATGTTCTTCTGAGCGGCGCGAAAGCGTTTGTTCAGCGTCTCGTAGGGCACCTGGAGAGGAAGGAGGATGGTGAGGGATCTGCTCCCCTGGTGTGAGCCCCACCAGCCCCACACCCAGGACACACCAGGTCTCCTCATGGCACTTGTAGAGGCAGAAGTCTCAGAAGGTTCATGGTCTCAAAAGTATCTACTCTAAACCTCAACCAAGACCCACAAAAGCCCTGCTGAACGGAGAGCCACTCCACATCCCTGGATGAGAAGCAACCCCAATTTTTGCCAAAAACATTGTACGTGTATGTTGACAAAATAATCCCAAAGTTCATCCAGAATAACGAACAGTTAAAGAAATTTCCAAACAGGAGAGGAGTGACCGGGGTGTGAGGCTATCAGACGGTAAAACACAGGCCTGGCCGGTGATCAGCCAGGCTGCTGCGGCTGCAGGCGCCACCACACGAGGCCAGGCCGGGCAGGGACAAGGGTGCATGGGGCGTGGGCTCCACACGGGCTGGGGTTGGGCACAGCAAGCCTCACACACGCACGGGAAGCCACAAGTGCACGACCCACACCTCTCCTGTGTGACAGCGTTTGCCTTCCCCAGTCGTAAGAACCATCCATTCCCTGTGGAAATAAGCCAATCAAGGAGAATCTTAAAGTCGTTGTTAGTTTTCTGTCCCTCTGAGAGAAGCGCTGCTGAGTTCTTCTCCGCCCGTTTCCTGTGCTCTACGGTTTGAAAGCGGCACGACAGAATCACGCCCCAGCGCTCCCCGGCCTCCGTGGCCGGGCTCCCGCAGGAAACACCACCTGCGGTCCTGGCTGCACTGGTGGCCGGCAGCTCACCACACAGCGCATCAGCAACACGGCCGTGCTGCCGCCCAAGAGCAGTGGGCCCAACTCTGCCGTCGCAGCTGTGCCAGAACAAGCGCTCCACCTCGCCTCCTCTCCAGCCGTGCCCAACCATGGGAGGACAGACTCTCGGGTACCGCCTGCTCCCCCGGCCCTGGGCACGCCTCGACCTCGTGTCAGCCACTGTGCTTAGCCGTGAGGCCACGTGAGGAAGGCAGGGCTGCAGTGAGGGAGACCTGGACGCAGCTCAGCGCTTGGGCTTCCCAGAAGTAGGGACAGCCAGGGCAACAGAGACAGGACTGGCCTCAGCCGAGGAAGGAGCCACACAGCAGGGCTCTTCCCTAGACTCACTTTCCCCCCGAAAGCAGGGGCAGGAGGCGGGTGGCAAGGCCGGCCCTGAGCCCGTTCCCCCGGCTGCCACTCCCCACTCGGCCTGGCCCCAGCTGCCCTCCACTCAGACATCCCCCAGCGCCGACGTGGACCCACCGCGGGTGACAGGGTGCACACGCTCTCGTCCACACCAGACAGCCACACAGGAGGCTTTGCAAATGGCAGCCAGCATCACCGTCTGCTACCGAGCAGGACTCACCCTTGCTGGTGAGCAAATGAGTCAGGATGTTGAGAAGGAGGGCAGGGAAGCTATCAAGACACAACACGCTTAACCAACTCACAAAGCAGTGACAACAGGAGACGGACTCGAAGCCAGGCACCGTGTGTGGCATCTGGAACCAAGCTTGCTGGTGCCACGCAGCCTGGGGTCCCATCATCCACACTGCCTGCCTTCAAGATTTCTCCCAAGGATTCGGCACTGCTTAGGAAAGACGGGAAAGATTCTTTTCGTCTGCTCTACATCTAGTGGATGGGAAGTCACAGCAGACAGCACTTCAGCTCTCCATAAATACCTGACCAGTGCAAGCGAGCTCAACGAGACCCACTGGGGAAGGCCCCCCCGAGGCCCTGACACCACAGCCCGACACCGGCCTGCAGGACTCTCCCACTGGAGACCCTATCTGAGTGTGTCCTGCCACGAGGTGGAATTTCTAAAGGACGCAAGGCATATACTCAGTCTTTGCTCTGCCTGTGCAGGCGCCTCACAAGAGCAGGACAGAAAGTCTTCGCCATTAGACCATTAGACAAAGCGGCACAACCACCCTCGCTCGCGCGGAGGAACCCACACAGCATCCGCACACCAGCACATTCCAGACCGCCACCAGAAAAGGAAAGGCCTCTCTGGACGTCCCTTAGCTGCATTCAAGTTCTACGCGGGAACGGGGCCTTTCTGGACTTTCCAACCCCTGCCGGGCCGTCCGCCTCACCGCGGTGCTGACGCTGCTCAGGCACAGGGCAGAGCTCCGGGCAGCTGGTGTGCTGCAGACAGGAACCCTTTGCTCCCAGTGCAAGGGAAAAGGCCCTGCCCAGAACGCGCCACGGTTACGCAGAACGCAGGCATGAAGGAGGCCGGGGAGGGGCTCACCGGGGCCACGGTGTCTTCACAACTGGAAGACCCCACCTCCCTGCCAGTGGCTCTCAGGGTCCACATCCAGCCGCTTACTCCTCAGGCCTCCCACGCCTCTGCGCACGCTCCTCCCACCTCCCTGCCTCTGCTCCTCCTCCAGCGCTGGCCCGGGGCTATCCAATCTGAGTTCAGGGGATGAGCGCAGCACCCCCTCTCCCTCCAGCAGGGCAGCTGCTGACCCAGACAGCAGCTCCTCCCCACATCCACGCCCCCCAGAGGAGCCAGGCCAGCCCCGGAAAGCACCGCCTCCTCTTCCGGGGGACTCAGCACGTGACTCCGGGCCCTAAAAGCTCCCCTCCACTGGCCTGGGCTGGCTGGTTAGCAAGAGCCCCTTCACAGGCTCCTTAAAGGGCATTTGGTGACCGAGTGAGTGGAATTTCAGAAATGCTAAAGACTCTAACTCGAGCCAAATTATCACTCAAGAATGAGGACAAACTGAAGTTACTTTCAGATACGCAAGGGCTGAAAGCTGAGCACACACAAACCTTCCTGGCAGAAAAACTACTCAGAAATATTGCTTAGTGATCAAACACAATAAATCCGTGGACAAAGACAATGTAAGACACAAGAAACAGCAATGCAGAGAGGGGCCAGCAGATTCTAAGACACAAGAAACAGCACTGCAGAGATGAGCCCGCAGAAGATACAGCTCGCCCAAATGAGGACAGGCAACCTCACAGACCGTATCATAGGAAGAACAGTGAAAAGGGGCAAAGCATTAAAAATAGATTCCTAATAGCACAGGCAACAGAAAGAGACAAATGGGACTACATCAAACTTAAAAACTGCAGAGCAGGAAAAACCAACAGAGTAAAAAATGGGAAAAAATAGCTGCAACCCAGGGATCTGCATATGGAGCTACTATCCAGAATGCACTTTTAAAAACGCCTACAACTCCACAACCAAAGGAAATATCCAATTTTAAAATGGGTGAAGGACTTAGACACTTGTACAGAGAAGATAAACCAATGGCCAAGCGGCACATGACAAGATGCTCCACACGACCAACCACTGCTCAGGAGACACAAGTGCAGACGTGAGGCATCACCTCGTGCCCGTTAGGACGGCGATCACTCAACACCGAAAGCTATGCCACGGCAGGAAGCGGAGCAGCGGGACACGCGTGCAGTGCCAGGGAACGTGCCCGGCGCAGCGTGTAGAGCAGCGAGGCAATTCCTCAGAACGTTAGGCACAAGGCTCCTGAGTCCCCAGTAGGCCACGAGAACTGAAGGCAGGGTCCCAGGAGGTATCTGCACACCTGTGTTCATGGCAGCCACGAGGCAGAAGCCACCCACATGTCCATCACCAGGGGAATGAAGAAAGAAAACGTGGCAGTCACACACCACATAACGACATTTTGGTCAACAACAGACCGTGCAGGTGATAGTGGTCCCATTAAGATTAGGATACTGCATTCTCACTGCACCTTTTCTATGTTTCGATGTGTTCCATGCAAAACACCACCGTGGAACAGCTGCCTGCAGTATTCAGTGCAGTGACATGCTGTACAGGTTTGCAGCCCAGGAGCCACAGGCTGTACCACGGTGCGGGCGTGCAGCAGCCACACCATCTGGCTCCTGTTAGTTCATTCCACGATGTTCACACCGCAAAGTCGCCTAACGATGCATTTCTGAGAGTTTTTCCATGTAAGTGACACATGACCGTATCTGCACAGGTAATGGTTCATTTCAGGCATCAACTTGATGGGATTTGGGATACCTAGAGAACCTGTGAAGCATTACTTCTGGGTGTGCCTGTGCGGGTGTTTCCAGAGGAGACTGGTGGGTGAGTGGGAAGATGTCCTCCAGGTAGGTGGTGCCATCCAGTCCGCTGGGGCCCAGACAGAACAAGAAAGTCAGAGGATAAGCAATTTCCTGTCCCTCCTGGAGCTGGGATCCTGCCCTTTGGCATCAGAACTCCAGGGTCTCTGGCCTTTGGATGTTGGGACTTACACCAGCATCCCCCCAGGGTTCTCAGGCCTTTGGCTTTGGACTGAGCCACGCACCAGCTTCCCAGGGTCTCTGGGGTGCAGGTCTGCTGCGGGACTCAGCCTCTGTAATCACACAAGCCAGTTCCCCAATAAATCCCCTCATCTACCTCTATATATTATGAGTTCCGTCCCCCTGGGGACAAGTAACACAATACACAGTGGAACAGTATTCAGCCTTTTAAAAGAAGGCAATCCTCTCACTCACTGTAACATGGGTGAACCTTGAAGACATTATGCTAAGTGAAATAAGTCAACCATGAAAAGACAAATCTGCTAACTCTGCTTGTATGAGGTATCTCACACAGTCCAACTCTTAGACACATAAAGCAGAATGG
Organism: Homo sapiens; assembly: GCF_000001405.40. Classification (NCBI taxonomy): domain Eukaryota; kingdom Metazoa; phylum Chordata; class Mammalia; order Primates; family Hominidae; genus Homo; species Homo sapiens. The sequence goes on along the minus strand of NC_000004.12, from coordinate 1,307,345 downwards.
TGGATCCCAGGGGCTGGGGTGGGGAGGAGGCAGTTTTGTTCAATGGCTATGGAGTTTCCGGTTTGCAAGATGAGAGGGTCATGGTGATATAGATGGTATGACTGTACTGTGTGCTTACGGAACGGTGTCTACGCTATAAATGGATAAAGTGGTTGCTGTATAAAATGGTTGATGGCAAATTGTATACATATATAACAGTATCTTTTTAAATTAAAAAATGTTAACAAAAATTCTAATGAATTTTGATAAATGGCACCTGACTGCCAGACTTCTCATAAAGCTAGAGTGCTGAAGCCAGTACAGCACTGGTCTAGGAATGGATGCAGGGGTCAATACAGGGTGGGGAACCCAGAAAAAGACCCACAGGCAGGGTCCATTTACATACAGCCAAGGGGCCAAGGCAACTGAGGCGAAGGACAGTCTCTGCAACAGCCAGGACAGGGAAGGGATGGCCCTCAACCCAAACCTCACATCCCATGAAAAGTGCCTCCGAATGGATCACGGACCTAAACACAAAAGCTCAAACTGTGAAACTCCTTAGAAGGAAACAAGGGAGAAAATCTTTGCATCCTTGAGACAGGCAACAATTTCTTAGAAGGATACAAAATGTACCAACTGTAAAAGAAAAATCCATCCTCTGAACCTTATCAAAATTAAAACTTCTGCTCTTCAGAAAACAATGTAAGAAAGTTAAGAACACGAGCCATGGACTGGGAGAAGGCCTTCACAGCACAGCTGACAAAGGGCTTCCATCTGGAATACAGCCAACTCCTGCAGCCTCAGTATTACGACAAGCAAGCCCCCCAACCCACTTTTCTTTTCTTTTTTCTTGAGACACAGTCTCACTCCATCACCCAGGCTGGAGTGCAATAGCGTGATCTCGGCTCACTGCAACCTCCGCCTCCCGGGATCAAGTGATTGTCCTGCCTCAGCCTCCTGAGTAGCTAGGACTACAGGTGCCTGCCACCTCGCCCGGTTAGCAATCCCATTTTTTTAATGGGGAAAAGGTTTGAACAGGAACATCACAGAGAAGTTCTATGAAGGGCAGGTAATCTCCAGGAAGACGTGCAACATCATGAGTCATCAGGGAAATGCAAATTAGACCACAGCGGAAAGCGCGATGGTGAATTTTATGGGTCCATTTGACGCTGCCAGGTTCCCCAACAAACATTTGGCCAAGTATTATTCTGGGTGTGACTGTGAGAGCATTCTGGGATGGGATTAATATCTGAATGGGTAAACTGAGGAAAGCCCACAGCCTTCCCCGTTGGGGAGGGGCCCTGCCCAATCTGCTGAGGACCTGAAGGGAAAGGCAAGGCTGGGTAAGAAGGAATTCCTCCTGTGGGCGGGGCATGGTCTTTTCTGGCCTTTGCACTTGGACTAAAACCCTGGCTCTTCTTGGATCTCCCGCCCGCCCGACAGCTTCCGGGTTAAAACTGCTACTGTCAGCCCTCTTGGTTCTCAGGCCTTGAGACTGAGACTGGAACTACATTTCAGCTCTCCTGGGTCTCCGGCTCGGGACTTAGCTTTGATAACTGCACCAGCCAATTCTTTGTGACACAGCTCCTTACACGCACGCGTGCGCACGTGCACGCACGCACACTCCCACACACGCGTGCGCACACACACATGTGGGTGCCACTGGCTCTGTTTCTCTGGAGAACCCCGGCACCCAGAAGAACAGTTCCAAGTCAAGAGGCCGCCACCACATGCTGGTGGAGCCGGGATACCTGGACTCTTGCTGGCAGCAGTTCTGATGATCCTTCTGGAAAAAGCGCTTAGTTCTTTAAAAGGTAAAGACACCTACCAGATGACTCAGCCATTCCACTCCCAAGAAAAATGGACATACAATATCCACATACAGGTGCAGGAATGCTTGTTCACCACAGTTCCAATTGTCCATTGACCAGGATGGGTAAACAAACCACGGTGTGTCCACACCGAAGAGTCCTCCAGCAATCAGACGGAGGGCCGCGCCGCCTGGAAGCAGCGGGGCACAGCAGCACAAGCAGGCTCCACTCACAAGGCACCCTCACCAGGGCCGGGCTCACCTAGTGCAGCGGCTTTCCACAGGGACCACTTGCTCCCCAGGGGACACCTGGCAATGTGTGGAGACCTTTTTGATTTGCCACAAGTGGAGCATGGCTGTGAACTGGGCAAACCGCAAGAGGAAATTAACTGGAACAAAGAAAACCTTAACGATCCACCAAAAAAAAAATGAAAAAATGAAGACAAAAGCATGGGAAATAGAAAGCAAAATAAGATGGTGAAGAGAAGTCCACGGTATTAATAATCATCATAAATCTGGATGGCTATGGAAAGACAGAAACATCAGTACAACTTTTTTGTTTTTAAAACATCTCTGAGAAACCGAAGCAGATAAAAAAAGGATAAAGCCACAAAGCAGTACCATTCAGTAGAGTATAGCGTGAGACACATTTGTATAGTTTCAAATTCAATAGAGTATAGCGTGAGACACATTTGTAGAGTTTCAAATTTTCTAGTAGCCATAGTACAAAGAAACACATGAAATGTGTTTTAATATATTTTATTTAACCCAATTTATCCCGAATATGTTCATTTAAACACTTAACATAAATTACCAGGGGCCGGGCGTGGTGGTTCATGCCTGTAATCCCAGCACTTTGGGAGGCCGAGGTGGGTGGATCATGAGGTCAGGAGATGGAGACCATCCTGGCCAACACGATGCCCCCGTCTGTACTAAAAATACAAAAAAATTAGCCAGGCGTGGTGGCGGGTGCCTGTAGTCCCAACTACTCGGGAGGCTGAGGCAGGAGAATGGTGTAAACCCAAGAGGCGGAGCTTGCAGTGAGCAGAGACCACGCCACTGCACTCCAGCCTGGGCGACAGTGCGAGACTCCGTCTCAAATAAATAAATAAGTAATTTTCAGGGCCAAGCATGGTGACTCCTATCTGGAATCCCCGTGCTTTGGGAGGCTAAGGTGGGAGGACTGCTTGAGGCCAGGAGTTGGAGACCAGCCTGGGCAACATAGAGACACCCCCGTCTCTACAAAAAAAAATACAAAATAAACAAACAATAAATAATCATTAGATATTTTACATTCTTTACCCTCTTTGTACTAAACCTTTGAAAGCTAGGGCATACTTTACATTGACAGCACACGACGATTTGGACCAGCAACATCTCAAGTGCTCAACAGCCACATGCGGCTCACAGAAAACACACTGGTGAGGTGAAGGAAACTGGAGCCACACGACTGACAGGGGGAGGAGGGTGCGTGGGGTTTGACGGGAGCTACAGAACCTGGGCCTCACCCTTCAACCCAGGTATTCTACTTCTATGGACCTGGACTAAAAACTCCCGACTCCTGTGTGCAGAGCTACACACCACGGACGCCCCCTGCCCTGCCCGACCCCCACCCTGCCCTGCCGGACCCCCCTGCCCTGCCCGACCCCCACCCTGCCCTGCCGGACCCCCCTGCCCTGCCGGCACTGTGCAAGCATGCTCTTCAGTTGTCTATTAAGCTGAATCATACAAAAAATCCCAATGTCATTTTTAATTTTACCAATTTTTACTGATACAATTCACAGGCCGTAAAATTCACCCCTTTAATATGTACAATTTAGTAGTTTTTAGAATAAGCACAAGGTTGTACAAACCACTCTACTTCTAGATTTTCATCACTCCAAAAAAGGAACCCGCTGTAGTCCCCTCAGACCCAGGCAATCAACCACCAACCAATTCCATATAAATGGAATCACACGTGATGTGGACTTTTGTATCTGGCTTTTCTCACTTAGCATGTTTACCAGGTTCACCTGTGATGTGGCATACAGCGACGCTCCACTCCTCTTCATGGCTGAATGGTCTTCCGTGGTATTCGTATACCTATTTGTTTAGGAATTCACAACTGATGGACCTTTGGCTGCTATCGAGAAGGACATGACATTCTTTTTTTTTTTTGAGACAGAGTCTCACTGTCGCCCAGGCTGGAGTGCAGTAGTGCGATCTCAGCTCACTGTAACCTCTGCCTCCCCGGTTTAAGTGATCCTCCTGCCTCAGCCTCCCAAGTAGCTGGGACTACAGGTGCACGCCACCATGACCGGCTTTTTTTTTTTTTTTTTTTTTTTGTATTTTTAGTAGAGACGGGGTTTCACCATGTTGGCCAGGACGGTCTCAATCTCCTGAGCTCATGATCCACCCGCCCCAGCCTCCCAAAGTGCTGGGATTACAGGCATGAGCCACCACACCCGGCCCGAGGATGACATTCTTAAGAGTTTCTACTGGTCTTGGGGATAAGCTGAGGAGGGGAGCTGCCAGGTCCTATGGTAACTCCGTGTGTCACCTGAAGAACGGCCAGGTTGTTTTCCGAGGTGGCTGCGTATGAGGATTTCAATTCCCCACATTCACACCCAACAACTCGCCATTGTTTTTGCTACAGCCCTTCTGGTGGGGTAGGAAGCAGCACCTCACTGTGGTTTTGGTTTGTATTTCCCTAAGGATTAATGATGTGCTTAGTGGCCATTTGTATATCTTTGCAGAAGTTTGCTAAAATTGTGTGCTCATTTAAAAAATGTTTTCTTGGCTGGGCGCGGTGGCTCACGCCTATAATCCCAGCACTTTGGGAGGCTGAGGCGGGCGGATCACGAGGTCAGGAGATCGAGACCAACCTGGCTAACACAGTGAAACCCCGTCTCTACTAAAAATACAAAAAAATTAGCCGGGCATGGTGGCAGGTGCCTGTAGTCCCAGCTACTTGGGAGGCTGAAGCAAAAGAATGGCGTGAACCCGGGAAGCGGAGCTTGCAGTGAGCCGAGATGGCGCCACTGTACTGCACTCCAGCCTGGTGACAGAGTGAGAATCCAACTCAAAAAAACAAGTTTTCTTTTGCCTTTGTATTAATGAACTAGAAGAGTTCCTAACCTATTCTGAATACTAAACCCTTAACAGATATATGACTGGCAAACATTTTCTCCCTGTTCTGAGCAGCTGTCTTAGTCAGCTCAGGCTGCTGTAACAAAAATATCACAGACTGGGCAACTTAAACAGCAAACACTGATTTCTCACAGTGTAAAGTACTTTTGTTGCATCTATTGAGATGATTATGTGGTTGTTGTCCTTCATTCTATTAATATGATACACGACATTGATTTTCACACGTTGAACCAACTTTGCATTTCTGGGGGAAATCCTACTTAGTCCTGACACATAATCCTTTCTATATTTTGTTTTCTTAGATTTTCTTAGTTTTCTAAGATTTTGTTGAATATTTTGGCATCTATTTTCTCTCATCTGGAACAATGGTCTATGGTTTTCTTGTGATGTCTTTGTCTGGTTCAAGGTTATATCAAAGTTATACTGGCCTCATAGAAGGAGGTGGGATGTAATCCCTCCTTAACTGTTTTTAGAAGAGTTGGTATAAATCCTTCTTTAAATGTTTAACAGAATTCATCAGTGAAACCATCTGGTCTCAGGCTTTTCTTTGTGAGGTTTTTTGTAGTAACTTCACCTGTTATAGGTCTATTCGGTCATCACTTTTAACTTACAAAAATAACAACTGTATATGATTCAACCTAACACTTTTTTCCTTCTACACATTTTGTCTGTGTCCCTTGTCCAGTGCTTATTTATTTTTACTTATTCACTTACTTATTCATTCATTCATATAGGGCGTCACTCTGCTGCTCAGGCTGGAGTGCAGGGACACAATCATGGCTCACTGCAGCCTTGAGCTCCTGGCTCAAGTGATACTCCTGCCTCAGCCTCCCAAAGTGCTGGGATTACAGGCATGAGCCGCTGTGCCTGGCTTGGTATTTGCTTTTAAATTCTGGTTCTATCTTTTCTGGTTATACCAAAGAATTAAACTTTTATTTATCACATCTCCCCAATTTTTCCTAAGTAATTTGTTGCATTACAGCTTTTTATGTTCACGGGATTTCTCTACTTAGCGAATGTTAAATTACATCTCCTCCAGTACATCTTCCCCTTTGGTGACTCACAGCAGTAATCCTCCCTGATTTCGTCACTGAAACAGAATGTGGCAAGCAGTGTGAGTGGAGACATGCGTGAAACGTCTGCACCTGCCCGCCCGCTGCCCCCACACGGTGCCATCAGCTTCAGGATGCGCTTCCTCAAACCTTCTCCAGCGTTTGCCGTGCTTCTGACAGAATTTGCTGACAAAACGCAACGCATTTCAGTGTGTCATCATCATGTTTTCACCAGCACGGGAAGGAAGAATTTCCCCAATGCATGAGGCTCTTTGTCTTTTGCAATTAACCAGAAGAGGTTTCTAAATATTGATCACGAAGCTCATCACAGGGCCAGAAGTGCTGGATTAAGCCCTGGGTGGCAGTTTACATCCCTCTCCGTCCTGGAGGGGCCAGTCTCATGTTCTGGTGCGGGGCATGTAATCACGGTGGCTTCCTGCCATCCTGAGCTAATCTCCCCAAGCACAGCACATACCCTGAGGGAGGCTCACCAAGGAAAAACGCTTCGAATCCCCTAAGAGGCTTCTTGAAAAAATGACACTTCCAGTCAACTTCTGAGGGGATGTAACCAGATTGATGTTGCGCCCTACAAAGCTCGCAGTGGCAAGAGTGCTGTCGGCCCTGAGCTCTGCGCTCCCTGTTGTGTGCACGCCCAGTTAGGCCCAGCCTTAGCCAGCCACTTCCTTGCAGGAACCTTTTAAAGCCACTGGTCCGTCTTGGAAAGGGTATGCGACCTGCGGCAGCGGCACACACGCACGCCACGCAGCCCCAGCCTCGGAAGCCGGCAGCACGGAAGAGCCGGGGCCGTGCCCCACGCGGTCCAGTGCCCTCATCCCCAGGTCACTCCCTGACCAAACAACAGAGACTGCAAGCGGGCAGGAGTGTCAGTTCATAATCACAACATCAGCAGAGCTTCCTCTCTCACCTTTCCATAAAGTATTTCAAAGGGAGCCAGCTGTTCTGCCACAAGGTCACAACTTTGGCAGTTACATACCTGGCTGTGGTGTCTGGCAAGGCCCAGCCCTTCTTGGTGTCCCTTTCATTATAAATAAGAAATATTTATCAAACACAAAAAGAACAATATGATATCATTACGGTTTTCATGCAGAAACACGGCATCCTCTGCTAGTGCCAATCTTCCTTCGGGCCTTTCCTGAAACAGCTCCGTGGCAGTCAGGCTGCCTGCTAAGGATGCTGTTGGATCGTCTGTCTCTGCTGCTTTGGGTTATGGTGAATGGGATGTGTTCTAACTGGCTGGCGGTGATATAGAGGGTGGCGACTGGGTTTCGTGCACTTACTGTATGCCCCGTTATTGTGCTGACTTTCTCAATGGTTACATTTACTTCTATTTCAATTCTTACTGCTTTAGACAGAATTGCCAAAATAATATTTAATATTATTTTGTTCATTTGTTAATTGGAGAATTTATTTCTTCTCTATCCTTCAAAAGAGCTTATAATCCCAGTGGTCAGAAACAAGCAAAATACCGTTATGTGAGACAGCGGTCACGACTCACGAGGGAAAAGGGCAGAAGTGGGAGATGCTGGGGCTGCAGTTTCAACAGTGGAGTCAGAGAAGCTTCACAAGCTGACAGCTCAGCGAAGATTGAAGGAGGTGAGGACATGGGACCACGGACGTTGGCAAAGATTGAAGGTGAGGACATGGGACCATGGACATCTGTGGAAGGAGCGCTCCAGACAGAGGAAGGTGGCAGTAAAACCCTGGGCTCGGCATGCTGGCCTGGCTGAATGGCGGCAGAAAGGCCACTGGGCCCAGCACCCTACAGGGCAAAGGGCCTGGGAGCCACTGTAACGACCCTGGCCTTCATCCCCAGGTCAGGAAACTCCTAGAACAAAAAGACGACAGGATCTGGCGCTGGGGCAGCCGGGGTGGGCATGAGCAGAGCAGGAGCAGCCAGAAGGCTATTCAATATTCCAGAGAGAGATGCGACTTGAGCCGCAGGGGCAGAGGTGGGAAGAGCAGCAGCAGCTGGGCCTGGGCATGTCCTGACGCCAGGGTGGAGGGGCAGACGGGCTGGGCATGAGCTGTGACAACAGAGGCATCAAGGCCAACCTGAAGGTTCTGGCCTGACCAAGGGAGATGGAGGGGCTGCCCTTCCCGAAGAGAAGGGAGACTGGTAGAATTGGTTTGGGCAGCAGGTGTTAAGATGATAAGCTCAGATCTAAATATGCCAAGGAGCTGGGCATGGTGGCTCACACCTGTTATTCCAACACTTTTGGACGCCCAGGAGGGAGGAATGCTTGAGCCCAAGAGATGGAGACCAGCCTAGACAACGGAGCTAGAACCTATCTCTACAAATAAAAAAATTAGCCAGACACGGAAGCAGGCGCCCGTGGTCCCAGTTACCCGGGAGGCTGAGGCAGGAAGATCACCTGAGCCCAGGAGGTCAAGGCTGAAGTGAGCTGTGATCATGCCACTGCACTCCCGCCTGGGTGCCAGAGTGAGATCCCATCTCTAAAAATAATAATAATTTTAATAATAATAATTTTAATGCCAAAGTGCCTTGCCAAGTGGGTATGTTTTACAGGCTACTGGATACAGGGCTCTGGGGTTGGGAAGATACCTGCCTGGGAGTCATCAGTATACACAGAGGGTCCTATCAGTCCACTAGACCCTGTGAGAGCACCAAGGCAGCGGTGCTCACAGCAACACCCAGGGCCAAGGACTGAGCCCGGGGGGAAACGCGAGGATGGCGCTCTAGGAGCCCGAGGGGGTGAGCTGTGTTCCAGCCCTGTGAGAGGTCGAGATGGGCAGCAAGAATCCATCATGGGTCTCAGCAGTGTCTTGGGGTTACCTGGTGCCCTGACTATAGCACTGTGATGGGGGTAAAACCAGATGAGAAGCAATTCCAGAGACCCCAAGGCAGGGCTGGCTCAGACAGAGGGGACCTGTGGGTCCCGCACACAGTTAACCAGAAGACGGCGCGTGTGCCTCTTCGTGGATAACCAGAAGACGGCGCGTGTGCCTCTTCGTGGATAACCAGAAGACGGCGCGTGTGCCTCTTCGTGGATAACCAGAAGACGGCACATGCCTCTTCAGGTCACAGGGATGGGGCAGGGGGTCTGGTGCATGAACAAAGGCTGGCCTTGGGCGGGGCACAAATGACATATCTCCAGTAAAAGAAAGGAAACAGTGAGCACAAGCAGGCAGGCGACAGACAGGGCCAAGCCGCGGGCAGAGCACAAGGACGGGGCAGGCATGGGGGGCTCATGGAGAAGGAGGGGCATATGGAACAGTACCTGGGGTACAGGGTGCTAAAATGCCTCAAGAAGCATGGCTATGCTGCCAGGCAGTACTCGACACCCACTCCAGGCAGCAACCGGGTTCCTCAGCAGATAGGTGCGGCTTCTGTGGCCAGTGCAGGGGCCTTGCACAGCGGGGTTTCCATGCTGGAATGTTCTAGAACAATGGGAAGCAGAGAAGGGCAGGGGATGGGGCTACATCGCGAGGGGTGGAGGCAAGGGAGAAAGGAAACGCAAGAGGCTGACCACAGCCAGATGAGAGCACAGGCCATGAGACCAAGACATACTCTAGAATGCGGCAAGTGGACAAAAGTGAGATGCGAAGTTTAGGAATTTCCCAGACAGACGGGGGAGAAATTGGTTCGGCCAACAGCCATTGACTGACTCCTGTGCCAGGCACTCGTGGGTGTGACGTGAACGACGACAAAGGACGGCCCGTGCCCTCGCAGAGCAGACGCTCTAAAGGAGACGCCCAACCAAAGCACAGAGAGATGCAGGCGACCGCGTCAGACTGTGACGAGTGCTGCAAAGGAAACCAGGCAGGCAAGGGACAAAGGGCAAAAGGAACCACATCCTAATTTTATTTAGGGCAGCAATGAGCCCACACTCAAGCGCGTGCTCTCTCTCTATATGTATGTATACACACACACATACGCACGTACTTTTTCAGGCTCCTCCAAAGCTAGAAATGGCCAGCCCCGTGCTCTGGGGAATGAGCTGAAGTGTAAACGCTTGGGAGGATGTCCACTAAGGCCCCCACGCAGGGAGCTGGCCACGCAGGGCGGCACTGATTCCCCCTTACCCTCCTCCTGGCCGCGAAGGCCGCAGCCCCAGCAGCCATCGTGGACTCAAGGATAAACGTGAGAAACAGAAATCGAGAAAACCTCCGAGTTCTCGGCTGTCACTGAACAAGTGCCGGGGGACATCGCTGTCAACTGACTTGGGAAGGGTGGCTTAGTAAGGCAGGTCTGGGGCTCGTCTGGGGCCCCAAGGCCGAGATGCGGCATTTGGTTTTGCGCCTGGTATCGTATCTTTGAACTGCCTTCCAGACATGCGAAGAGAGCTCCGGGAGGTGACTACACGGGATGGCCTCAGGGAGAGAGGCCTGGGGAGGGCAGCAGTGTGGGGACAGGAGCTTGGAGACCGTCTGTGAAGCCACACAACCTCTGGAGGGCTGGCTGGTGACATAAAACAAAAGGCCTCCAAGACTAGAGAAGACAGCATAGGCAAGTGAGGACATGCAGCGAGGGGTGGGGAGAGCCCAGAGGATGGTGTCACGGGAGCCGAGTGATGGGAGCGTCTCGAGGCAGTGGGGTCCGCTGTGGACTGACCGCTTTCAGGAGCATCATCCTGTCCTCAAGAGGAACATCTGGGTGGAGTGTTGGGGGGCAAAAATCTGATTTAGGTAAAACAGGAAGAGAGACATGAAGGGGCAGAGACAGGGAGTAGTAGCTGGAGGAGGACGGGGGCAAGGAAGGGGTTTTCACGAGAGGAAGACTCAGAGCCACGTGCACACCAGGGAGCTGCACAGCCAATGGGAAAACCGACCAACAGAGAGAGAACCAAGTGCAGGAGCAGCCACAAGGCAAAGGGCACAGCACAGGTGAGGGGGGCACAGCGCAAGTGAGGGAGGCACAGGCACGGGTGAGGGGGGCACAGGCACGGGTGAGGAACGGCACAGGCATGGGTGAGGGGTACAGGTGAGGAATGGCATGGGTGACGGCTGCACAGGCACAGGTGAGGGGGGCACAGGTGCGGGTGGGGGGGCACAGGTGAGGGTAGCATAGGTGAGGTGCAGATGTAGGTGGGGGGCGCACGTGAAGGTGGTGCAGGAGCAGGTGAGGGAGGAGCAGGTGAGGGAGGAGCAGGTGAGGGGGGCACAGGCACAGGTGGGGGGCACAGGTGAGGGCAGCACAGGTGAGGGCAGTGCAGACGTGGGTGAGGGGGGCACAGGTGCGGGTGGGGGGGCACAGGTGAGGGTAGCATAGGTGAGGTGCAGATGTAGGTGGGGGGCGCACGTGAAGGTGGTGCAGGAGCAGGTGAGGGAGGAGCAGGTGAGGGAGGAGCAGGTGAGGGGGGCACAGGCACAGGTGGGGGGCACAGGTGAGGGCAGCACAGGTGAGGGCAGTGCAGACGTGGGTGAGGGGGGCACAGGTGCGGGCGAGGGTGGCACAGGTGTGGGTGAGGGGGTGCAGGTGAAGGCAGCACAGGTGAGGGCGGTGCAGACACAGGTGAAGGGGCAAAGGCGCAGGTGTGGTGGGCACCGGCATGGGTGAGGAGGGCACAGGCGTGGGTGAGGGGGCACAGGCGCTGGGGAGGGGGGCACAGGCGCGGGTGAGGGGGGCAGAGGCACGGGTGAGGGGGCACAGGCGCGGGTGAGGGGGTACAGGAGCGGGTGAGGGGGGTACAGGTGTGGGTGAGGGGGTATAGGAGCGGGTGAGGGGGTACAGGAGCGGGTGAGGGGGGTACAGGTACGGGTGATGGGGCTCATCCACCACGGGTGTGGGAGCAGGTGCAGGTCAGGCAGGGTCTGCGTGACAGGCATGGGCGAGCATGAAGTAGGAGGGAAAGTCTGAGAGAAGGACAGGTATGAAAGGCTCGCCTGGGAGGAGAGGAAGGAGGCTGCTCTGGGCCCCTCCCTCGAGTGGGGCAGCACTCAGGGTCCCGGTCCGGGTCCACAGTCAGCCATCAGCACAGCAGGTGCTTTCTTCTGCTCAGCCACATTCAGCTCAACAGTCACTAAATGTGGTATTAACACAGTGAATAATTCTTTTTGTTCAGGTTTTCAAAATAATGGCCCCTAGCTATAACGATTCTGAAATAACAGACCTAAAAATCATCAGCAGTTACCCCGGCAGGAAGTGTGCTTTGCGATGCCTGGGTCAGCACCCAGACATCCCCACTCGGCCTGAAGCCCCCAGAGGGTGGGGCTCGCAGCACAGCCTCTCTGCAGACGGGGCAGTCACATGCTACAGGCACCGGCCGGCCTTGTCTTCATTCTGGTGCCAATGTGTCTCCTTGGGCTTGCTTCCCATTCTGCTGACCCCTGTACCCACAGACCGAGTCACTGCCCAGCACCCAGTCTCACTGTGAGACCCTCCCTGCACAGCTCTGGGACACCCCCAGCCACATCACCCCAATGGTGCTGTGTGCCTGTGTGCCTACTGGGGTGAGAGCCGGCCAGGACTTCAACACGGTCCACAGAGCCTCACCCCAAAACTTAGCTCCGCCAACCAGCTCACAATATCGCATTCACTGGAGGAAGCTCATCCCCACCCCCGCCCCTGCCCCTGCCCCTGCCCCCGGCCCCACCCCCGTCCCCTGCCACTGTCCAACATCACCTCAACCTCATCAGCGTCTTTAAAGGATCTGAGATGTCTGTGTGTGCTTGTGCTGATGCCTCCCTCCCACCGGAGCGTAGACAGGGGCCTCACTTGTCTCCCCATCATGCTAGCCCAGGGCCTGACTGTGCAGGGCCTGACCGTACCTGGCCGATGGAGGCTCTCAGACCACTGCTGCGGAGGGGGGTATGGGAGAAGCTAAGTGCACCTGCAGCCCTGCTCTGCAGCCCGGCGGCGGTGCCTTGCTTAGGTCCCAGGGCCGCTCCAGGCCTCACGTCAGTACTGCCTCCAACCTAGCCCAGCCATTACGGTGAATCAGGCATTAAAAAGCACTTTCTTGACTTGAAATGTGTTAAAAAAATAATACTTAAAAAAACAAAAACAAAACCAACCCCCCAGCTAGCAGTGAATTCAAGTCTACATCCTTATCTCAGCCTTGCCCAACCAGCTGGAAAGGCCCAGGCCTGGGAGGGAAGACCTGTGCCAGCGCGGAGGCCGCGGAAGCCAGCCCAGGGCCAAACCACCAGCAAACGGTGGGAGAGGCGAGGGGAGTGGAGCTGGGAGCCACAAAGGGCAGACCATGGCTCTTCTGGGCAGAAGGAATTTCCACTGTGCTCTAGAGACCGGGCGGATTCTGGAGGGCTGTGACGTTACTGCAGATAAAGTACATCGAAAAAGCCGGCCACAGAAGAGGTGGAGACCCGGCCTAAGACTCCTCAGACACGGCATCACCAGGGTCCAACCCAATGTGTGTGTCAGTAAGTCAAACGCTTCGTGGTTGCCTGTGTTTCTCACACTCGAGAACACATGATCCTCCCAAATCCAGCCAAGATGGAGTGAAGAAAACTACAAAAGGCGCAGGAGCAGTTACAACTTCAGCACACAGCTGGCACCCGAACTCCCTACCACAGGCACAGACCCAGGCTGTGAGGCATCAGGGCCATGCCTGGGCAACCAGACTGTCATCAAACCAAAGGCAGAACATGCAAATCTTCCTGTAGAGAATTCAGACACCTGAGAATGCAACCACAAGCCCGGTGTTTCTCAGCCTGTCCTCTGGGGAGAGGACAGCATCACCACCTTGGGTGTGAGAGGACTCACTGGAGCTGGGAACCCTTGCTGGGGCTCCAGGAGAGGAGAGGTGGGCCCAGGTGGGGTTCACAGAGAGGAGCCAGGTCCAGACCAGGGTCTCCAGGTGATGAACACCACTTCCCGCCCTGGGCTGTGCAGACACCCATGTGAAATTCTCTAAACTATTATTTTTCTTCGGCTATCTGAAGGGAAATAGTAGGAGTAAATACACCAAAATGTTAATGAAGTTCTCTCTGTGCAGCAGGGTAACTTGAAGAAAAAACAAATTACTTTTATTTATTTATTATTTGAGACAGGGTCTCACTCTGTCACCCAGGCTGGAGGGCAGTGGTGCAATCTCGGTTCACCACAGCCTGGATCTCCTGGCTCAAGTGATCCTCTCGCCTCAGCCTCCCAATTAGCTGGGACTACAGGCGCACACCACCGCACCCAACTCATCAAATTACTTTTATAATCAGAAAAAAAAAAACCTTTTACAAAATAATGAAAGCAAGGGCTTCCAATTCAAGATGGTGAACTATGCATGTTGAATTGAAAGATGGTGAATTCCTGAGGTCAGGAGTTCAAGACCAGCTGGACAACATGGAGAAACCACGTCTCTACTAAAAAATACAAAAAATTAGCTGGGCATGGTGGCGGGTGCCTGTAATCTCAGCTACTCGGGAGGCTGAGGTAGGAGAATTGCTTGAATCTGGGAGGCAGAGGTTGCAGTGAGCTGAGATTGTGCCACCGCGCTCCAGCCTGGGCAACAGAGTGAGACTCCGTCTCAAAAAAGAAAAAAAAAAAAAAAAAAGATGGTGAGTTATTCATCTTTCCCCTCCCCCACAAGGCATTACCCACCACCCTACACCGGACGGCGTTCACAGCATTTGACAGCAAAAAGACACAGCCACAGCCAGGACGCAAGGCTGAGTCCTCATGAGCCACACCTCCGTTTGGTAAGAGGAAGAAACAAGTCCCTTAAAGCAGGATCCAGCCCAGCAATTCTCAGGGGTGTGTGCATGCCCCCAGGGCACATCTAGCAATGTCTGAAGACATTTTGGGGGCATGCTCTTGGCATCTGGCAGGCAGACACCAGGGATGCTGCTAGACATCCTAGACTGCACAGCCCCCACCACCGACAAAGGCTCCTCCAGCCCAAACGTTCGCAGGCCGGTCCACCCCTTTGGTGGAAATAGAAGCTCATGACGACAGAGGTGCCCAAGGTCAGTGCGTGTTGGCTGCAGCAATTCACGTCTGTTCCATTCTCTTCCCACTTCACCAGGAAAATAGAAAAATAAGTACCTGCCAGGCACCCAGGAGCCCCACCAGCCGCCCTGACGCTGTGAGGAAGCAGACATCCCAAGTGTTACTGCTGAAACCCACCTAGGGCTACCAAGCCCTCTGAAGAGAAAGGAATCCCCTGTGAGTCTGTGGAGGACTCACATGGCAGGAAAGCAGTTTAACTATTACCAGGTGAAGATCCAGTCCAGAGCATGCCAGCTGCTACCACCCTGCAGGAGGACTTGCTCTCAGACTAGAGAAGCAGAACATCCACCCCCCACCTTCCACAACCCCGGTCCTGCAGCCCTCGGTCCCTTCTCTGACATCTGCACTGGCCCCTCCTGGAAACTGAAGAGTGCAGCTCTTGAGCTGTGAGCTCAGCATGTTCTGTTTAGTTCTATACCAATAAATGCTTCTAAATCAAGGATCCCTAGTTTCCCAGCAAAACACCTCCATTATCCACTAGGAATCACTCCTGAAAACTTCTATGAAAAAAAGTTTTAACTCAGTAGTGACACAAGTGTCAACAGAGAAATTATGACACTATAATATTTCTTTACCTGTATGACTATCTGCATGACTATTTTAATCAGAAGCTATGCAATCACTCTGGAATACAAATTACATTCACGATTACAAAACAGCAGAAGACCTGAAGAAGAATCCTTTCCGGAGACCTTCCATCTCCCTTCCTAGTTCCTTCAATACACAATGAAAGGATTTCTGGAAACTTTTCCTATCTAGTGTTTCCCACATTCACCAGCCAGTACCAGAAGTGACAAACCACCACGGTTCTGATCTTCAAACCTTCTTGTGTGTTAGCTGAAATGACAGGCCTGGAGGTGCACTGCGTGAGACAAAGTGGTCAGTGGTTAGGACTCCCTACTAATATCACCACAATGTCCTTGTATAGACTTCTCTCAGCTGCAGGGTCTCCATCTCTAAACCAACAGAGATCCACCAATGTCACTGAGTATTAAAAACCAACCACCTACATCTTGGAGGGATCTAGCAAGAGGCTAGACCTTTGGTAACGTCAGCAACATTGCCCTCCCTTCCTTGATCAAAAGAAGTGCTGGACACACAAGCACCATGAAACCCCACTGCGAAACCATTAGTGTGGCGGGCGCGTGGCTCACACCTGTCAGCCCAGCGCTTTGGGAGGTCAAAAGGCAGGAGGATCGCTTAAGTCCTGGAATCCAAAACCACCCTAGGCAACAGTGAAACCCCGTTTCTTTTTAAAAATATGAAATAAACCGCTAGTTAATAAAGAGGAGGAGAAGCTTGCTTCTGCTTTCCTATGAAGACCAGCTACAGCAGGGTACAGCCTGACTTCAGCAGCGCTAACTGTAGCAGGGACCTTTTAATGAATGCTAGGCACTGTTTGAAACAATACGTGGTCACTCATTTCACCCTGAGGTGACACAGGCGCTACCACTGCTTAAACCTGACAAGAATAAACAGTCACCAACCGGGCCCTGATGTCTCCCAGTAAGGACGAATACAGAGAAGCCTGATTCACACCCCAGCAGGATGGCTCACAGCCTGTGCTCTTCAGCCCTTCGCTGAACTGCCCTGGGGCTGGGGGAACGCACAGCAACCTGGCCATACTGCATCCTCCACACCTGTCGCCACACCGTCCGTCCTCAGACGGACGTGAACACCAGGGCGCTCTGGGAGGAGAGAGAAACTACGCAGCTCTCCAGGAAGGCAACACAGAACCACGAAGCTCAGCCGCAGCTCTAGGAAAGCTATGACCTTGATCTTTTAAGGAATTCCTTCCCAGGTGCTTCATATCAAATCCTCTACTAACTAGGTAAAGAACAAGTATCGGCTCCTTCTACTAGGAGCACAAATTTCATTCTAAGAAGTGCGACGTGGCTAGGTGACCACCCAAGGTCACGCAACCGGCAGCCGGACGGCAAGAGCTGTATTTCAGGTTTGGTGACGCCCATCAAAAAGGTCGCTGGGTGCCATCAGGCCGTGAGGTTTCTCCCTACAGTTCCTAACTAGCGACCGGCGCAGCCGGCACCTCCCAGCCCTGGGCTCCCGGGAGGGCGGCCGGGCACTGGCTGGGCACGCCGCGCACTCCGTCTGCCTGGGCGCCAGAGACCCCACGCCCCGCAAACTCCGGCTTCCACCCCAGCCCCAAATTCGCCACCCTTAGCGCTGCCAGAGTCGTCGCTGGCTCGGCTCACGCAGCTCTTCAAGCAGAGGGGCCACAGTCGGGCGCCTGGCAGGGCCAAAGCCGCCGCCCCCGCCACACCTGCCCGGCGCGGACCGGGCGCCCCTGAGAAGCCCGCACGGCCCCGCGAGGCCGCGCCCAGCTCCCGCCGCCCTCGCCGCTGGCCCTCCCGGGGCGGCCCCTCGCGGCCCGAGGGCACTGGCTGGAGACGCCTTCGCTGCCCTCAGCCTGCGCGGCGCAGGCGCCCACCTTGAGGGTCGGGTACTCCTGGACCTTCAGGGTCATGGACAACTGAGCCGCCGACTCCTGCACCGCCATCTTGAAGCGGCCAAAACATTAGCGGGCGGGGGACGCGCGAGCGCGCTGCACGCCGGGAAATGACGCCACGCGCCGGCCGGAGCAGGATGGGGGCGGGCCGATGCCCCTGCACCAATCGTATCCGCCCAGTCGGCCGGAGGCGGAAGAAGGCGCGAACCAATCACTGCCGGGTTTCCTCTCGTTCAGCCAATCAACGATAGCCCCGGCTGGCGGTTTCCACCTTGAATTCGCTACCGGGTTCAGGCCGCAGACGCCGGAGCTGGGGATGCTCCTGGCCCGGGGCGGGCCGATGGGGTGCGGGCTGCGGCCCGGGCGGGTGGAGCTGGGGCCGAGCGGGCTGGGGGACTTGGCGTCCGTCCAGTTACTTGGGGCTCCCGCGGGGTGGTCCCCTGTGGGTCCCTCGTGCCTGCGGTACCAAGGGCAACGCCAACAAAACGCCTGGCCGCATGCGCCTGTAGCCAGCTATTTTTCTTTGGCCTTATTTTGACCGATTTACAGCTGCTGGAATCCTGATGTGGAACCTCCGACTTCCCAACGGAAGAGGAAAGGCCCAGTACCTAAAACTGATTTATGGACAGAAACTCCCGAAGCATGAGAAGCGTGTGGCCTCTCCGCCCTCTCCTTGCAGGGCGGGCAGCGCTGGCATCCAGGTCGTGCGCTGCCTTCATTTCAGCCACTTCACATTCTCAGCCTTTCAAACACCACCCGTCTCCCTCCTTTCCAAAATAAAACTGAAATTAGATTTTATTAATTAGGAAATGACGTCCCAATTAAACCACCTTGTGTTTCACATAACACATTTCTAAACAACTTTTAAAATATTTGGTGTTTAAACAAAGGAAAAACATCTAAGGTGACACAGCGATGAAGGGAGAACCTCCGCTTGGAGGCTGCTACATGTTACAGCCGCAAGACATCCGACCCGCACTGTGGAATCTTTCTCTGTCTTACTTAAACAGGAGTTGGGACTAAGGAAAGTGTTATTCCTCAAGTGTGTGGCTGCAGACTCCAGTCTTTTAGACATTTGAAGTAAGTTTTACAGTGAGGTGCACAAATCTTAACTATACAGCTTTAATGAATTTTCACCCATATTTGCACTTTTATCTAACCGTGTCCTGGTTGAGATTTAGGACATTTCCCGTGGCACAGAAAGCTCCTCTGCCCCTTCCCGGGCTATATCCCCATCATTCTAACCCTGCTCCCCGTAACAGCGTTCCTGACCTTCCTATAGAGATGGAAGCATGCACTCTGTACTCTTTGCGTCCTTTCACGGTTCGCATCGTGTCTGCCACTCTCCGGGATGGTCCCAGTAGTACACAGGAGCACTGCAGCAGTTGGATGGACTGCACTCCTCTTAGAGACTGCCTTCACTTCACCAGGGATTCAAGATTAACCCAAAGGAAAGGACACGGGTTTCATTTCCATGGTAAAATGATCCTATCCTAGTACCATCTACAGTCAGAAATACTTAGGAATTATAAGGCAGAGGTTTGCACGTTGGAGAGGTTGTTTAACCCTCTACAACCTTTGAGTCATTCATTCTAGGTTTTCTTATGTTGGAAGATAAAACTGTATTTGAATTAGTCCTTTTGTAAACCAAAAAGTGTCTGAGACAGATCTCAATCAGTTTAGAAGTTTATGTTGCCAAGGTTAAGGATCATGACCAGTGACACAGCCTCAAGAGGTCCTCAGAACACATGCCCAAGGTGGTTGGGTTACAGCTTGATTTTATACGTTTTAAGGAGATGTAGGCATCAATCAGTACATGTGAGATTTACATTGGTCCGAAAAGGCAGGACAACACAAAGCACAGCGGGGCTTCCAGCTCACAGGTGGATTCAAAGATTTTCTGATTGGCATTTGGTTGAAAGAGTGCTTATCTAAAGATCTGGAATCGAGAGAAAGGAGCATCTGGGTTAAAAGGGGTTGTGGAGACCAACGTTCTTATTACATAGATGAAGCCTCATAGGTGGCCACCATTAGAAGCAATAGATGGCAAATGTTTCATATCTAGATCTTAAAAAGCTGCTAGACTTGGCCGGGTGCTGTGGCTCACGCCTGTAATCCCAGCACTTTGGGAGGCCGAGGCGGGCGGATCACGAGGTCAGAGATCAAGACTATCCTGGCCAACATGGTAAAACCCTGTCTCTACTAAAAATACAAAAATTAGCTGGATGTGGTGGCACTCACCTGTAGTCCCAGGTACTTGGGAGGCTGAGGCAGGAGAATCACTTGAACCTGGGAGGCAGAGGTTGCAGTAAGCCAAGATCACACCACTGCACTCCAGCCTGGGTGACACAGCGAGACTCCTAAAAAAAAAAAAAAAAAAAAAAAAAAACAAGAGCTGCTAGACTCTCAGTTAACCATTAACTTCTTCAGAATCAGAAAAGACCCGGAAAGGAAGGGCAAGGGATTCCCTACAGAATGTAAATTTCTCCCACAAGAGACAGCTTTGCAGGGCCCTTTCAAAATATGTCAAAGAAATATATTTTGGGGTAAAACACTTTGATTTCCTTCAAGGCCAGCTATCTGTCATGTGATGCTCTACTAGAGTCAAGTTGGAATTTGGCATCTTATTGCTACAGAGTCTGTTTTGTCAGTCTTAAGATCTCTGTTTTAATGTTAATGCTGGTAAGTTTTGTGCCTGAACTCGAAAGGGAGGAGGGGATACTGAGGCATGTCCAACTCTCCCTTCACGTTAATAGTGGCAGGAGGCAGACCGAGCAGTTACCCAGTGAAACCCGACCTTCAAGCCGAAGACAGTTTAAAGCCGACCTACAAGTCCCAGGTAAATCCATGGACTAGATTGGGAACCTGTCTTCCTGCCTGGCATGCTTTCCTCTGATTGGTCCCCACCCTTCACCTATTTTACATATACCTATCCTTCCCTAATTGGCTTTTTGTTTGTTGGTTGGTTGTTTTTTTGGTTTTTTTTTTTTTTGAGATGGAGTCTCGCTCTGTCTCCCAGGCTGGAGTGCAGTGGCACGATCTCGGCTTACTGCAAGCTCTGCCTCCCAGGTTCACGCCATTCTCCTGCCTCAGCCTCCCGAGTAGCTGGGACTACAGGCACCCGCCACCACGCCCAGCTAATTTTTTTTGTATTTTTAGTAGAGATGGGGTTTCACCGTGTTAGCCAGGATGGTGTCAATCTCCTGACCTTGTGATCCACCCACCTCAGCCTCCCAAAGTGCTAGGATTACAGGCGTGAGCCACCGCACCCAGCCCCTAATTGCTTTTTACACTGTTGTCCCCACCTTTGAGTGATGCCTTTGTTTTAGCCATTTTTGCATCCTCACAAACCAATCAGTGTGCACTCTGAGCCCATGAAAGCCCCAAACCCAGCCACATGGAGAGAGAAACCATCCGACTTCAGGTGGGGGACCACCCTCACATCCCTGCTCCACTGAGAGCTGCTTTGTCACTCAATAAAATTCTTCTCCATCCTCCTCACCCTTCAATTGTCAGTGTATCATCATTCTTCTTGGACGTGGGACAAGAGCTCAGGATGCACCAAATGTGAATACAGAGAAGGCTGTAACTCCATAACCCTTTGCCCTTCACCAGCAGAGGGCAGCCACCCCATGTGACAGAAGCAGCAGTGGGACTGAGCCAGCCCTGGAGCCATGGGCTGATGCGGGGCAAGCGGCTGACAGAGCTGTTGACGCACCACTGTCCATCAGGATGCAGACTAAAAGAGCTAATTAGCATGCTGTAACACCCCCTCTGGGGCTTCAGGATCACAGCACCCCTACCTGGGCGCCACCGTGTTCCCCTTGTCTGGACGCCGGAGTCCACCATGGGAGTGGCTTGCAACATGCCTGGTCCAGCCACAAGCCCTGCATGGAGCCTGCGTCTGTGCTGACACTTGGAACCGTTGGCTGGACCCCGCACTCACTCGCTCACACCCCCTCCCACTGGGGGCTGAGTGCACAGTCGGAACAGCCGCAAACGCTGGAGTGCGGGCCTGGCATGACATGATGGGCCAAGTGAATGGGCATCTCCTGTGGCAAACCTGGGCCTGAGCAAGGGTGTCGCTGGCTGGGGGTCTCTGGCTGACAAGTGACCAAGAAAAGTCATGCGCCGCCATCGTGTCCTGAACTGATTTTTCAGGTTTCTTTGAAACCCCCTTGGCTGAAGGTGGGGGTAGGGGGTTCCATTCAGTCAGTTGGGGGAGCTTAGTATCTTATTTTTGGTTTATATAACTTGAAATTGTCCAGCTGTCAGACTCTGCCACCAACTGGCTATCCTACAATCCAACCCCATTCACACTCACTCGCAGAGTTAGCACAGACCCCACAGGCCAAGGGCTCCGTTCCACAAGGCTGTCCCCACTCCAGGTGACGGCTGCACATGGGGTGCCCAGGCCACCCACAAGGCAGATGACACATTTGGGGCTCCCACAAACCCTTCCTCAGGTTCAATAATTTGCTAGAATGACTCACAGAGCTCAGGAAACACTTAATGCTTCCCAGCTTATTATGAAGGACACAGCTCAGGAATAGCTAACGGGAGTGCATCGGGCATGGTGGGGCGAGGAGCTCCCAAGCCTTCTCTGCGCGGCAGCCGCTCAGCACTTCGGGGCATCCACCAGCCAGGAGGCTCTCCTGAATCTCATTATTCACACATTTTCATATCTCAATCCCCAGCCCCCCTCATCCCCAGAGGTGGAGGTGGAGTGGGAGAGGGGCTGAGAATTCCTGCCAACCAATCTCCGGGTCTTTCTAGTGATATCTGGAGGCCCCACCCAGAGTCACTTCATTAACATAAACTCAGGTGTGGTGGGAAGGAGTTCCTTATGAAGAAAGAAGACGCTCCCACACTCAGGAAATCGCAAGGGTTTTAGACACTTGGTGACCGGAACCAGGGACCAAGACCAAATATACTTTTTGTCGTAGTATAGCATTCAACAGCTGCCATGTTCTGCGTCTCTTGGTTCAAACTTCCAAAATCTTAGGCTCCAAAGTCTTGCCCAGTGTGGGTTGGCTGTCCATCTGGACTAATCAGCTATGCCAGGGATGAGCTGTGGGGCACACGTGGTTCCCTTGTGTGGGTGGGCCAGGAGCACGCAGAGAAAAGCAGCCCAGAGACGGATGGTGCTGGGTGCCTCCTGCATGGCCGTGTGGGAGGACCTGACCTGTGGCTCAGGGACGCAC
The DNA here is from genome assembly GCF_000001405.40 of Homo sapiens. Lineage (NCBI taxonomy): Eukaryota > Metazoa > Chordata > Mammalia > Primates > Hominidae > Homo > Homo sapiens. The sequence goes on along the minus strand of NC_000004.12, from coordinate 1,284,760 downwards.
TGTCATAGCCAGCTCACATCACATGCTGCAGGGGGTCCACATCCTGGGGCCCTTCTTATCTCCACTGATGGACGGACGTCAGGGCTCTGCTACTTAAAGGTAACCCCCTCAAGTTCGAGGGGGTGACTCTGCCCCAAGCTGCACGACACAGCCCTTCCTCTCACCCAGCCAGATCCGTTTTCTGCGCTGGAGTTGCCCCTGTCGTTATTTTGATCCACACATCTCTTAGGAGGTGGTTAACACCTGCTGAAAAACTTAATTCTTGAATGAATGAAACATGTACCTCACATCAGGTAACAAGATTTTACACAGTTCACTGTTCTGTTGGTTTTTATTTATTTATTTATTTATTGAGACAGAGTCTTGCTCTGTCACTCAGGCTGTAGTGCAGTGGCACGATCACAGCTCACTACAGGCTCTACCTCCCGGGCTCAACCGATCCTCTCACTTCAGCCTCCTGAGTAGCTGGGACTACAGGCATATGCCATCATGCCTAGCTAATTTTTAAAGTTTTTTTGCAGAGACAGAGTTTCACCATGTTGCCCAGGCTGGTCTCAAACTCCTGGGCTTGAGCACTGACTGTTTTGTTGGTAAGAAAATAGCATCTGATTTTCCCTTAAAAGTATTTAGTAATACAAACTATAATTAGTTCCTATGGTTAGCTGTAGAGGTGGAATCGACTCAAGCCACACAATTGTTATCTTCACAACATCTGTTTGTAAATGTCTCCAGTAAAGGCCTCCCGGCTCCCTGGAGGAGGAGGCCGGACACCTGCCAGTGCTGGACGGTGGCCTCCCTGCTCCCAGGTGGGGCCCAGCCAAGGTGAGTGCTTGAGGTAGCTTCGGTTGGGCCAAGCATCTTTTCCTCTGGATAAATACCCAGTAGTGGAATTGCTGGATGGTAGTTCTACTTTTAGTTTTTTGAGAAATTCCACTGTTGGTGGAGGGACTTCCCACTGTTAACCGGTACAGCCATCACTAATGTACACGCCCACCCACCGTTCCCACGGTTAACCAGTACAGCCATCACTATTGTACACACCCACCCACCGTTCCCACGGTTAACCGGTACAGCCGTCACTAATGTACACACTCACCGTTCTCACTGTTAACCGGTACAGCTGTCACTAATGTACATGCCCACCGTTCTGTTAACCGGTACAGCCGTCACTACTGTACATGTCCACCCACCATTCCCACAGTTAACCAGTACAGCTGTCACTAATGTACATGCCCACCGTTCTGTTAACCAGTACGACCGTCACTAATGTACACGCCCACCCACTGTTCCCACGGTTAACCAGTACAGCCATCACTACTGTACACACCCACCCACCGTTCCCACAGTTAACCGGTACAGCCGTCACTAATGTACACACTCACTGTTCTCACTGTTAACCGGTACAGCTGTCACTAATGTACACGCCCACCCATTCCCACGGTTAGCCGTCACTACTGTACACACCCACCCACCATTCCCACGGTTAACCAGTACAGCCGTCACTAATGTACACACTCACTGTTCTCACTGTTAACCGGTACAGCTGTCACTAATGTACACGCCCACCCATTCCCACGGTTAGCCGTCACTACTGTACACACCCACCCACCGTTCCCACGGTTAACCGGTACAGCCGTCACTAATGTACACACTCACTGTTCTCACTGTTAACCGGTACAGCTGTCACTAATGTACATGCCCACCGTTCTGTTAACTGGTACAGCCGTCACTACTGTACATGTCCACCCACCATTCCCACAGTTAACCAGTACAGCCGTCACTAATGTACACGACCACCGTTCTGTTAACCGGTACGGCCGTCACTAATGTACACGCCCACCCGCTGTTCCCACGGTTAACCAGTACAGCCATCACTACTGTACACACCCACCCACCGTTCCCACAGTTAACCAGTACAGCCATCACTAATGTACACGCCCACCCACCATTCTCACTGTTAACCTGTACGGCCATCACTAATGTACACGCCCACCCACCGTTCCCACTGTTAACCGGTACAGCCGTCACTAAAATACACGCCCACCCACCGTTCTCACTGTTAACCGGTACGGCCGTCACTAATGTACACGCCCACCCACCGTGTGTGAGAGCTCCCTTTCCTCAGCATCTTCAGCAGCATCTGTTATTTTTTGTCTCTCTAATAAGAGCCCGTGTAACTGGGGTAAGATGACGTCTCGTCGTGGTGGTGACTTGCCCTTCCCCGATGCTTAGAGGTGCTGAGCATTGTTTCATACACCTGTTGGCTGTTTGTCTGTCTTCTTTTGAGATATGTTTATTCCCAAAATAGACATTTCTATTTTGGGGGCTAAAAGTGCCCTCAGGCCACTTTCTAGTGGGATTTTTTTTTTTATTGTTGCTTGAGTTCCTTGTATACTCTGGATTTTAGTCCCCTGTTGGATGAATAGTTTGCAAATATTTTCTCCCATTCAACAGGTCGTCTCCACCCTCTGTTGACTGTTTCCATCATAGTGGGTTTTTTTGGGTTTTTTTTGAGATGGAGTCTTGCTCTGTCGCCCAGGCTGGAGTGCAGTGGCACAATCTCAGCTCACTGCAGCCTCTGCATCATGGCATTTATTTTATTTTATTTTATCTTATTTATTTATTTTTTGAGTTGGAGTCTCACTCTGTCGCCAGGCTGGAGTGCAGTGGCGTGCTCTCGGCTCACGGCAACCTCTGCCTCCCGGATTCAAGTGATTCTCCTGCCTCAGCCTCCCGAGTAGCTGGGATTACAGGCGCCCACCACCACACCCGGCTAATTTTTGTTTTTTTGTTTTGTTTTGTTTTTAGTAGAGATGGGGTTTCACCATGTTGGTCAGGATGGTCTCAATCTCTTGACCGTGTGATCCACCCACCTCAGCCTCCCAAAGTGCTGGGATTACAGGCGTGAGTCACCGCGCCTGGCCCACATCATGGCATTTTTAAAATTCATCATTTAATGTCATTCTAAGTAAAGAAAAATAAGCAGTTATTCACACGAATTGTAGTGTTCATCGTCACCTAACGCTAGTTTTATTTTTTATTTTTATTTTTATTTATTATTATTATTTTTGAGACGGAGTCTTGCTCTGTCACCCAGGCTGGAGTGCAATGGTGCAATCGTGGCTCACTGCACCCTCCACCTCCTGGGTTCAGGCGATTCTTCTGCCTCAGCCTCCTGAGTAGCTGGGACTACAGGCGCCCGCCAACTATGCCCGGCTAATTTTTGTATTTTTAGTAGAGAGGGGGTTTCACCCGTGTTAGCCAGGATGGTCTTGATCTCCTGACCTTGTGATCCGCCCGCCTCAGCCTCCCAAAGTGCTGGGATTACAGGCGCGAGCCACCGCACCCAGCCTGTCCAACGCCAGTTTTAAGTGCAAACATAAGCAAATCATAGTGTTCACCATCATTTGTCTGACGCCAGTTTTAAATGCAAACGTAAGTGCTTTAGTTCGAACTCTGCGTCACCAAACTCACGAGGCCTGTGCTTCCCAGCTCGATTGCACAGACCTGTTTTGTTCTTCTTCATGGAGTGCTGCATGAAGCTAATGCAGCTGTGATTTCATTTCTGATGTGCACATATTTTACCAATGCCCTCTACTTTTACTGACAAGTAAGGGGTGTCTGGAGGGAAAAGGAACTGTGGGTTGCCTCATCTTTCCTCCTGTCCACCATGTTCAGCACACGCAGTTCTAACGTGAGGAAGTCCCATGCGTAAGAAGTACATGATGGGGTATGTGTTTCTTGGCACTCCCCTGTTTCTTTTGTGTTTATAGCATGTTCTGGTTCAAACAGAAGGCATGGCCTCTCTGGACTTTGGGGCCACTGCTCACTCCGTCCTGGATGTGACACCCTCACTTGCACCCACTGGAAACCTTGCTGTCCTTCCACACCTCATGGACCCCTCAGAATTCTGTGTTCGTGGGGAACTACCCATGCTCTATGCAGCTGGGGTGCCGGGAACAGGTGCAGATGGGATGTCTCTCACCGTTGACCATCTTGTATATGCAAGATTTGGGGTTTTTTTGAGACAGAGTCTCGCACTTTTGCCAAGGCTGGAGTGCAGTGGTGCAATCTCTGCTCACTGCAAACTCTGTCTCCTGGGTTCAAGCAGTTCTCCTGTCTCAGCCTCCTGAGTAGCTGGGATTGCAAGCACACGCAGTTCTGATGTGAGGAAGTCCCATGCGTAAGAAGTACATGATGGGGTATGTGTTTCTTAGCACTCCCGTTTCTTCTGTGTTTATGGCATGTTCTGGTTCAAACAGAAGGCATGGCCTCTCTGGGCTTTGGGGCCCCTGCTCACTCCGTCCTGGATGTGACACCCTTACTTGTATTTACTGGAAACCTTGCTGCCCTTCCACACCTCGTGGACCCCTCAGAATTCTGTGTTCGTAGGGCACTACCCATGTGCACCACCACACCTGGCTAATTTTTGTATTTTTAGTAGAGACAAGGTTTCACCATGTTGATCAGGCTGGTGTCAAACTCCTGACCTCAAGTGATCCACCCGCTTTGGCCTCCCAAAGTGCTGGGATTAGAGGTGTGAGCCGCCTTGCCCGGCCGTATCTGCAGATTTGTTTCTTGAATTAAATTGGGAAAAGTTCCAGTTACGATTTCTTTTTTTTAATTTTAATTTATTATACTTTAAGTTCTGGGGTACATGTGCACAACATGCAGGTTTGTTACATATGTATACATGTGCCATGTTGGTGTGCTGCACCCATTAACTCGTCATTTACATTAGGTATATCTCCTAATGCTATCCCTGCCCCATCCCCCTCACCCCACGACAGGCCCCGGTGTGTGATGTTCCCCACCCTGTGTCCAAGTGATCTCATTGTTCAATTCCCACCTATGAGTGAGAACACATGGTGTTTGGTTTTCTGTCCTTGCGATAGTTTGCTCAGAATGATGGTTTCCAGCTTCATCCACGCGTCCCTACAAAGGACATGAACTCATCCTTTTTTATGTCAGCCACGATTTCTTTAATGATCTTTTCCTGCCCCATTCACTCTTGCTTCTCCTCCTGGGATGCCAATTACGTAAAGGTTGGACAGTTGGACACTGTGGTCTCCGTGGCGGTGCCACAGGACGGCAGGGCTCAGTCACGGCAAGCTGGGAGGAGCTGAGAGCCAACTCCTGTGCTCAGTGTGTCTGTTGGGCTCAGACACACAGGGAGCCAGAGATTTTGCGTAGACATGTGAGGAGAACTGCTGAGCACACTTCACACGGCAGAGCTCCTGAGCCGCGACCCTGGCGGGGTTGTGAGGAACAAGAGAGGATAGCCAACAAGATGGAGAGGAGATGGTGCTGGGCCATCCACACTAACCTGGCAGGAACTGGAGACCTGCTGGGGTGGTTGTACTAAACAGAACAGAGAAGGCAAGAAGAATGCAGTGCTGCACGGCCCCTGCACATCAGCATGGATGCTCCCAACGGGCAGAGCTCACAGAACGCAAGGATGCAGCCCTTGACCAGGGAGGAGCGAGGACGCAGAGGACCAGGGAGGAGCGAGGACGCAGAGGACCAGGGAGGAGCGAGGACGCAGAGGACCAGGGAGGAGCGAGGACGCAGAGGACCAGGGAGGAGCGAGGACGCAGAGGACCAGGGAGGAGCGAGGACGCAGAGGACCAGGGAGGAGCGAGGACGCAGAGGACCAGGGAGGAGCGAGGACGCAGAGGACCAGGGAGGAGCGAGGACGCAGAGGACCAGGGAGGAGCGAGGACGCAGAGGACCAGGGAGGAGCGAGGACGCAGAGGACCAGGGAGGAGCGAGGACGCAGAGGACCAGGGAGGAGCGAGGACGCAGAGGACCAGGGAGGAGCGAGGACGCAGAGGACCAGGGAGGAGCGAGGACGCAGAGGACCAGGGAGGAGCGAGGACGCAGAGGACCAGGGAGGAGCGAGGACGCAGAGGACCAGGGAGGAGCGAGGACGCAGAGGCCAGGGCAGAGCATGACTTGGGAAGTCCAGGGCGCAATTGGCAAAGGATCCTCAGCTATGACACCAAAGGTACAAGCAACACAATGAAAAACAGAAAGATCGTACTTCATCAAAACTAGAAATGTTTGTGCATCAAAGGACATTACAAAGAAAGCAAAAAGACAACCTACAGAATGGGAGAAAATATTTGCAAATCATATTAGATAAGACACTTGGAGACAGAATATATAGTGTTTACAACTCAACAACAAAAAGACAACCCCTTAAGAAATGGACAAAGCACTGAGTACACATTTCTGCTGAGAAGACTTACAGATGACCAATTCGTCACTGAAAGAGGCTCACCACCATGAGTCACCAGGTAAGGTGAATCGTGACACTGAGACATGGCTTCATAGCTGCCAGGAAGCCAAATCCAAGTGGCCAGCGTCAAGGAGACTGTGGGAAGTGGGAACCTCCTACTTTGCTGGTAGGTGCAAAATGAATGCACTTGCTGTGGAAGGTACTTTGGCAGGTTCCCAAAAGTTAAACAGAGTTAGCATAGTCAGCAATTTCACTCCTACGTAGATACCCCAAAGAGCTGAAAATTGGCATTCCAACAAAAGTTTACACATGTAATAGCAGCACTATTCAGCCAAAATGTGGAAACGGGTGCCCATCTACTGGTGAATAAATGAACAACACATCGCCCATCACATGACGGAATATCATGCAGCCATGAAAAGGAGTGAAACACAAGCACGTGCCACAATGCAGGTGAACCTCAAAAACACCAGCTAAGGGAGCTAAGCCGGTCACAGAAGAGTGTATAGCGTGTGACTCCAGTACTAGGAAATGTCCAGAAAATGCAAATCCGTAGGGACAGGATCAGACTGACAGTTGCTGGATGGGGGTGGAAATGGGAGGTGACTGCCGCTGGCACGGGGTCTCCATCTGCCCACCTGGGGCAGCTTCATGCCGCATCTGGGCCTCCCGGGTACTGCCCACCCCAGGTGAGGGGCCACCCCACAGGCAGGGCTCCTCTCTGGGCATTGCACCTCAGGGGAAGACTGGACACTGGCCTAGAGATGTTGTTATTTGTTGTTAAATAAAATTGAGGAATTTTAAAAGATAGTTTTTTCTTGTAAAAAATATGTACCATAATATTTCTCATTTTCATCATTCGTAAGTGTACGATTCAGTGGCATTAGCTATATTCACAATGTTAGGTACCCATACCACTATCTATACCCAAAACATTCATAATTCCTAACATAAACGATGCCTCAATTAAACAAGAACTCCTCGTTCCCCTCTGCCCCCAGCCCCTGGTAACATCAGTTCTAGTTTCTGTCTCTATTAGGCTGCCTGTCCTAGGTACCTCATCTAAGTGGAATAACATCTGTCCTCCTGGGTCTGGCTTATTTCACTAAGCATAATGTTTTCAAGGTCCACCCATCTTGTAGCATGCCCCAAAGTCAAATTTTGTAAATTTTATAAATTTTGTACATTTTTCAATTTTTCTTCAGGTACTGATTTCTAACTTTATACTGTGATGGTCAGACAGGATTCTTTTGTATGATATCTATCCTTTGTAATCTGCTGAGGCTTAATTTGTGCTTAACATGTAGTCTATCCTGGAGAATGTCCCATGGACATTCCTTTTCATGGCTAAATAGTATTCCATTGTATGTGTGACCAAGCTTTGTGTATCCATTCCTCTGTGGACGGACTCTTAGGTGTTTCCAGCTTTTGGTTATTGTATATAATGCTGCTATGAACATTCGTGTACAGGTATCTGCTTTCAATTCTTTTGGATCTAAACCCAGCAGTGGAATTGCTGGGCCATAAGAAAGTTCTATTTTTAGCCATTTGAGGAACTGCCAAATCGTTTCCTACAGAGTCTGCACCATCTTCCATTCCCGGCAGCAGTGCACACACAAGGGTTACAGCCTCTCCATGTCCTCGCCAATGCTGGTCTTTTTCCATTTCCTTGATGATGGCCACTGTCATTGGTGGAAAGCGGCATCTCTGGGTGGATTCAGTCTGCGTGTGCCCCAGGACTAATGGTGCTGGGCATCTCTTCATGTGCTCATCGCCCACCTGTCTATCATCTCTGGAGAAATGTTCACTCAAGTCCTTTGCCAGGGCCAGGCACGGTGGCTCACACCTGTAATCCCAGCACTTTGGGAGGCTGAAGTGGGCGGATCACTTGAGGTCAGGAGTTTGAGACAAGCCTGACCAACCCTGTCTCTACTAAAAATACAAAAATTAGCAGGGCATGGTGGTGTGCACCTGTGGTCCCAGCTACTCGGGAGGCTGAGGCACGAGAATCACCTGAACCCAGGAGGCGGAGCTTGCAGTGAGCCGAGATCACACCGCTGCACTCCAGCCTGAGCGACAGAGCAAGACTCCGTCTCAAAAAAAAAAAAAAAAAATCCTTTGCCCATTTTTAATTTCTTCTTGTTTCTTGTTGTTGAGTTATAGACATCTTTATACCCTCTGAATATTAGCCCCTTGTCAAATAGATAATTTGTAAATATTTTCTCCCATTCTGTCTTTTCACTTTCTTGATGGGGTCCTTTCATGCAAAAAAGTTCTTCCTCTGATAAGTTCAACTTCTCGATGTTTTTGTTGTTGCTGCCAGTGCTTTTGGAGTCATATCCATGCACTTATTACCAAATCCAACATCATGAAGATTTCCCCCTGTGTTTTCTTCTAACAGTTTATAGTCGTAGCTCTTAAGTTAGGCCTTTCATCCATTTTGAGTTAATTTTGCTTTACGGTGTAAGATAAGGGTCCAACTTCATTATTTCGCACACATATATCCAATTTCCCCATTGCTGTTTGTTGTGAAGATTGTCCTTTCCCTATTAAACGGTCTTGGCACCCTTATCAAAAATCAATTGACCACAATGTGAGGGCTTTTTTCTGAGTTCTTTAGTCCATTGGTTTACATGTCTGTCATTCTGCAGTGCCATACTCTTTGAATTACTGTAACATTGTAGTAAGTTTCAAAGTTGGGAAGTGTGAGTACTCCAATTTTATTCTTTTTTTTTTTTGACAGAGTCTCACTCTGTCACCCAGGCTGGAGTGCAATGGCATGATCTCGGCTCACTGCAAGCTCCGTCTCCCCGGTTCACGCCATCCTCCTGCCTCAGCCTCCCGAGTAGCTGGGACTACAGGCGCCTGCCACCACGCTCGGCTAATTTTTTGTACTTTTTAGTAGAGACGGGGTTTCACCGTGTTAGCCAGGATGGGCTCGATCTCCTGACCTTGTGATACGCCTGCCTTGGTCTCCCAAAGTGCTGGTTTTACAGGCATGAGCCACCGCACCCAGCCTTATTCTTCTTTTTCAACAATGACATAGGGAGTCCTTCAGGTTGAAATGAAAGGACACTAGACAGTAACTTGAAGCCGCATGAAGAAATAAAGGTTTCTGCTAAAGGGTAGTTATAAAAGCTAGTACTGTTGTATTTTTGGTTTGTAACTTCTTTTTTTATTGTCTACACGATTTAAAAAATGCATAAAAATCACTATTAATCTTTGTTATTGGGCAAAAAATGTATAAAGATCTAATTTATGACATCATCAACAGAAGAGGTTCCGGAGCAGGACAGGAGAGATTTGATATGCTCTTGGAGTTAATCAGGCACAAATTCAGACGGCAGTGTTAGAACTTCAGGATATTGTATGTAATGCAATTCTCAACGGTAACCACAAAGAAAATAGCTATAGAATATACACAATAGGAAATGAGAAGCGAATCAAAAATGTCACTGCAAAAAAATTCGCTGAACACTGCAGTAACGGAGGAAATGGGGAACAGAACGGCTCCCAGGCATGTAGAAAACAAGCAGCAGCAGTCAAAGAAAATCCTCCTTATCCGTTCTCCCTTTAAATCAAAGACAGAGATTGGCAGAATGAATTTAAAAGCAGGATTCAACCATGCACTCCTATCTGAGACTCGTGTTAGTTCCATAGACACAGGTTGAAAGAGAAAGGAAGGGAAAAAGATGTTCCGTGCAAACAGTCTCAGAAAGAGAGCAGGTATGGCTATCCCAACATGATACCAAATAGATTTTAAATCGAGAGACATGTGCCCTCCAAGAGACAAAGAAGGACATTATAGATTAACACAACGTTCAGTACAGCAAAAATACAGTAAATACAAGCATTTGCCCGCCGAACAACAGACGCTCAAAATATGAAGGAAAATGCAACAGAATCAAAGGGATAAATAGACAGTTTTACAATAATAGCAGGAGATTTCAAAACCCGACTCTCAATAACAGATGGAACAGAAGATAATTAAGGAAATGGAGGACTTAAAAACATAAACCAGTGAAACCTAATAGACACATCCAGAACCCGTGCCCAATAGCAAACCCCAATGAAACCTGATAGACACATGCAGAACCCTCGCCCAACAGCAAAACCCAGTGAAACCTAATAGACACATCCAGAACCACCGCACAACAGCAAAACCCACTGAAAGCTAACAGACACATACAGAACCCCCACCGAACAACAAAACCCAGTGAAACCTAATAGACACATGCAGAACCCCCACGCAACAACAAAACCCAGTGAAACCTAACAGACACATCCAGAACCCCCACCCAACAGCAAAACCCACTGAACCCTAATAGACACATCCAGAACCCCCACCCAACAGCAAAACCCACTGAAACCTAATAGACACATCCAGAACCCCTACCCAACAGCAAAACCCAATGAAACCTAATAGACATATCCAGAACCCCCACCCAACAGCAAAAACCAGTGAAACCTAATAGACACATGCAGAACCCCCACCCAACAGCAAAACCCAATGAAACCTAATAGACACATCCAGAATCCCCACCCAACAGCAAAACCCACTGAACCCTAATAGACACATCCAGAACCCCCACCCAACAGCAAAACCCACTGAAACCTAATAGACACATCCAGAACCCCCACCCAACAGCAAAACCCAATGAAACCTAATAGACACATCCAGAACCCCCACCCAACAGCAAAAACCAGTGAAACCTAATAGACACATCCAGAACCCCCACCCAACAGCAAAACCCAGTGAAACCTAATAGACACATCCAGAACGCCCACCCAACAGCAAAACCCAGTGAAACCTAATAGACACATCCAGAACCCCCACCCAACAGCAAAACCCACTGAAACCTAATAGACACATCCAGAACCCCCACCCAACAGCAAAACCCAATGAAACCTAATAGACACATCCAGAACCCCCACCCAACAGCAAAACCCAATGAAACCTAATAGACACATCCAGAACCCCCACCCAACAGCAAAACCCACTGAAACCTAATAGACACATCCAGAACCCCCGCCCAACAGCAAAAACCAGTGAAACCTAATAGACACATGCAGAACCCCCACCCAACAGCAAAACCCACTGAAGCCAAATAGACACATCCAGAACCCCCACCCAATAGCAAAACCCAATGAAACCAAATAGACACATCCAGAACCCACACCCTACAGCAAAACCCAATGAAACCTAATAGACACATCCAGAACCCCAGCCCAACAACAAAACCCAGTGAAACCTAATAGACACATCCAGAACCCCCGCCCAACAGTAAAACCCAATGAAACCTAATAGACACATCCAGAACCCCCACCCAACAGCAAACCCCAATGAAACCTAATAGATACATCCAGAATCCCCACCCAACAACAAAACCCAATGAAACCTGATAGACACATCCAGAACTCCCACCCAACAGCAAAACCCAATGAAACCTGATAGACATATGCAGAACCCCCATCCAACAACAAAACCCACTGAAACCTGATAGACACATCCAGAACCCCCACCCAACATCAAAACCCACTGAAACCTAATAGATACATCCAGAATCCCCACCCAACATCAAAACCCACTGAAACCTAATAGACACATCCAGAACCCCCGCCCAACAGCAAAACCCACTGAAACCTAATAGACACATCCAGAATCCCCAAACAACAGCAAAACCCACTGAACCCTAATAGACACATCCAGAACCCCCACCCAACAGCAAAACCCACTGAAACCTAATAGACACATCCAGAACCCCCAACCAAGAGCAAAACCCAATGAAACCTGATAGACACATCCAGAACCCCTGCCCAACAAAACCCAATGAAACCTAATAGACACATGCAGAACCCCTGCCCAACAGCAAAACCCACTGAAACCTAATAGACACATCCAGAACCCCCACCCAACAGCAAAACCCAATGAAACATAATAGACACAAGCAGAACCCCCAACCAAGAGCAAAACCCAATGAAACCTGATAGACACATCCAGAACCCCTGCCCAACAAAACCCAATGAAACCTAATAGACACATGCAGAACCCCTGCCCAACAGCAAAACCCACTGAAACCTAATAGACACATCCAGAATCCCCACCCAACAAAACCCAATGAAACCTAATAGACACATGCAGAACCCCTGCCCAACAGCAAAACCCACTGAAACCTAATAGACACATCCAGAACCCCACCCAACAGCAAAACCCACTGAAACCTAACAGACATACTCAGAGCCCCCACCCAACAGCAAAACCCACTGACACCTAATAGACACATCCAGAACCCCCACCCAACAGCAAAACCCAATGAAACCTAATAGACACATCCAGAACCCCCACCCAACAGTAAAACCCACTGAAACCTAATAGACACATCCAGAACCCCCACCCAACAGCAAACCCAATGATACCTGATAGACACATCCAGAACCTCCGCCCAACAACAAAACCCAAGTGTGCACAGGACATGCTCCAGGATAGACCATATATTAGCCACAAGTTAGGCCTGAGTAGATTAAAAAGGATCGATATCTGTGATGGTTGACACTGAGTGTGAACTTGATTGAAGGATGCAGGGTGTTAATCCTGGGTGTGTCTGTGAGGGTGTTACCAAAGGAGATTAGCGTTTGAGTCAGTGGACTTGGGAAGGCAGACTCACTCTTAATCTGGTGGGCACAATCTAATCAACTGCCAGCAAATATAAGGCAAGCAGAGAAACATGAAAGGTTGAGACTGGCCTAGCCTCACAGCCTACATCTTTCTCTGTGCTGGATGCTTCCTGCCCTCGAACATCAGACTCCAAATTCTCCAGTTTTGGGACTCGAACTGGCTCTCCTTGCTCCTCAGCTTACAGATGGCCTATTGTGGGACCTTGTGATTGTGTAAGTTAATACTTAATAAACTCCCCTAATATAGCCTATTAGTTCTGTCCCTCTAAGAGAACCCTGACTAATACAGTATCATACAAAAGAATCTCTCTGACCATCACAGTATGAGGTTAGAAATCAGTACCAGAAGGAAAATTGAAAAATTTACAAAGTTATGGAAATTATTTTAAATAAGACTCTCTTAAACAACCAGTTGGTCAAAGAAGAAATTGCAAGGGAAATGAGAACATAATTAGAGATACATGAAAATAAAAACACAATATACCAAAATTTAGGGAATGCAGTAAAAGCAACACTCAGAGGGAAGCTGATAGCTATCAATGCCTATGTTAAAAAGAAGAGTACAAAGACTGGGAACCAACCCAAAAGCCCATCAGTTATAGACTGGATAAAGAAAATGTGGCTTGTGGCCGGGCACAGTGGCTCACGCCTGTAATCCCAGCACTTTGGGAGGCCGAGGCGGGTGGATCACGAGGTCAGGAGATCGAGATCATCCTGGCTAACACGGTGAAACCCCATCTCTACTAAAAATACAAAAAAAAAATTAGCTGGGCATGGTGGCGGGCACCTGTAATCTCAGGTACTTGGGAAGCTGAGGCAGAAGAATCACTTGAACCTGGGAGGTGGAGCTTGCAGTGAGCCAACATTGCGCCACTGCACTCCAGCCTGGGCGACAGAGCGAGACTCTGTCTCAAAAAAAAAAAAAAGAAAAGAAAAGAAAAAAAAAGAAAATGTGGCACATATACACCATGGAATACTATGCAGCCATAAAAAAGGATGAGTTCATGTCCTTTACAGGGACATGGATGAAGCTGGAAGCCATAATTCTCAGCAAACTAACACAGGAACAGAAAACCAAACACCGCATGTTCTCACTCATAAGTGAGAGTTGAACAGTGAGAACACATGGACACAGGGAGGGGAACATCACACAGCAGGGCCCATCGGGGGTGGGGAGCAAGGGGAGGGAGAGCATCAGGAGAAATACCTAATGCATGAGGGGCTTAAAACCTAGATGACGGGTTGATCGGTACAGCAAACCACCATGGCACATGTATAGCTATGTAACAAACCTGCACATTCTGCACATGTATCTCAGAACATAAAGTAAAATAAAAATAAAAATTTAAATTTAAAAAAAGAAACAATAACAACAACAAAAAAGAAGAATGATCTCAAATTAATAACCTAACTTACATCTTAAGGAACTAGAAAAAGAAGAGCAAACTAAACCCAAAGCTAGCAGAAGCAGGGAAATAATAATTAGCAGAAGCAAGAAAATAATAGAGAAGAGATAGAGAAAATACAGGCCAGGTGTGGTGGCTCATACCTGTAATTCCAGCACTTTGGGAAGCCAAGGTGGGAGGATCGCTTGAGCCCAAGGAGTTTGAGATCAGCCTAGCCAACATGGTGAAACAGGGTGTGGTGGCATGTGCCTATAGTCCCAGCTACTTGGGAGACTGGAGGTGGGAGGATCACTTGAGCCTGGGAGGTCGAGGCTGTAGTGAGCCATGATTGCACCACTGCACTGAGGCCTGGGTGACAGAGAGAGACCCTGTCTCAAAAAAAGAAAAAAAATAGAGGAAATTAATAAAACCAAAAGTTGATTTTTTAAAAAATATCAATACAATTGATAAACCTTTGCGTAGACTGACAAAGAACAAAAAGAGAAGACACAAATAAAAACCAGAAGTGAAACCAGATGTGAAAATGGCCTTATAGAAATAAAAAGGATTATTAGAGAATATGTCAACAATTGTATTCTAACAAATTAGATAACATAGGAGAAATGAACAAATTCCTTAAAACACACATTAACCTAAATGGACTCAAGAAAAAGTAAAAAATCCCAACAGACCTATAACATGTAAAGAGATTAAATCAGTGATTTGTTTTAAATTACTCATTAACCTTCCAGCACAGAAAAGTCCTGGGCCATATGGC
Source organism: Homo sapiens (assembly GCF_000001405.40). Lineage (NCBI taxonomy): Eukaryota > Metazoa > Chordata > Mammalia > Primates > Hominidae > Homo > Homo sapiens. The sequence goes on along the minus strand of NC_000004.12, from coordinate 1,269,681 downwards.
TTCACAGGTTAGTTCAACTAAACATTTAAAGGAAAATTAATACCAGTTCTTCTCAAATGTTTCCAAATAGTTGAACAGGAGGAACACTTCCTAACTCATTCTATGCAGCCAGCATTACCCTAATACTGAAACAAGATAAAGACATTCATGGAAAAGAAAAGTACAGACCAATACCACTTACAAATACAGATGCAAAATCCTCAGCAAAATATTAGCAGATTGAATGCAACAGCATCTTAAAAGGATTGTTCATCTACTCATCATGACCAAGTTAAATTTATCTAGGAATGCAAGGATGGTTCAACATGAGAAAATCAATCAATGTAATACACCACATTAATAGAATTAAGGGAAAAAAATCCACATAATTATCTCAATTTACACAGAAAAAGTATTTGACAAAATCTAATACCTTCCATGATTTAAGAAAGAAAAGCTCAGAAAACTAAGAATGGAAACAAAATTTCTCAACATGATAAAGGGTATTATGAGAAACCCATAGCTGGGCAGGCATGGTGGCTCATGCCTGTAATCCCAGCACTTTGGGAAGCTGAGTTGGGATGAACACTTGAGCCGAGGAGTTCAAGACCAGACTGGGCAACATAGTGAAGGCTCGTCTCTCAACAAAAAAATATTTAAAAATTTGCTGGGCATGGCAGTACACACCTGTGGTCCCAGCTACTTGGGAGGCTGAGGTGGGAAGATCACTTGAGACCAAGAGGTGGAGGTAGCAATGAGCCAAGATTGTGCCATTGCACTCCAGCTGGGACTACGAGCAAGATTCTGTCTCCAAAAACAAAAACAAAACATGGCTGTGGGTGGTGGCTCATGCCTGTAATCCCAGCACTTTGGGAGGCTGAGGCAGGCGGATCACCTGAGGTCAGGAGTTCGAGACCAGCCTGACCAACATGGAGAAGCTCAGTCTCTACTAAAAATACAAAAAATTAGCCGGGTGTGGTGGTGCATGCCTGTAATCCCAGCTACTTGGGAGGCTGAGGCAGGAGAATCGCTTGAACTCAGGAGGCGGAGGTTGCAGTAAGCCGAGATCGCACCCATTGCACTCCAGCCTGGGCTACAAGAGTGAAACTCCGTCTCAAACACACACACACACACACACACAGAGCTAACATCATACTCAGTTGTGAAAGACTGAAAGCTTTTCCCCTAAGGTCAGGAACAAGGCTCTCACCACTACTATTCAACAGCATACTGGAAGTTGTACCAATGCTATAGACTATGGGCGGCAAGCCACCCAGGTGCCGAGGCAAGAGACCAAGGGCACGAGCTGTTCCAGTGTAATAAAATACATAAATAACAAAAGTTATACTAAATATAGATCATAGATATAATTATATATGAATATCATTAATCATTAGTTTGTAGCAATTACTCTTTATTCCAATATTATAATAATCCTTGCTCTACAATTACAACCTAGGAAAAACCAGGCCATACAGAGATAGGAGCTGAAGGGGCACGGTGAGAAGTGACCAGAAGAGTATGAGCCCTCTGTCACTCCCAGACAGGGCCACTAGAGGGCTCCTTGGTCTAGCGGTAACGCCAGCATCTGGGAAGATGCCCATTACCAAGCAGACCATGGTCTAGCTGTAGCATCAGTGCCAAGGAAAAGCACCCGCTACTTAGCAGACTGGGAAAGGGAGTCTCCCTTTTCCCAGGGGAGTTTAGAGAAGACTCTGTTCCACCACCTCTTGTGGAGGGCCTGACATCAGTTAGGCCCGCCCGCAGTTATCTGGAGGCCTAACCATCTCCCTGTGATGCTGTGCTTCAGCGGTCACGCTCCTGTTTCACTTTCATGTTCCACTCTGTACACCTGGCTCCGCCCTCTAGACAGCAGTAGCAAAATTAGTGAAAGTATTAAAGTCTTTGATCTTTCTAAAAAGAGCATAGAAAAAATAATGACCTAAGCTGTCCTCTCTCTCTCCGCTTTGGCTACCTAACAGGGAAGGGCCCCCTGTCCAGTGGACACATGACTCACATGACCTTATCAATCATTGGCGATGACACACTCTTTACTCTTTTGCTTTGTATCCAATAAATAACAGCACAGCCAGGCATTCGGGGCCACTACCGGTCTCCACGTCTTGGTGGTAGTGGTCCCCCGAGCCCAGCTGTCTTTTCTTCTATCTTTTTGTCTTGTGTCTTTATTTCTACAATCTCTTGTCTCCACACATGGGGAGAAAAACCCACAGACCCTGTAGGGCTGGCCCCTACATAGACAAAAAAAGAAATGAAAAACACCCAAATGGATGGGAAGTGGTAAAACGATCTCTATTTGAAGATGACATAATCCTACATATAGAAAATCCAAAAGAACCCACAAGAAGGTACAATAGCTCATAAACAAATTCAGCAAAGTTACAAGATCAACACATCAAGACCAACACGCAAAATTCATTTGTTTCTGTGCATCAGTATTGAACAATTCAAACAGGAAATTAAGTAAACAATGCCATTTACAACAAGATCTAAAAGAATTAAATACTCAGAAATAAGTCTAACCAAGGAGGTGAAAGACTCGTATGCTGAAAATAGAAAAGATTGCTAAAAGAAATTAAAGAACACCTAAATAAATGGAAAGACATCCCATATTCATGGATAGGAAGACTTAATATTGTTAAGATGTCAATACTACCCAAAGTGATCTACAGATTCAACACAATGCCTATCAAAATTCCAACAGCCCTGTTCAAAGAAATAAAAGTAGATTCTCAAGTGTATATGGAATTGCAAGGGACTCCCAACAGCTTAAATATGAGGAATTTAAGGCCTTTTAAACAACAGGAATATTTATTTAAGATCATGCCTAAGTCTTCTCAGGGAATCTTCTGGAGAGGGAACTTTCCAGGGACGCCTTGGATCCTCATGATGTTGGTGCTTGGTGTGGTCTGGGAGGGCCTAAGTGTTCTCAGGGAATCTTCTGGAGATGGAACTTTCCAGAGATGCCTTGGATCCTTCTTCTGGAGAAGGAACTTTCCAGGGATGCCTTGGATCCTTATGACGTTGGTTCTTCATGTGGTCTGGGAGGGCCTAAGTGTTCTCAGGGTATCTTCTGGAGATAGAACTTTCCAGAGATTCCTTGGATCCTCATGATGTTGGTGCTTGGTGTGGTCCAGGAGGTCACTAGAAGGGAAGTGGTCCTTCTATTCTCATCCTCTTGATTTTTAGATTATGTCTTGTCAACATTAACAGATGTGACTGAAAAGGCAACTTTACTCAGAATTCTGTGCAAATGTCACAGAAGCTATCACTTTATCGTGAAGGATGTAAATTCAGGGTTTTTCATTGTTGTTGGTGGTGGGGTGTGTGTGTGTGTGTGTATAGGTGTGTTTAGAATCAGGGTCTTGCTCTGTTGCCCGGGCTGGAGTGCTGTGATGCACTCTTAGCTCACTATAACTTTGAACTCCTGGGCTCAAGTGATCCTCCTACCTCAGCCTCCCTAGTAGCTAAGACTATAGGCATGCCCACTACACCAGGCTAATTTTTAAAATTTTTTTTTTAGAGGCAAGGTCTCGTTATGTTCCCCAGGCTGGTCTTGGACTCCTGGCCTCAAGTGATCCTCTATCTCAGCCTCCCAAAGTGCTGGAATTACAGGCATGAGCTATGATGCCTGGCTGCAAATTCAGTTTGATCCCAATGCAGTGTGTTGGGGAACAGAAGACTCAGAGGACTAATGAGGAGTCCAGTATGTAGGATATTGGACCCCCAGGCCCTTTATGGGCCACCATTCCATGTGTGCATAAAATGACAACTTACCATGTTGAAATGTTTTACCGTTACTGCCAAGTGAAGTCTTCACTTTTCAAGATCTCGAGGGAAAGGGACCGGATGTATTTATGTAGCAGGGAGTTCTGGGAAGCATTGGTCCTGGGAGCTATGGCAGGACCAGCAATGACACCACGTGGTGCTCTGTGAGGCCCTGAGGAGAATCCCCTGCTGGTGGGTGGGGGTGGGGGTCGGGGGCTGGGTCTCAGCTCAAGGCCTCCCATTATGCGCGTTCTCCACACGGAAACCTGGCCTCTGTGGTGCAGCTCCTCTGCACAGCTCAGATCTTCGGTGCCACGTCACGGGATCCACAGGTACCCCGGAACCCTGGCCGCAGCTGGACACCTTTAACCTTGGGTGTGGAGGCTTCCTGTGGAGTGGCCAGGTCATCACGCTCAGGGAAGCCTTCCACCACTGGCAGCAGTCTCTGGTCATGTCTGAGACCTGCTATGTCCTATAATTTCTTCTGGCCCCACATGGTCCCCTGTCTGGCAGTGCCCACGTCTTGGCCACCCTGATGCTGGTGGTTCTGGAACTTTCCAGAGGGTTCCAGCTGGTTCTGTTTTAAGGATAGAAACCATCAAAGAACAAAATTTCAGCAAATTGAGTTTTGAGATGGAGTCTTGCTAGGTTGCCAGGGCTCTGGGCTTAAGCGATCCTCCCACCTCAGCCTCCTGAGTAGCTGGGACTACAGGTGTGCACCACACACCCAGCTTAATTGTCTTTTATTAGTAATTCATGAACTGGGCAGCACCCAGCCTGCAAAACAGACAGGAGCTCCTTTGGGCATGGCAGCTGACCAGCCATGACAAGGCAGCTTCAGTAGCAAGGACCATCACAGCACAAGCAGCCCGGCTCTCCTGAGGCTATTTTCCTTGTATGGATTGACTTCCTGATTATGCCGGCTTGGGTTGACTGGGCCCCTTTTGATTGGTTGCCATGAATCTTCTGGTTTTTGGAAAACTGGCCCATTTGGGGATTTCTCGTGGTGTTTTTTGTTTGTTTGTTTGTTTGAGACAGGTTGTTGCTCTGTCACGCAGGCTTCAGGGCAATGGCTCAGTCATGGCTCACGGCAGCCTCCATCTCCTGGGCTCAATGGATCCTCCCACTCCAGCCTCCTGAGTAGCAGGGACCACAGGCGTGTGCCACCACCCTCAGCTAATTTTTTGATTTTTTGTAGAGATGAGATCTCACTGTGTTGTCCAGGCTGGTCTTGAGCTCAAGTGATCCTCCTGCTTTGGCCTCTCAAAGTGCTGGGATTACAGGTGTGAGCCACCATGCCTGGCCTCCTGTGGTTCTTTTTAAAGTTCCAGTTTGATTATGTGCCACGTAGCACGTTTTAGTTTGGTCTGTTGGGGTCTAGTGCAGGAGCTCAGCCCAAATTCAGCTCCCCAGACATTTTATTTAATAGAAGTGGGAGGGTTGGCTGGGCGTGGTGGCTCATGCCTGTAATCCCAGCACTTTGGGAGGCCAAGGCAGACAGATCACTTGAGGTCAGGAGTTCAAGACCAGCCTGGCCAACATGGTGAAACCCCGTCTCTACTAAAAATACAAAACTTAGCCATGTGTGGTGGTGCGTGCCTGTAGTCCCAGCTACTTGGGAGGCTGAGGTAGGAGAATCGCTTGAACTCAGGAGGCGGAGGTTGCAGTGAGCCGAGATCGTGCCATTGTGCTCCAGCCTGGGCAACAAGAGTGAAACTTTACCTCAAAAAAAAAGAAAAAAAACCCACAGATAAGCTCATTCTAAAGTTTGTATGGAAACGCAAAGGAACCAGGATAGCTAAAACAATTTGAAAAAGAATAAAATGGGCCAAGTCCAATGGTTCATGCCTGTAATCCCAGCACTTTGGGAGGCCAAGGTGAGAGGATTGCTTAAGGCCAGTAGTTTCAGACCAGCCTAGGCAACATAGTGACAGTCTGTCTCTACAAAAATAAATTTTAAAAAATTAGGCAGGCATGGTGGTCCACGCCTGTAGTCCTAGGTAGTTGGGAGGCTGAGATGGGAGGATCACTTAAGCCCAGGAGTTTGAGGCTGTGGTGAGCTATGATCGTGCCACTGCACTCCAGCCTGGGTGGCAGAGCAAGACCTTGTCTCTAAAAAATAAAAATAAGAGGCTGGGTGTGGTGGCTCATGCCTGTAATCCCAGCACTTTGAGAGGCCGAGGTGGGCAGATCACAAGGTCAAGAGATTGAGACCATCCTGGCCAACATGGTGAAATCCCGTCTCTACTAAAAATACAAAAAATTAGCTGGGCGTGGTGGTGCACGCCTGTAATCTCAGCTACTCAGGAGGCTGAGGCAGGAGAATTGTTTGAATCTGGGAGGCGGAGGTTGTAGTGAGCTGAGATCGCGCCACAGTACTCCAGCCTGGTGACAGAGTGAGACTCTGCCTAAAAAAAATAAATAAATAAATAGGTAAATAAATAAGAATAAAATGGGAGAAATCAGTATGTCCCATTTCAAGACTTACTCTATATATAACCATAGTAATGAAGGTTATGTGGTATTCATGGAGGAAAAGGCACATTGATCAATGTTACAGAATAGAGTGCCCAGAAGTCGACCCATGCTAGTACAACTAACTGGGTTTTGACAAAGGTGAAAACTTAATCTAATGGAGAGGATAGTCTTTTCAGCAAATGGTCCTGGCGCAATTGGACACCTGTATGCAAAAAACAAACAAACAAACAAAAACACCCAAACAAAAAGCAAAAACACCTTGATTTAAACATCACTTCTTCAACAAAAATTAGCTCAAACTGATCATCGTATAGGTTTAAATGTAAAATTATAAAACTTTTAGAAGGAGACATAGGAGAAAATCTTTAGGACTTAGGGTTTGGCTGAGAGATATTAGACATGACCCTGAAAGTACAACCTATAAAATAAAATGTTTGGTAAATTGGACTTTAGCAAAGTTAAAAACATTTGCTCTGTACAAATCCTGGTAGGAGGATGAAAAAACAAGTTTCATGTTAGGAGAGCATATCTGCAAACCACACATCTGATAAAGGACTTATATCTAGAATATATATACTCAAAACAAACTCAACAGCAAAAAAACCACACCACCCAAATAGTAAATGGGCAAAAGACAAGAAGAATTTTACCAAAGAGAATACAGTCGTCGCTCGGTATCCACGGGCTCTGCATCTGTGGATTCTACCAACCACGGATCCAAAATATTTGAAAAAAAAAATTGTGTTTGTTTTGAACATGTATAGACTCTTTTCTTGTTATTATTCTCTAAACAATACAGCATAACAACTGTTTACATCGCATTTACATTGCATTCAGTATTATAAATAATCTAAGGTGGTTTAAAGTACACGGGCGAATACTTTGTTATGTGCAAATGCTGTGCCATTTTACATCACGGACTTGAGCATCCGGGGATTTTGGTATCTGAGGAGCGCCCTGAAGCCAATCCGCATGGATACTGAGAGACAGCTGGATACAGATGGCAAATAAGCGCATGAAAAGACATCCAACGGTGCTAGTCACGCGGGAAATGCAAAGGAAAGCCCGAATGAGAGAGATCACTACCTACCTATTAGAACAGCTAAAACGGATAACATTAAAAATAGTGACAACACCAAACGTTGGCAAGAACGCAGAGCTCTCACATATCACTGGTGAGAAGGTGAGCTGGTCCAGCCACGCTGGCGAGACAGTCTGACGGGTCCTTAAAAAGTGAAACATACGCTTACTTCACAACCCAGCAATCACACAGCTGGACACTTGTTCCAGAGAATCAAAAACTTACATTCACATAAAAACCTACGTGCAAATGTTTGCAGATTTCTTTGAAATAACAAAAAACGAAAACATCCGGAAACAACGGAAACATCCCTGAAAAGATGCACGGATGAAGAAACGATCCCATCCCCCATCCTCCACGAGCGACACCCCGGCGTCCTGGTGTGAGAAGAGGAAGGGGTCGCCCATATCCCCCTCCTCAGACCTGCGCCCAAGGTCCCTGCACCCAATTCCCTGCTCAAACAGCCCCTCCTCCTGGTCCTCACGTTCCCCACCCCGGGGATCACGCCCTGACACTGTGGTTCACTGGATGTGCACCCGTCCACATCGGCTCCAAGCCGCTTCTCCCCAGGCAGGTCCGCGTTGCCCGAACTCTGCCCTGCCAGCCCCATTGTCTCTACTGCAGACCCTACTCATCCCTCCTCCTGCCAGGTTCCCCTTAGGTTCACTCACCTCCCTGGAAGGCACGCTCTGACCCAGGCCACGCTTCTCTGACCCCTCTCCTTGCCTTACCCACTGTTGCTCTTAGCTCCTGTGACTTCAAGTGCTGCCTCTGGGCCCCAGGCTCATCGGCCATCCACCTCCACCGGGGGGTTCCATGGATGTGTCCTGTTCCCCAGGTCTCCTCAGAAACCCCGTCCTCCCTGGAGCTTAGGTAGGACCGCAGCCCAGAGTCAGTGCAAGCCACCCGCCACCCCAGGCTTCTTCCTCACCGTTTCTCAGCCCTACCGCTGGAAAGCAGCCCTTCCCCCATGACCATGAACGCCACTGTGTCTCCCTGCCTTGCTCCTTCAATCCCCCTGAGAGCAGCCAGAGTGACCCTTATGAAGACAAACCCAAAATCTCTCCCTGCCCCCAAGTCCTTCCACCCTTCTCATGGCCCACAGAGCACAGCTCCCATCCTGGCCACCTCTATCCAGCTTCCCCACCTGCTACACTCCTCCTGCCTCACCCAGCCCCGGGGATTGCTTTCCAGGGACACCGTTGGTGTTCCTCATGTCTGCTGATCCCAGGCCTGTGGCACTTAGGAACCCAACAGTGTGATGCACCTGCCGCAAGGCCTGGCAGGAGTCCAAAGGCCCAGGGTAGGCTCGGGACCCAGAGGATGGGGCAAAGTGGGCAGGACTGGAGCCATCACCCCTAGGTCTAAACCCAAACATTGCCAGACACTAGCTCTGGGGTCCCAGGCCACAAATGGTTACACAGAAGTCCCTGTGCGCCGTCCCCTTGGCTCCTGTACCCTGTATTGTAGCAGCGCTGTCTCACCAGTCTGCTTGGAGTTTGACACGAGTCTAGCCGGGTGAGAAGCGCGTAGGGCAGCGGCGAGCAGTCTGTGCTGTGTTAGCTGGTGGTTCAGCAGAGTTGGACAGTGAGTCTAGCTGGGTGAGAGGCGTGTAGGGCAGCGGCGGGCAGCCTGTGCTGTGTTAGCTGGTGGTTCAGCAGAGTTGGATGCGAGTCTAGCTGGGTGAGAGGCGTGTAGGGCAGCGGCGGGCAGCCTGTGCTGTGTTAGCTCGGGTTTCAGCAGAGTTGGACACGTAGTTGGGTAAGAGGCATGTAGGGCGGGCAGTCTGTGCTGTGTTAGCTCACTGTTCAGCAGAGTTGGATGCGTAGTTGGGTGAGAGGAGTGTAGGGCAGCGGCGGGCAGCAACACAATAAACCAACTAGATCTAACACACATCCAGACATTCTACCAAGAACAATAGCAGCATATACATCCTTCTCAAATAAGCATGAGTCATTTTCCAGGATACACCATCTGTTAGGCCACAAATTAGGTCTCAATCAATTTTAAAATGTAGGTATCATACAAACTCTTCTCCAACCACAATAGGATAACGTTAGAAATCAATAACAGAAGTAAAACTGAAAAATCCACAAATTTCTGGAAGTTAAACAACACACTCTTAAACAACCAACAGTCCAGAGAAGAAATCACAAGGGAAAAAGAAAATACTTAGAATGAAAACGAAAACGCAGCAGACCAGCACTTACAGGATGCTGCAAAAGCAGTGCCACAGGGGAAGTTCATAGTTATAAATGCTTACACTAAAAAACTAGCAAGATCTCAAACCCGCAACCTAACTTTACAACTTAAGGAGCTAGAAAAAGAAGAATAAACTAAACCCAAAGCTAGCAGAAGAAAAGAAATACTGAAGGTTAGAGAAGAGATAAATGAAATAAAGAATTGAAAAACAATAGAGAAAAACCAGTAAAACCAAAAGTTAGTTCTTTGAAAGATCAACAAAATTAACAAGCCTTTCACTAGATGGACTAAGAAAATAGAGGGAAAACTCCAGTTACTAAATCAGAAATGAAAGTGGGCACATTACTACTGACTCTATAGAAATAAAAAAAAATTGTAAGAGAGTACTATGAACAATTGTATGCCAACACATTGGATAACATGGATGAAATAAACAAATTCCTAGAGACACAAAATCTACTGAGAAACAAATCAGGAATAAATAGAAAGTCTTAACAGAATTATAACTAATGTGGAGATTGAATCAGTAATGAAAAATCTGACAAAGAAAAGCCCTGGACTTGATGGCTTCACTGGCAAATTCTCCCAAATATTGGATGAAGAATACCGATTCTTCTCAAACGCTTCAGAAAAACTGAAGGCGAAGGACTACTTCCTAACTATTCTATGAGGCCAACATTATCCTGATGCCAAAGCCAGACGAAGACACTATGAGAAAAGAAAACTGGGCTAAGTGTGGCAAATCACACCTGTAATCCAAGTACTTTGGGAGGCTGAGGCAGGAGGATCACTTGAAACCAGGAGTTCAAGACCAGCCTGGGCAACATATTGAGACCCCATCTCTACAAAAGAATAAAATAGGCTGGTGTGGTGGTGCATGCCTGTAGTCCTAGCTACTTGGGAGGCTAAGGTGGGAAGATCACTTGAGCCCGGGAGTTCCAGGCTGCAATGAGCCATGATCGCACCACTGCACTCCAGCCTAGGCAGCAGAGCAAGACCCTGTCTCTAAAAAAAAAAAAAAAAAAAAATTTAAAGAAAGAAAACTACAGACCAGGGCCAGACACAGTGGCTCATGCCTGCAGCCCCAGCACTGTGGGAGGCTGAGGTGGAAGCTCAGGAGTTCAAGAACAGCCTGGGAAACATGGGGAAGCCCCATCTTTACATAAAATACAAAAATTAGCTGGGCATGGTGGCATGTGCCTGTAGTCCCAGCTACTCAGGAAACTGAGGTAGGAGAATGGCTTGAGCCAGGAGGTATAGGCTGCAGTAAGCCAAGATTGCATTACTGCACTCCAGCCTGGGCAACAGAGCAAGACCCTGTCTCAAACAAAACAAAACAACTACAGAACTAACATCCCTGATGAATATAGATGTGAAAATTCTCAACAAAATACTAGCAAACCTAATTCAGCAGCATATTAAAAAAAGGATTACACACTATGACCAAGTGTGACTTATTCTTGGAGTACTAAGACGGCTCAACTGAAAATGGATCAGTGCAATACACAACATTTCCAGAAGGGGAAAATCTCCCACATAACCATCTGAATTGATGCAGTGGCAGCATTTGACAAAATTCAACACATTTTATGATTTAAAGAAAAACACTTAACAAACTAGGAATAAAAGGAAACTGCCTCAACATTACATAATAAAAGCCATATACGAAAAACCCACAGGAAGGGTGCCTGTTTCCCCACTGCTATTCAGCATAGTACTAAAAGTGCTAGCCAGAACAATTAGGCATGAAAAATAAATGAACTAATAAATGAATTCAGCTAAGTAGCAGGATAAAAAATCAATACATTGTTCATGCTAACTAACAATGAACAGTCCAAAAAGCAAATTATGAAAACAATTCTACTTACAGTAGCAGCAAAAAGAATAAAATAAAATATTTAGGAATCAGCTTAACTGAGGAGGTTAAAGACTTCTGTACTGACAACTACAAAAAAATTGCGGTAAGAAATTAAAGAAGACATAAATAAATAAAGAAGACATCCCATGTTCATGGATTGGAAGATGTCAATAGTACTCAAAGTAATCTACAGATTTAATTCTACCCCATCAAAACCACAAAGCCTTTTTTTCTCAGAAATGGAAAAACCCATCCTAAAACTCATATAGAATCTCAAGGGATCCCAAATAGCAAAAGCAATGTTGAAAGAAAAGAAGAAAGTTAGAGGACTCACACTTCCTGATTTCAATACTTACTACAAAGCTATAGTAATCAATAATTTCATAATCTGGTAAACTCACTATAAAGCTACAGTGATCAAGAATACAGTAATCTACAGTCTGTCGTCATACCAGTGTGGTACCCTGGACCTACATGTCTATCTTTATGCCAGTACCACACTGGCATAGAGACAGACACATAGGTCAATGAAATAGAACACAGAGTTCAGAAATAAACCTTCACATATATGGTCAAATAATCTTTGACAAGGTGCTGAGACCGTCCAGTGGGGAAAATAATAGTCTTTTTGACAAGCGGTGTTGGGAAAACAGGACATTAATTTGCAGAAGAATAAAGCTGGACCTTTTGCCTCACACCATATACAAACTACAAAAACCTAAATGTACAATCTAAAACTGTAAAACTCTAAAAAATAATAATAAGACAAAGCTATACAACTTTGGATTTGGCAATAATTTCTTGGATATGACAACAAAAGCACAGGCAAAAAACAATGTCAACAGAGTAAAGAGGCAACTCACTAGATGGGAGAAAATAGTTGCAAGTTGTGTATGTGATCAGGAATTAGTATCCTTAATATGTAGAAAACTCCTAAAACTCTACAATGAAACAAAAAGCTGATTCAAAAATAGACACATGACTTGAATAGACATTTCTCTAAATAAGTACTCAAATGGGCAATATGTATATAAAAATGCTTGACGTCACCATTCATTAGGCAAATGCATATCTAAACTACAATAAGGCTGGGGAACAGTGGCTCACACCTGTAATCCCAGCACTTGGCGAGGCTAAGGGATTGCTTGAGCCCAGTTCAAGACCAACCTGAGCAACATAGTGAGACCCCCCCACACCACTTCTCTAAAAATAAAATAAAATAAAATAAAATTTAAAATTAGCCAGGCATGGTGGTGTATGCCTGTATTTCCAGCTACTCAGGAGACTGAGTAGGAGGATCACTGGAGCCCAGGAGGTCAAGTCTGCAGTAAGCTATGATTGCACCACTTATACTCCAGCATGGGAAACAGAGTGAGACCCTGTCTCAAAAACAAAAAACAAAACAAAAACCAAACAAAACTGCAATGATATACCACCTAACACCATTAGGTTGGTTACTATATTAATAAAACAAACAAGCAAACAAAAAAACACACAAAAAATCCAGAAAATAACTAGTGTTGGCGAGGATGTGGAGAAACTGGAACCCTTCTGCACTGTTGCTGGGAATGTGAAATGGTACATCCACGATGGAAAACAGTATGGTGCTTCCCCAAAAAATTAAAAATAGAGTTACCCAGCAACTAGATTTCTGCACATATACCCCAAATAATTGAAAGCAGGCTCTCAAAGAGATATTTGTATGCACATGTTCATGGCAGCATTATTCACAATAGCTAAAACATGAAAGCAACCTGTATTAGTCCATTTTCATGCTGCTGATAAAGACATATGCAAGACTGGGTAATTTATAAGGAAAAAGAGGTTTAATGGACTCACAGTTTCACGTGGCTGGGGAGACCTCACAATCATGGCAGAAGGTGAAGTGCACATATCACATGGCGGCAGACAAGAGAAGAGAACTTGTGCAGGAAAACTCCCCTTTATAAAACCATCAGATCTCGTGAGACTTATCCACCACCACGAGAACAGCATGGGAAAGACCTGCCCCCATGATTCAATTACTTCCCACTGGGTCCCTCCCACAACATGTGGGAATTGTGGGAGCCACAATTCAAGATGAGATTTGGGTGGGGACACAGCCAAACCATATCACAACCCAAGTGCCCACTGATGGATAAATGAATAAGCAGAACGTGGTATGAACAATGGGATACTATTTAGCCTTAAAAAGGGATGAGATTCTGACACAGGCTGCAACATGGATGAATCTTGAGGACACTGCACCAAGCGAAATAAGCCAGTTGCTAAAAATACAACTACCACAGAATTCCACTTATATGAGGTAGTTAGAGTAGTCAAAATTATAGAAACAGAAAGTGGAATGGTGGGTACTAGGGCCAGGGGAAGGGAAATGATGAATTATTGTTTAATGGAGACAGAGTTTCAGTTTTACAAGATGGAAAGAGTTCTATACAGATGCATGGTGGTGATGGTTGCACATCACGAGTGTATTTACCACCACCAAACTGTACACTTAAAATGATTAAGGTTGTAATTTTAAGTTATATGCATTTTACCACAATTTTTAAAAGTTGAAAAAAAGACAGAAGTGAGGGCAGTGGTTGCACTGGGGAGAAGGAGGAGGGCAGTTACTGGCGGGGGCTTTGGAGGGGTTTTTGACACAGTGTTCTACTTCTCAAACCAAGTGGCAATTACATAAATATTGCTTTGCTTTTTAAAAAAAGATTGTGGCTTTCTTCTTCCTAGAAGACTGTGTGTTGTCCTCTTGTCTGGCGTGCTTTGTTGATAGAAGCTGCACCATGGGAAAGCCTACATGGCTGGGAGCTGAGGGTGCCTCTGCCCAACAGCCAACGAAGAGTAAGCTTGGATGCAGACTTCCTCAGGCAAGCCTTCAGATGAGACCACAGATACTGTGCTATTGTCCTGATTGCAGTCTGGTGAGAAGCCAATATGCAGAGGACTCAAGCCACGCCTGGATTCCTGACTCATGGCAATGGTGAAATACTGAATGTTTTTTAAGCTGCAAAGTTTTGGGGAATTTTGTTATGCCCCAATAGGTAACAAATAATGCTATGTACAGAATCCTATGTTACTACTTATTTTATCTTGTGACTTTGAAAAAAATCGATATTTGACTATTGCTTGGCTTTTATCATTGTAATTGATAGGCTGCTTTCATGATAACTGCTTTTGATGTAATCTGAGTGGTTTTATTTTTCACTTTAAAATTTTTTTGTCTTTTGTATTCTGTAGTTTTACTCCTAAATGTAGAAGTGTAGTTTCATCTTTTTTCCCCAGCTGAAGTCTCACACTGTTCCTGAATCTTAGGATTCACATTTTTCATCAAGTATAGAACTTTCTTAGTGATTATCTTTTTAAATACTGTTGCTTCCTCATTCTTCTAATCATTCAGAATGGAACTCTCATAGATGTTTGGGATCTCCTCATTCTGTCATCATGCTCTGCCTCGCATCAGAAGTAATTTCTGCATATACCACAAATTCAGCTCTCAGCTGGGTCTAAATTGCTTTTTAAACTCACTCATTGAGTTAATTTTAGCAAGCATGGTTTTTCATTCTAGATATTCCATTTAGTTCTTCAAAACTGCCTATTCTTCTACCACTCCCTTGCAATCGTATTCTTGTTCATTTACTTCTTTTATTCCTGTAATTCTTACCCATGTTAAACATGTTTAATTAATGTTCTCTTTTTTGCTTGATTCACCTTTTGAAGGCCTTTGGTGGCGGAGTCCGTTCCTGCTGTTCACACATCTGCTGACTTCCCTCATGTGGTTCTTTCTTGGCATGTTTTGTACTTTATGATTGTAAATTCATCTTCAGTGGGCTTTATGGGTAGGAATTGGAGGGGGCTAGATTGATAATGTCTACGTGATTTTGCTTCTATCACTGTGCCTGCTTCTGTCATGGGCTTCAAGGGTATTACTAGCCTGGGCCCAGGTTTTATATCAAGTTATTTGCTGCAGGGGTGGTAGGGCCTGGACTGTGAAACCTGTGAAAATTCGATACCTAGGCTGGGCACGGTAGCTCATGCCTGTAATCCCAGCACTTTGGGAGGCCAAGGTAGGAGGATCACTTGGGCCCAGGAGTTCAAGACCAGCCTGGGCAACACAGCTAGACCCTGTCTCAAAAAAAAATTCAATACCTGAAGTCTAACAAGGCTCTGAGTCCTGATTATCAATTGTCATCAAAACTGTTTCTGTCTCACAGAACCACAACAGGCAGGCAAACACAGAACCATCCTGTTGTCTTCCTGTTCCTGTGGGCACACTCATTCACATCTCTCCTGATGGCGTAGCCCTTTGAGTGCCCTTGTTCCAGTTCCTGATTCACGTGGATCCAGGGAGGCCTCGTCTCCTTTCCCATGTGAGTGTGGAGACTTAAACCCCGGGGCTCCAGACGAACACTCTCCTGGGCTGCTGCCCTTTGGCTCTCACACTTTAAGACCTGGTTTTCAGCCTTCTGTTTGTCTCTGGTTCCTGTCACATCCCTGACCTCCTTGTGAGCTCAGCTCTGCATCAAGTTTGTTGTTTCTATCTTGTGCTCACAAGTTCTGTTCTGGGAGGCTTTTGGGGTTAGACCATCACAGGTAAAGACAGAAGGGGAAATCTACTTTTGCACCATTTCTAAGATCAATTTCTAGGCTTGTTTTCAGAACATTTGCCATCCCCCTCTGTTCTGGTTTGAATAATTGTCCCCTCCAAAATTCATGAAGTTTGATTGTCATTGTGATGATCTTGAGAGGTGGAACCTTTGAGAGGCGATGCAGCCACGAGGGCTTTGCCCTCCTGAATGGGCTGGTGCTATTATCATGGGAGTGGGCTTCTTATCAAAGGGTGGGTTCAGCACTCTTTTCTCTCTCTCTCCTTGCCCTTCTGCTATTCTGCGATGTGATGATGCAACAAGAAAGCCCTCACCAGATGCAGCCCCTTGAGGTTGGACTTCCCAGCCTCCAGAACCATAAGCCAACAAGCTTCTGTAAGCTGTCAGTTACCCAGTGTGCAGGAGTCTGCTATAGCAGCACAGAATGGATGAAGACATCATTTTGCAATCCTACAAGAAAGGTGTTCTTTTGTACTCATTTCATCACTGGCTAAACTGGACTCTGGATGGCTAAAGTAACAAGGCAGGTCTGTCTGCTTCCAGAGGACCTGTCCTGCTGCGGCGGTTCTGGGCTCCCCTGCGCTTTGTGGCATTTTACAGCTTGCAGTCATCCTGCAAGGTAGATGTTACTTCTCTTCCCATCTTATGGCTGAAAACCAAGCCTTACAGCAGTTATACAAGTTATGTGGCAGTTTTCAGCGATTGTATTAAAAAATATTTTAGGTAAACAATGTGGTGTATATACGCAATGGTATACCAGTCAGCCTTACAAAGGAAGACAATGCTACCATATATGACAATATAGATGAACCAGAAGGGCATTATGTGAAAAAACCCAGGCACAGAAAGACAAATGCTGCACAATCTCACTCACAGGTGAAATCTAGAAAAGCTGAACTCACAGAAGCAGAGGGTAGAATGGTGTTTACCTGGGGCTGGGGCCGGGCAGTGATGTTGGTCAAGGGATACATTTCAGTTACATTGGAGGAATATGTTCTAGGGATCTATAGTAGGACATGGTGACTGGAAAATTGCTAAGAGAGTAGATGTTAAGTGTCCTCACCACACCAAAAAACAAAAAGTATGTGAGTTAATGCATGTTAATTAACTTGATTTAGCCATTCCACAATGTATTCATACTTTAAAACAAGTTGTAAACAATATATACAAGTATTATTTGCCAATTAAAATACATACATTTAAAAATATTTTAGATATTTGTCCATTTTTGTTTCAAGTTTACTTGCTGGTCATTTTATTGTTAAAAAATTCTTGGTTGTTTTCGGCTGGGCACAGTGGTTCATGCCTGTAATCTCAGCACTTTGGGAGCCTGACGTGGGTGGATCACCTGAGGTCAGGAGTTCAAGACCAGCCTGACCAACATGGTGAAACCCCATCTCTACTAAAAATACATAAAATTAGCTGGGCGTGGTGATGGGTGTCTGCAATTCCAGCTACTCGGGAGGCTGAGACAGGAGAATTGCTTGAATCCGGGTGGCAGAGATTGCAGTGAGCTGAAATTGCACCATTGCACTCCAGCCTGGGCAACAAGAGCGAAACTCTGTCTCAAAAAATAAAAATAAAAATGACTGGTTTTTTTTTCTGTGTGTACATGACTGACAAGACCAGTGGTTTCCTTTAATACCTCATCGACGTTCCCAGGCACTTTTTGTATTTGAGGTGTGTGAAGTAATAGGTTGGCCCTTGTCTTGAGCGTGATACTGAACACACCGACTAATAAAATGGGGGCCTTTGGCTGCACACCAGGCGCTCTGGGTACTGATGAGCTCGCCCCCAACTCCATGCCAGGAATCAGAACGGTTGCCCGGGAGAGTCGGCAGAAAGAGGAGGAACCGGATGCAGTGATCTACCTGGTTTGTCCTGGTGTCCAGTAACTTGGAGTTCTTCTTTCACACGTGGCTGGCACAGAGGAGACACTCATAAATACCCGAGTTGAATAAAATAGTCCATTGACATGGAGTCGCATGAAGCAGCATTCGTCCATCCAAAACGCCGATGCTTCTTTAGAGTGGACTGAGTTTTCCCCCAATACTAGGTTGTCCCACGCGATGGACAAAAATAGCCCATGTGGCAACGGAGGCTGGCCGGGGGGACCTAATGCCCATGCCTCTGGCATTCCCACCAAGGTGACTGTCCAGTAGCTCCCAGGACAGCCCATCCGTGTAGGGCAAACGCCATGAGCCACTCCTGTGTGCAGGCACAGGGCAGGCCCAGGCACAGGGAGGCGGGTGGGCAGGCACACAAACAGCCAAACGCTGACCCTGGAGGGCGGTGGTCATCTGCTCATCACAGGGGAAAGACTGGAGGTGGGAGAGGCAGGTGCCACCCGCAGGAGTTGGGACGAGCTGTGCACACGGCTGGGCACACGCAAAGCTGAGCCTTCTTCGTGAGCAACACGGTCACATTTGGGTGTAGGAATCTTGGCTGGAGTTGCCCAACGTGGGGAGCAGACAGCTCTGCAGCCAGGACCCCAGTTGGAGAAGGCAGCGCTTGGAACAAGCCAGGACAGTGGACAGACGGGCCGGTGCCAAATAGAAGTCATGATAACGCGCTGACAAGCTGTGCAGACGAACACTGTGTGTAGACGGAGGCCATGGAGAGTGACGATGGGGAAGACGCTGGATCCCTGGCTGGCCTGCATCCCTCTCCGTTCTCAGTTGCCTGTGGAATTCCGGGGAGCTCTGCTCCAGCTACACTGCACATAAAAGTGCGCAGGAAGTGGATCCTGGAGAGGAACTGTTCTTCTGGACTGAGCTTGCTGCTCATGGCAGCCCCACCTGCAGGACCCAAAGCCTTATGTGATGTTTGCTGGACACTCAGCCACGTGGCTGCCTGTTGAGCTCTGCAAGTCCACGCGGGAGCCAGGAATTCCTCCCCAGAAGTCTCTCCATTATATTCACCACCCCCTAGTAAATCACAACCTGACTTGCTGCAGAGGATGGAGTGCCTGGGACTCGTCTGACCCCAGCTCCCCTGGGGAAGTGGGGGTGGTACGTCCCTGCACCCGGCCACGTGCTGCCTTCTCCTGGGCTGCCTGTCCATGCTGAGCAGACAGGAAAGTCCAGTGAGGTCCCTGCCTGTGCACTCCACCAACCACATCGTCCCTTCCCGGCAGCCTCACCTAGGCCCCTCCAGCTACGACCCCTTGTCCCCTGCACCGATGCCTGGCCTTGGAGGTTGCTGCTCATTTTTCTGGAATTTTTTCTTAGATCTCTGCAGGGCTGCCCCTCCCCCTACAAGGGCTCCACACGTGTTCCCTCCTTCATGACTCCCACTGGGCTTCCCCGACAGGGCCTCACCCTCCCCAAAGCTCTGGTGACACCTGCCAGGTTTCCTCCAGGCCACAGCTCGGCAGCCCGATCTTAGAACAGAACGTGGCACGCAGGGCAGGTCTGGCTGAGGGCCCAGCATTGTCAGCGGGGTTGGAGGTCTTCCCGGGCCTCGAAGGGGAGACGTAGGCTTCTCAGGGCAGCCCAGGACGCGTCCTCACGAACCACAGCGAAATTACAGCAGGTATCTCGCGGATAGGAGTCTGCATCATTCCGTCTCCATGCCGTGGTTTCTGAAATTATGCAACTATCTCGGCATTCCAGAGGGCTCAGAGTAGCCACGCGCAGAGGCCCTCCCCATGGGGTGGATGGAAGCGTCCACTCGCGGCGCGAGGAATATCCCTGGGCCCCTCGGGAGAGTCTGCAGGGGCAGCCCCTGGGTGAGCAGGCCCAGTGCGGCCTCTCCCTGAAGGGACTTTCGGGCCCTCCCGGGTCGGGGCTTCACCGGTAGCAGGCAGGGCTTTGATATTAATGCTTAAAGGGAAAGCAGAGCTGAGCTGTCAGGACGTTGGTTAGCTACAAACCCTACTCTTGTTAAAAGAGAAATGGGGTCGGGGAAGGGGTTCTCCAGCCCTGAACTTCCCGGGCCGGGCAGGACGCGGTCCCTCCAGGAGTCGGGGCTCCCCCGCCTGGGGACGCACTGGGGCAGGCGCGCTTCTCCTCTCGGGGTCCCATGTGCCGCCGGCTCTCGGACGGTAAATCAGGGCTCGGGTGGGGGCGATGGGGGGCCCGCGGCCTCGGTGCCCCTGGCCAGCCTCGGAGGCGCACGGGCCAGGCCGCGGGGCGAGAAGCGAGCGCGGGAGGGCGGCAGCTGGCGGAGCGGGAAGGGAGCGGGGCGGCTGCGGCTGCGGCGCGGAGGAGCGCCATTTACGTTCGGGCCCGCGCCAGGCGCTGACGTGGGCGGCCCTGTCTCGGCTTCCGGGCCCGCAGGGTCCTCGGGGCGGACGGCGCTCCCGCCAGCGGCGCTGAGTCCGGCCCGACCCTGCCCGACTTCCTCGGGGACAGGCGGTTTAGAACGTGCGGAACACCAGGCCCGGGGCCTCCGCCGGGCTGCAGCCCCGCGAGCTTCCCGCCAGGCTCCCGCCCCGCCCCGCCCCGCAGCCGCGTCCCGGCCGGGCGGGCCCTGAGCCGCCCGCGTGAGTCCGTGCGCCGCCCGCGCTGGGAACCAGGAGACCAACCGCGAGGCCCCGCCCGCGCGCGCCGCCGTGTCCCCGCCCGCGCGGTCGTCGGAGCGCGGCTCAGCGGCGCGGCGGAGACTCGGCACGGCGGCGGCCAGGCGCAGGCGGGCGGGCGGAGCAGCGGACGGCGCCGAGGCCGCCCCACGCGCCGGGCTCGCGGCGGCGCAGCGCGCCGGAGTGGTCGGGGCCCGCGGCCGCTCGCGCCTCTCGATGGGCAGCTCGCACTTGCTCAACAAGGGCCTGCCGCTTGGTAAGGCCGCGCGCGCGCGCGTTTCCGGCCGCGGGCGGGGGCGGGGCGGGGCGGGTGCCGCGCGGGCGGGGGGCGCGGGGGCGGACCGAGCGCGCGCCCGCGGGCCGCCGGCTTTGTGTGCGAGTGCGCGTGCGCGCCGGCGTCCGCGCGTGGCCGCGGTCGGGGGCGGGACCGCGGGAAGGGTCTTGCGCATGCGCGGGCCGCTGCGTGTGCGCGAGCGCCGCAGTCTGCTCTCCCCGCCCGCGGCCCGTGCAGGTGACACAAAAGGGCCTGTGGGCCTCTGGGCTGCCCCGCCGGACCCCCAGCTCCACCGACCCCAGCCCCGTCGGACCCGGGACGGCACCCCGGGTCCCGATCCCCGGCCGCTACCCCGTCCCCGGTCATGACCCCGTGGCTGGGCCTGCGGGGCCGGGATGGGGCGGGAGCCGTGCGCAG
This sequence comes from Homo sapiens, assembly GCF_000001405.40. Classification (NCBI taxonomy): domain Eukaryota; kingdom Metazoa; phylum Chordata; class Mammalia; order Primates; family Hominidae; genus Homo; species Homo sapiens. Next base: position 1,248,480 of record NC_000004.12, on the reverse strand, counting down.
CTCGGGGTGTCCTGGGGCGCGCGCTCCCGGGCCACTCGCGGGAGCGCGCCTCCCGCGGGGAGGCCGCCGGCGACCGTGGCCGCGCGCTGTGGGGGAAGGGGACGGGGCGCGGGTGCCGGGTATGACCGTGGAGGAGGCCGCTGCCCTCAGACCGGGCCCAAAGCGCAGCCCCCGGCGGTGACGCGGGAGGGCCCGGGGTCTCCGTTCCCGCGAACTCCGCGAGGTCCCGGACCGGCCCAGCGCCCCCACCTGCCCTTGCCTGGGCCCGCCCAGGTCCCGGGGCGCCTTCCTCGCGGGCTGCGGCCGCGGAAGCAGGGAGCACGGGCGGGCGCCGGGCTTGCCACCATCGCCATCTTGCAGCGCCCGCGTCCTGGGCCGGCCCGAGCCGCTGCGCGGAGCCTCTCTTTCCCTCGACCCGGCTGCAAAGGCAGAGTCCGTGCGCCTGAGCCCCGGGCCGAGACTGGAGCGTTCTCTGGCGGCCTCCAAGGGCGCCGGTGTCTGGAAGCCCGGCCTGGGCCAGATCCCTTTTGCTGTCGTCTCCGTGATTGCCGGGACAGAATTCCCTTCCAGTGGGGAAAAGGGAAGGCGGTCGCGCCCTTCCCGGTGCCCTGAGTGGGGAGGTGAAACCCTGAGAGTTGGGGCAAGAGGGCCTGGAGCTAGGGCCGAGGCGGCGGGTGCGCAGGGTGTTCCGTTGAGCCCGAGCCCCCCCCCCCTCCCCGGCCTCTCCACCGTTTCTGTAGGAGCGCGGCAGGGAGCACACGTCCCTCGGGAAGAAAACGGCGCTGGCGGCTGGGCCCGCACCGCGGCCGTCCTCGCTGAGCTCCTAGCGCGTGGCCTTTGCGCGTCTGTGTACCCGTCTGCAGCTTGGGGCAGGGTTGGGGGAGAACCGTGGGGTAACTATTTGCCGTTGCAGCTGAGGATGACAGCTGCGGTTTGGGGGTCCCCCTTTCTGTGTCCTGGAACTTTGTAGGGCGTGGCTCTGCCCTGGGCCTCAGCACCCGGCCTCCCAGGTCTCCCCTGCCTGCCCGGGCCTGGCCACCTCCCTCTGGGGTCTGGGTTTGGCTCCTGGTTGGGGCTGTCGGCTCCGCAGACGCCTTTTGCTCTCTGTGATTCTGTTGCCCATCTTTGAGCACCTGCTTCCATACAGGCGTCCTCTGCAGAGCTCTGGGAGGGACACGCACTGGGGGTGGCATCTGGTCACTCCTGGGGGTGCCTCGTCCGCCTGCCCGGCCATTTTTGGGGTGTCTGCCATGTCCCCAACATGCACTTCTTCCTGTCAGCCTTGACCAGGGCAGCTGTTAGTTCTGAGAGGTGGGCGTGTGGTTGGGGATGTCAGCGAGTAGGATCTTCCCTTTTACTCGCTTGTCATTAACCTGAGAACGTGGCAGTGGGGGAGGAGAGGCTTGGCCCGGGGTGCACAGGACTGTGGGCTGGTCCTGTCCCTCTGATGAGTGGGACGAGCCTTGGTCCAGTCCTGTGGGCTTGGCGCAGAGCCGGCCCCCTGCCATGTCCTGGTGGGATTGGAAGTGCTGGCTCGTCCTGTCTGCCTCCCCCAAGGGCTGGGAGCCCCCCACTCTTTGGACATTTGTAGTGTAAGCAGACAGCAACTGTTAACCATCATTCTGTTAATAAATTTTTTCTGGAGGAACCCTGGACAGAAGTAGTCATGCTCTCCAGGAAACGGGCCCCAGGCTCGAGAGGCCCAGTCTCTTCCCTCGGGGCTTAGAGGTGGCCGTCAAGCCACACCTGGTTCCCCACCAGCCTGGCAGTTTTTCTGGTTTTTCTCCTCTGACTGTCACTTGCCCTCTCAACTTCCTGCGGCCAGTACCCCCAGAATGTGACCTGGTCTGAGCTGACGGTGGTGTCACTGAGCCAAGAGGCGTGTGGCTGGCACCACTAGTGTTGCTGAGAACTCTTCAGGCAGCACTTTGTGCCCGGCTGTGCCCTGGTGCTCCCCATGCAGTGCCCAAGTCAAAGGTGTGTGCCCTGTGAGGTGTTTACCCCGGTTGACTCTCCTTGTAGAAGGACTTAATGTTTCCCACTCCACTGGGGGCTGGAGAGGGCTCCATCCAGGTGGTGCTGACGGTGCAGGCCTGGCCCAGGGCCCAGGGGTGGCCAGGAGGTGGTAGAGGCAGCAGGCAGTGTCATACGGGTTCTGTGGTTGAACTGCATCGCCCAAGGGAACGCTGGTCGGAGCGCCGGGTGGAGCGCCAGGGTCCTCTGGTGGTCGCTGGATGTTGGTAGTTGTGGGTAAGAGCTCTGTGCCGGGAGTGTCTGGACCCCCGGGTCCTCCATTGTCAGCTGCAGTGGCCGGAGCCCACTGCTCTCCCCCGCACTGGGTCGTGGTAACCCACAAGGTGCCACCTGCGTCACTGACCATCGTTTCCAGAAGCCCCTCCGGCCACACATTCCATGTGGTATCTCCCACAAGGAAATGTTCGTTTTTTTCCCTGTGAAGCCAGAAATTTCTTGGTGGCTCTTTGCCGAGCCAAACGTTAACCTTGAGTTGTCTCTCTGGGCGGCCCCAGGTGGTACCAGTTCTCACGGGTGTTGAAGGAGAGTGAGGATGGCCCTGAGGGAAGCCCAGTTGGTTTGGTTGGGGAGGCGTTGGGGCTATGGCCCTGAGAGAGGTGTGGGCGGTGTTGGGACCAGGCCCCTTCTGCACCCTCCCCTGGCACCGCCGTTAACTCTCCAGGCCTGGTGTGGCCCAAGCCACCCTGCCTACCCGTGCTACCCTACCCACACGTGCCACCCTGACCTGCTTGTGCCATCCTGCCCGCCCGTGCCACCCTGCCCACCCGTGCCACCCTGCCCTGCCGCCCGTGTCACCCTGCCCGTCCATGCCACTCTGCTATGCCGCCCGTGTCACCCTGCCCTCCCGTGCCACTCTTCCCTGCCGCCCGTGTCACCGTGCCCTCCTGTGCCACCCTGACCTGCCGCCCGTCTGTGGTGTGGGGGCTCCTGGGCTGCCCTGTCTGCGTGGCTGGCAGGAGCCTCAGAGGCATCCGAGGCTGTCTCTCCAGTGGTGTCGTGTGTAGACTGTGTTGGGAAGGGGAGGAAGGTGTAGCCCTGATACCCCACATGTGGTAGGAGCCAGGAAGGTGGCGTTCTGGGGGTTCCTGGAGCTCACAGGTTGTGTGCATGTGCTCGCTGAACAAACAGGGAAACGTGCGGCTCCACGGATGTCCTGGAGAGGAATCTTGCTGGCAAATCCATGCCTTTGATCACAGCCCCTGCGCTGTGTCCTCTGAGCTGTGATGCGGCCCTGCAGGCCCCGTGGAGTGCGGTGGCTCCCTGGCTCACAGGGATGCTGCCGTCCAAGGTGCCGTATCGGCTCGTGGATGACTTGGGCAGTGTCTGTCTGGGGTGCTGTCGTCGGAGGAGCTGTTTCAACCTGTGGGTGACGGGCCTTGTCTGTCTGGGGGAGGTTCTCTTGGCCCCGTGCTCTCAGCCCAGTGGCTCCATGCTGCTGTGCGGCTCCCTCTTGGGGGCCTGCCTTCTCTGCCATTGCAGGGCAGGGCCTCAGTTTTCTCTGGGCGGCAGGTGGCTGTATCTCAGGACTGGAAGGCTCCGGGTCAGGCTGTGCACAGCCTTCGTTCATGTCAGCCCCTGGCTGGGCAGCACCGCCAGGCCCTAGTCTTTGGGCCTCCAGGCCTGGACAGCCAGAGGGGGCATCTCACCAATGCCCAGATGGCTGCCGGGGACTCACGGCAGGGCAGCTTTGTCACGAGAGGGCCACTCGAGCCCGGAGTAATCAGGGCTTATGGGGACAGGGCAGGGTGAGGGCCGCTGAGACCACCCAGCCTTAGGGTGCCCTTCTGGTGGTCGGGGAGCCCTTCCTGGGCAGCGGCTTTAGGGGCTGCTGTGGGGAGGGGGAAGAAGATGGGGTTGGTGAGGAGGAGCTTTTGGGACACTGTCCTGGTGGAGGTCGTGAGGGAGGGGAGCGGACCGGTTGGCCCAGCAGGGCTGGCCAGTGGAGGGACGTGGAGGGTTGGTAGCTGCCGAGCCTGGGTCTGAGCAGGCGGGGATGAGGACCAGGTGCTGAGGCTGGGGAAGGAACAGGGGTAGCTGCTTGGTCCTGGCGCATCTTGGTGCCCCCTGGGACTTCCTGGAACACCCCCCCCCCAGTGCCCAGAGACCCACTGTGGCTGTCTGGATCGGGGCAGGTCCCAGCCCATGGTGACCCCCAGTGTGCCGGGGCAACCCGGTCCCTCTCCAGACCAGAATGGACCGATGCCCAGCACACACGTGGATCGGGGCGGAGTGGGCAGGCGTGGCCAACAGGAGGGAGGATCCGGCAAGCAGATGGTGATGTGCATCCAGAGACAGGGCGTTGACATGTGGCCAGGAGGCTCTGGGGTCATCGGGCCGCCACCGTGCAGCCCCCCGGGACTTGATGCCTCCAGAGAACCTGGGGGCTGCTGCCCCTCACCTCACCCCCATTTACTTTAAAATCAGTTTTTGTTTTAGAGCAGTCTTAGATTTACAGGAAAATAGGAAGCACAAGCTTCCATGTGCTCTACACTCACTTCCCTCGTGGGTCCCTTGAGTGCTTTCTTACAACATGAGGTTAAGCGTCTGCAGGGTGAGAAGCTGGAGACTGTCCTCGTGTCGCTGGGCTGAGAGCCGTGTGCGGCTGTGAGTTTTTGATGAGGAAAAGCAGTGTGGGTCCTGGATTTGGACAGCACAGGCCCCTCTGGGAGCCGTGTGCCTTCACCTCGGAGTGTGTGGGCAAGGTACAGAGCTGGAGCCCTTGACCCTGACCGGCCAGCCAGGAAGGCCGTAGGAGGCCAGCTCCCTGGCGTGAGGTGCGCAGGGCCTCTGGCATTGCCCTAGGTGAGGGCTCCAGGACTCGGACACTGGCTCTCAGTGGGGCAGGTGTGGCCCGGCAGGGGGCGCTTTGTGGGTGCACAGTGGCCCCAGGGTGGTGCAGATGGTGGGCAGACCTACCCCAGGGCTGTTTCTGAGACAGAGGTCCCTGGAGGAGAACCAGGTGCTGGGCCTCAGGTGTCTGTCCTGAACTGGAGCAGCCTTGGAACAAGGAACCACAGGAAGTCCCTGTGGCATGGGGTGCAGCCCCTCAGGTCTGGCAGGGCTAGCCCAGGGAGTGCAGGGCCCCAGGAGCCCTGCCACAGGTTCCTCAGCTCGGGAGCTCACGGCCTCCTCACTGCAGGGTCCTTTCAGGAGGGCCAGGGTGGCCTTCACACATCTGCTTCTTCCTCAGAGACACAGGTGTGGGCACGTACTGGCCAGTATAGATAAGCATTGAGCAGCATTGATGGGTATCGATGATCCTCCAGGAGCAGCGGCTGGTGCCATGCTGCTGTGGGCAGTATTGAGTATTGGCCGGTCTTGACGAGCAGCAGCCGGTACTGGGCCACCGTGGGTAGCATTGATGAGTATTGACTGGTATCAATGAGTATCAGCCGGTATCAATGAGTATTGGCCCGTATCAATGAGTTTGGCCAGTATTGATGAGTATTGGCTGGCATTGATGAGTATCGGTTGGCGTTGATGAGTATCGGCTGGCATTGATGAGTATCGGCTGGCGTTGATGAGTATCGGCTGGCATTGATGAGTTTGGCTGGGCGTGGGTGGCGCGGTGCCTTGCCCCCTGGCCAGGCTGGCTCGTGGGTGAAATGTGACATTTAGGCGGTTTTCTCCTGTCCTTTTAGTTTGTTTTTATGTGGTATCCGGGTACCATGGGGAGATCTGGCATTCAGGGCAGGAGGCTGCAGCGCAGGTCATGGGGGCTCAGGCGCAGGTGATGGGGATCCCGCTCCACAGTGTTGCTCTTGGGCCCTCCGTCAGGGAGTCCCACACAGCACCTGCCATGAGGAGTGGTGTTGGGGACCCTGGATGGGAGGTGCGTGCGTGGGGCTGCACCCCAGCCCCTGTGATGGTGTCTCTGGAAGCTGGAGATGGTCGGCATGTATGCTTGAATCCTGCAGAGGGAGTTGAGGGTTGGAGATTTGTCTGCGAGGCCTCTGCGCAGGGGCGGCCTCACAGCACACTACCAGGGTCTTAGGCTTGGCTGAGTGGCCCCTTCTGGCCTGGCAGGCAGTCGTCTCAGCCCACGCCTGCCATGCTGCTGGGCTGGTGGTGGCCGGCTCCTGTCCTGGTCAGCCTGATGTCAGCTGCACGTTGGGGTCAGCCTCGGTGCTGTGTCTTCATGCCAGAGCAGGGGCCAGGTGTGGGCAGCTCAGTGACACCCTCCCGAGGGCTGGGCGATCGTGTGCACTCTCAAGCCTCTACTGGAAGGCTTGGCCCTCTCAGGGGCCCCCTGCCCCTGTGCATTCAGCCACTGGGGTTCGTGCCCTCAGCTTCCCGCCAGGCCCTGGCCGTAGCGGTCAGGAAGAGCTGAGCAGTTTTTTTGGGAGAATTGAGGGAGCGTCGCCAGGATGCACTGAGGGTCGGAGGTGGAGCCGGCGCGGCTCAGTGCAGGCAGTGCCAGGCTGGATGCTGGAAAGCCAGCAGCACCTCTCCCGGTGGCTCCTGGGAAGTTCCACGTCCTTGCCTGGTCACAGAGGCCCGGGAATCAGTGACATGAGATAGAAGCTTCCAGAACAGGAGGCAGAGCCTTTCCGCAGTTTCCCTGCCCACAGCACACACCCTGTGCCCTCCGTCCCCTGGTTCTTGGACACTGGGGACATCTGGATGCGGCTAGAGCCTGTGGGGGTGGCCGCAGCCCTGGGGGACTGTTCCCAGGAGTAGGCCTCGGGGCCACAGGGGCGCGGCCTCGGGCCTGGCACTGCAACCTCAGGGTGAGCGCCCTTCGTGTGTGCGGCAGGAGCCGGGGCCCCTGGCTGTCAGCAGGCCCCCGAGTCCAGGTAGGTCCCAGACAGCAGTCCCGGGTGTGGCAGATGCAGTGAGGTCCACTTCTGAGGCGTTCCCTGGAGTCTGTGAGTTCTGGTCGGACCTTCGATGGCATTTTAATGTGTCTCTTGTGTTTGATTTTTAGTAAGACTTTGACCCCGACGCAGGCTTCAGTGATTGCCGCGGATCAGAAGCCTGAGCACTTTGGCTCGAGACAATTAAGGACGTGGGATGAGGCTCCGAGACAGGACGCGGTTCTGCCTGGGGATCCTGAAGATAAAAAGCTTTGAAAAGTCGAATTCATGGTCGTGGAAGCTGAGCCCATATTAAGAGATGTCAGGTTGGTAGGGGTTCCTGGCGTCGGCGGCAGAGTGAAGCCGGCCGGTCTCTTTGCGACCGTGTGGAGGAGGCACTGCCTCGGATCAAGTCGAGGGACCTGGGCTGCATGGGCGTCGGGCCGGACTGCTGCCACCTGACCCCCGGTGTGCTCTGGGCGAGGTCAGGTGCCCCTCGAGGGAGGGCTTCCTGCACACCTGGTGGCAGAGCACAGCTGTGGTCAGGCCTGTCCGTGGCATCTGCTGTCTGTTTCTGTCGGAAAGTGTCTGAGAGGCACGGAGGGCCTCCATGTGGAGGCCGCCAGCACGAGGGTGGAGCCCCACACGGAACCCTGGAAATCTCAGGTGTCCACCCGGCTGGCCCAGGAGCAGGGCCGTGGCCCCTGTGGAGCTGTTCCTTGTGGTTGGTCTGCGCTCTCTGGCCCGGAAGTGCGTGCAGTCGGAAACAGCCTTGGGCTTGGGGGATGCTGCAAAGCCTGCTTCAGCACAGGCCGTGTGACTGTGAAGCCTCCTGGGTGTGTCCCCAAGCCTGCAAGGGTGGGCTGTCCGGGGAACCCTGGCACGGTGGTCAGGGGCAGCTCATGGGTGATGTGAGGAGGCACCTTGGGTGCCTGAGCCTGATGGGGCTTGGTGTCTCCACCTGCTCCCCCCTCCCCACCGTTCAGCTGAGGGACCCGGTTCCCACTCACCCAGCACCCGGGAGTCCCCCACGCGGTTCCGACGAGGGACCCGGTTCCCACTCACCCAGCACCCGGGAGTCCCCCACGCGGTTCCGACGAGGGACCCGGTTCCCACTCACCCAGCACCCGGGAGTCCCCCACGCGGTTCCGACGAGGGACCCGGTTCCCACTCACCCAGCACCCGGGAGTCCCCCACGCGGTTCCGACGAGGGACCCGGTTCCCACTCACCCAGCACCCGGGAGTCCCCCACGCGGTTCCGACGAGGGACCCGGTTCCCACTCACCCAGCACCCGGGAGTCCCCCACGCGGTTCCGACGAGGGACCCGGTTCCCACTCACCCAGCACCCGGGAGTCCCCCCAGGCGGTTCCGACGAGGGACCCGGTCCCACTCACCCAGCACCCGGGAGTGCCCCACACGGTTCCGACGAGGGACCCGGTTCCCACTCACCCAGCACCCGGGAGTCCCCCACGCGGTTCTGACGAGGGACCCGGTTCCCACTCACCCAGCACCCAGGAGTCCCCCCAGGCGGTTCTGACGCAGCCGAGCGGTCTGCAGTGATCCCGTGTGTCCATGCCTTCCTCATCAGAAGTGAAATCCAAGGATACTGAGAGCGGATGTCTATCCACTCACTCAGAAACAGCAACATAAACCTTTCTGCTCATGAGAAGTCATCACCACCACACACAGCGGGGAGGGAGGCCACGTGCAGAGGGAGGCCATGTACAGTGTCACTGGGCGGCCTGTCTATGGTGCTCGTGGGCAGCTCCCGTCCAGAGGGAATGAAGGAACAGGCGAACCAGGACGCGGTTTTGACCGTGCAGACCTCACGTTTGGGATCTGGTTTCCTATCTTGAAGGAAAGTGGGTGGAATGGCCAGTGGCTCCTCCGAGGACGCCAGGGCGCGAGGACCTCACGGGAGGGGCATGGGCCCAGCCGTACTGGGAGCCCTCGGCTTTGGGGTGGTCAGTGGAGACCCATGCCCCGTCCCCTGCAGGCGTGTGCTGCAGGCCCACTGCACCCCTGGGCTGTCCACCAGAGCATTTCTTTTCTCTGCCATGGGTTCCAGGAGGCACTTCCCTGCTTCCTGGATACTGGCAGCTCGGTGGCCTCTGCTCACCTGCAGGCGGATGGGGCAGCGGATGGGGCGGGAGACTGGGCCGAGCGTGCTTGTGGCCGCGGCCACTGGAGAGCCTGCTGGGTCACTCTGCTCCTTGGTTCTGTCGTGCGCCTCCCCTCCTGCTGGCCGAACGGTCCTGGGTACTGCTTGGTCTCCTGTGGCCGGTCTTTGGAGGAGGAGGGGAGGGACCGGCTGGGCCCTGGCCCCAGCTCCGCCTCTGCCCAGCTGCCGTGGGGCTGACAGTGGCCCCACCTGGTGCTCCCTGCCTGGCACGGGGCGGTCGGGCGGTGCCTGGAAGCTGCCATGCTTCTGTGACGCCTCAGAGCCCTTATTTCTCCAGTTGGCCCCGATGAGGCTTAGTTGCGTCATACGCGAAAGGAATGGGTGTTAATGAGCTTTAATCATCTGGTTCTGGGAAGGTCAGGGGCACAGAGTGGACTTTAACAGGTTTTAACCCTTTTCTTCCTTTGTTCTGTTTCTTTTCTCTTCACATCTATAATTGGAAGTAATGCCAGGCAGAGGGTTGGGGGCGTCCTACGTGAAACACTGGTGACCCCATCAGGGATTCCGGGCAGCCACGCGGTAGCCCAGGCAGGAAAGGGACAACCATGTTCCCAAAGTCCCGTGCTGTCATCTTGTGTCCTCCAGTGTCCTGGGTCCCTCCTGTCCCCCTGCCTCATGGAGCTGCCCTGGGGTCTCGGACGGTCTGGGAGGGTCTCGGGGGGTCTCAGAGGGTCTTGGAGGGCCTAGGAGGGTCGGGAGGTGTCTCGGTGGGTCTGGAAATGTCTTGGGGAGTCTCAGAGGGTCTGGGAGGTTCTCAGAGGGTCTGGAGATTTCTTGGGGGGTCTCGGAGGGTCTTGGAGGGTGTGAGAGGGTCTCAGAGGGTCTGGGAGGATCTCGGAGGGGCCTTGGAGGGTCTCGGAGGGGACTTGGAGGGTCTCGGAGGTCCTGTGCCCAAGGGAGATGGTAGTGGGTGTCCACAGTCTGTGTCCACTTGAGTCAGCGAGCTGAGGCACACACGAGTTGTCTTTCACGTGGATTTTTAATTTACTTTTTACAAATATCACAACATATAGACCAGAAAACCCCCGGCGGTCGGCCCTCGTTGGCCCGTGCACAGTGGGTGGCGTGGAGTGGGTTGTAGCCACGGGGCCGCAGTGGTGCAAGGCTGAGCACTTGCCTCTGTCTTGCAGGCGTCCGACCTCCGATCATGAACGGGCCCCTGCACCCGCGGCCCCTGGTGGCATTGCTGGATGGCCGGGACTGCACAGTGGAGATGCCCATCCTGAAGGACGTGGCCACTGTGGCCTTCTGCGACGCGCAGTCCACGCAGGAGATCCATGAGAAGGTACCACCACGTGGTCGCCTGGGGCTGGCAGAACCGCACGTTGGGGGGAGTTGGAGGGACGGGAGCACGGCAGGCCCGGGCCACAGCAGGTCTGGGTGCCACTGGGGCAGGAGCAGCCTCTGTCCCAGTCGTCCCGCGCCGTCAGGAGGTGGACACGGGGTTTTCCCTGGACACCATCAGGAGGTGGACATCGGGTTTGCCCTGAGCCCCATCAGGAGGTGGACACGGGGTTTTCCCTGTGCCCCATCAGGAGGTGGACACCACGTTTGTCCTGAGCCCCATCAGGAGGTGGACATTCGGTTTGCCCTGTGCCCCATCAGGAGGTGGACACGGGGTTTTCCCTGAGCCCCATCAGGAGGTGGACACTCGTTTTGCCCTGTGCCCCATCAGGAGGTGGACACGGGGTTTGTCCTGAGCCCCATCAGGAGGTGGACACGGGGTTTTCCCTGAGCCCCATCAGGAGGTGGACACGGGGTTTGTCCTGAGCCCCATCAGGAGGTGGACACGGGGTTTGTCCTGAGCCCCATCAGGAGGTGGACACGGGGTTTGTCCTGAGCCCCATCAGGAGGTGAACACCGGGTTTTCCCTGAGCCCCATCAGGAGGTGGACACAGGGTTTGTCCTGAGCCCCATCAGGAGGTGGACACGGGGTTTGTCCTAAGCCCCATCAGGAGGTGGACACGGGGTTTTCCCTGCACACCATCAGGAGGTGAACACCGGGTTTTCACTGAGCTCCATCAGGAGGTGGACACGGGGTTTGTCCTGAGCCCCATCAGGAGGTGGACACGGGGTTTTCCCTGAGCCCCATCAGGAGGTGGACATGGGGTTTTCCCTGAGCCCCATCAGGAGGTGGACACTCGGTTTGTCCTGAGCCCCATCAGGAGGTGGACACCGGGTTTTCCCTGAGCCCCATGAGGAGGTGGACACTCGGTTTGTCCTGAGCCCCATCAGGAGGTGGACACTCGGTTTGCCCTGTGCCCCATCAGGAGGTGGACACTCGGTTTATCCTGAGCCCCATCAGGAGGTGGACACTCGGTTTGCCCTGTGCCCCATCAGGAGGTGGACACTCGGTTTCTCCTGAGCCTCATCAGGAGGTGGACACGGGGTTTTCCCTGAGCCCCACACTCGGTTTGTCCTGAGCGCCATCAGGAGGTGGACACTGGGTTTGCCCTGTGCCCCATCAGGAGATGGACGCTCGGTTTCTCCTGAGCCCCATCAGGAGGTGGACACGGGGTTTGCCCTGAGCCCCATCAGGAGGTGGACACCGGGTTTGCCCTGAGCCCCATCAGGAGGTGGACATTCGGTTTGCCCTGAGCCCCATCAGGAGGTGGACACCGGGTTTGTCCTGAGCCCCATCAGGAGGTGGACATTCGGTTTGCCCTGAGCCCCATCAGGAGGTGGACACCGGGTTTGTCCTGAGCCCCATCAGGAGGTGGACACTTGGTTTGCCCTGTGCCCCATCAGGAGGTGGACACTTGGTTTGCCCTGTGCCCCATCAGGAGGTGGACACCGGGTTTGCCCTGAGCCCCATCAGGAGGTGGACACCGGGTTTGCCCTGAGCCCCATCAGGAGGTGGACACGGGGTTTGTCCTGAGCCCCATCAGGAGGTGGACACTCGGTTTGTCCTGAGCCCCATCAGGAGGTGGACACCGGGTTTGCCCTGTGGCTTCTTGATTCATTTTCAGTTTTTTCCCAGAGAGCAGGTCCTCGGGATGCCAGCTTTTGTGGCGGGGGTGGAGTAAGGTGCTTCCCCCGGCCCCAGTTGCGCGGCGGTCTTCACACGGGCGGTCTCGGCATTGCCCGCGGCCTGGCTTTGGTCCAGCAGTGAGCAGCCTTTGGGCAGCTTTCCTGATTCTTGTTTGCTCAGGAGACCCACAGGCTCCTCCGTGATGAGAACTAGGTTGGTCTGGCTTCTACTTGTAGCCAGGGATCAGTGATTCAGAGCAGCTTTTCCCTGAAGACAGACGAAGAAGCTGGGCCCCCAGGAGCTCACAGGATAGGGCCAGGCCCAGGCTGCAGCCTGGAGAGGCCTATAACCTGCAGGAACGGGCGGGCCTTGCCAACTCTGGCCTGGGGTGTTGGCTGTTCTGGAAGAAGTAGCTGAGAGGCTGAATTTGGCTTTGGTGGCATCACTGGCCTGCTGGGTGTGGGGCCCTGCCGGGATATCCATGGCCTGAAAGGTGACATCTGGAGTGAGGGTGACCTGGACTCTGACGCGCCACACGATCGGCACCCAGCCTGCTGATGTCCAGGAAACCTTGAATCTGGATTTTTGGGGACCCCGCACTGCCGGCCCCAGGTGCCTGGCAAAAGAAGTAAGACGGCCCCTTTAGAGGAAGACAGCGTCAGCCGAGGCCTCGGGTCATTTCTACAAATCACCATCTGGTGCGGGGTCCATCACATGCAAACAGAGGTAACCAGGCAGTCAAGGAGATGCGCAAAACGCAGAAGCCAGGGAAGCAGTGCCACCCGCAGGAGCTCCCCGTGCTGCCCACGAGCCGATCACCCCAGCCCAGCCCCCAGGAGGCTGGGCCAGACACCGACGAAGAGCTGATGACTCTGGAACGGGGCGTAGCAGCGTTAGGGGAGAAAATGAGATGCGGATCTGAGAAAACGGCGAAGCTGATCGGTGGAACTGAGGGGCGGGTTTACCAGCTGACCAGGCGGCAGCGGACAGGAGGGAAGGAGAGAACGCGGGAGAGGGCGAGATGAGGAAGGGTCGCTCTTGCAGAAACTTCAGAACAGGAGAGGGAAGGGGTTGGAAGTGATGATGACAGCAAAACCCTTTCCAAAATGGACGGAAGAAAATCTGATGTTAAAAATGCGCGTGGTCTGCCGGGAGCGTCTGCTGGGGCGTTCGCTCTGGAAGATTCTTCATGGTTTCTCACACGGGTAGATGCGTGCTTGTAATGCAGCCCAGTGGCCACACTCCTTTATCCCGGAGACTCGGAATGCGCGTCCACACACAGACCTGCACGTCATGCTCCCTAGCAGCTTAACTCACCATAGCCCAAACCAGAAGGACGCCCCCCACCGGCTGTCCTTCAGTGGGTGAGTGGCCAGGCAAATGCTGGCCACCTCCCTCGGTGTCCTCCTCAGCAACAGGCATGAACGCTGGGTCCCTGCCACACCCTGGGTGATCTCGGCAGCATGATGGCGAGTGAAGAAGCTGGTTTCAAGGGGTGCACACTGTATGATCTCTTCATCCCCAGGTGATAGGATTAGCGTGACGGAAACAGTGGCCCGGGGTGTAGGTGGGGGGGCCGCCGGCAGGCCGGTGTCTGGAATCGGCACATGGGCACGTTGGCACGTCACGTGGGCATGTCCACACGCATGCAAGGGGCTGTGGGTGAACTGCCCGTGGTGCACACCTGAGGGAGTTGTGTGGCACCAGCTCGGTTTGGACAGTGCCCTTTGTTAGGTACGGTTTTCTCATTGGGAAGCTGGATTTGTATTAAAGATGCACACGTAAGAATAAAAAAGAGGCTCGTAGAAAACTTTTGGTGTCGTAAACAATACTCAAACAGTTTTGCCAACAAATTGGAAAGCTAAGGCAAAACAGATGTTTTTCTAAAATTGCAGTAATCCCAAACTGCCTTGACAGGTTCATATAAAATGCAGATCAGTGGTTGGGGTGGGGCCGGCGTGGGCCCTGGCATGAGACAGACTTCCTGCTCCCCACCCAGGCTGCACAGCCCAGGGCAGAGAAAGGACAACATAAATACACAGAAAACTGCCCCAGGGGATGCAGCTGGATTCTTGGAAGAGACGAGAGTGTTGGGAACCGTCCTGGCATCCTGGAGGGGCCTGAAGCAGCCCCTAACCAGAAGCAGAGCCGGCGCCACAGAAAGGAGCCCCCAAGAACTAGGAGAGCTTGAAATTAAAAACATGAGTGAAAATCTCATAAAAACAGGAAGCTCAAAGACACAGGGACATTGCAGAAGCCAGAGAGGTGAAGAGAAGCCGTGACCTCCCGGGGCTGTGTGTGGAGTCTGCAGGGGCTGCCTGGATGCCGAGTCCGCGTTTCGCAGTGTGTGGTCCTGTGGGAGGACTTGGCTGCCCACGCTTTCTTGCCACTAGGGGTGGCCAAAGGATTGAGCTCCAGAACAGAGGGGAGCAGGGCCTCTCCCTGCCGTCCCCTCCTCGTCCCTGCTGGCTGGAACCCGGGGTAGCCACCTTGGACTGTGAGGGGAGCCACGTGCTGGGAACCGTGGAGCAACAAGGCAGGAGGCAGGGACCCTCGTGGCTGTGGAGAGGGCAGCGGGGCCGCAGGCTCCCTGTCTCCAGGCTTTGGCGTGGGAGGAAACTGAACACCTGCTTTGTGTGCCACTGTTAGTCAGGAATTCTGCCTCCTGGGGCAGAAACTTCCCGCATAGCTGGTTGGAGGTCGCCGCCGTCTGAGTGCCGTGGAGGGAGAGAACGTGATACCGTCAGTGCGGTCACAGGAGGAGCGGGAAGAATGTCGGGGCCTGGGAGGCGCCCCAGTGTTCAGGTTCAGGACTGGGATTTTACTGATACCACGGGTGGGGGATGTCACCCACCGGGACACAAGACTCAGCCCAGCCCCACTCGCCTGCTTTGGAATTTCCACAGGAGAAGGGTTTTCAGCCCAGCACTGCACATCTGATCAAACTGCTGAGCAAGAAAAAGGAAGCCCTGGAGCCTGGAGGCTGCGTCCGGTGTGGGCTGCGGGGCCTGGAGCGGCAGGGCGGCTCCGGGAGGGCACAGGACGCAGTGGCCTGCGAGGACCTGCAGCCAGCTGGACAGTTGCACTCCTGCAAGACAAGCATCTCCACGCCTTGGGGGTGGGGAGGCCACCAGAAAGCTCCGCCAGACAGAGGTGCTGGGGCTGTGCAGGAAACGAAGTGATTAGAAATCCCGGAAAAACACACAAGCAGGCGTTGTCATGGTGACTGGGAAAAACACACAAGCTGGCGTTGTCATGGTAATGGAGTGTAGGACAGGCCTGGAGCCCCTCGGTCTCTTGCTGGCGGCTGGCACAGAGACGGGCTGCCGTGGGCTCTGACCTTAATACCGGGTCACAGTCGCTTCTAGGACCAAGAGGACAGAGACCCCATCACCGTATGCAGGGGCCTGTTTCCAGGCAGACTGCCCAGTGCCCAGCTGAGCCTCGGGTGCAGTGCGACCCCCGCAGGGCATGTCCAGACCCCAGGACCCCCTCTCAGGTCTAGAAGATCCAGTTGGGCAGTGTTGGTACCACCAAGAGTAGACAGGACAGAGGATCAGAGACAATCCCACCCAGCAGGACCCAAGGACTCAGGCAGTGGCTTTTCAGGTGTGTGGGCCGAGGACTGGGGAGTCGGTGAATTCTGGGGCCCCTGGGGTGGCCGTTCAGGAACTGCAGCAGCTCCCCCCACCACAGATGCTCGCTGCCTACTGAAGCGGCCACGTGTTTGAATGAAGAGCAGTTAGAGGAACGCTTGCAAGAGAATGTGTTTATTACCTGAGGTTATGACAATACAGAACATACAATGTTTTCTGTGGAAAATGTGATACTACAGAGGAAAAGGTCACTTTAATTAAATGGCAATTAGAAGTAACAGCATTGCAAGGTGGGGTGCAGCAGCTCACGCTTATAATCCCAGCACTTTAGGAGGCTGAGGCGGGTGGATCACTTGAGGTCAGGAGTTCAAGACCAGCCTGGGCAACATGGTGAAACCTCGTCTCTACTAAAAATATAGAAATTAGCCACGCGTGGTGGTGCGCGCCTGTAGTCCAAGATACTCAGGAGGCTGAGGCAGGAGAACCTCTTGACCCTAAGAGGCAGAGGTTGCAGTGAGCCAAGATCGTGTCACTGCACTCCAGCCTGGGCAACAGAGCAAGACTCTGTCTCAAAAAGGAAAAAAAGAAAGAATGACATAGCAAAATAAATTTAAAAAATAAAAACGGGAGAGGTAGGGGTTGGGTATTTTCAATTTGTGTGCCAGCCTAAGGGTGAATGTCTGATAACACTCAGAGCTGGTGCAGGGGCTGTGCCTGTCATCCCAGCGTATCCAGAGGCCAAGGCCAGAGGATCGCTTCAGCCTAGGAGGTCAAGGCTGCAGCGAGTCATGATTACACCACTGCAGTCCAGCGAGGTCCTGTCTGTAAAATAAGTAAATGAAAAAGTTTATATATTCAAAGACTCCTCCCAATCAGTAGAAACAGAAAAATCCCGACAGAAAATGGATGAGGGCGGTGGCGTTTGGTACAGACAGAGCGGTGTATGAGAACCGGGGTGCGCCTCCTGGGTTCTCACAGGTGCAGCAGGCACCGCCGGTAACCCCTGGCCTGGCCTGCGCTGAGCCCTGCACCAGCCGTGCTGAGGGAGCCTGGGCCTGGCCCTTCATGTGGGATAGAAACGGCCGTGCCGGTCTCGATGGTGCTTTGGCAGTTTCTCTGGAAATCTGAAACCTGCGGTCTTCAGCCCAGCCCCACCCTGGGCCTGCATGTGGCTGCGTGTCGTAGAGAAACATCTGCCCTGATGGTGACCTGATGTGAGCAGCAGTTTCACAGAGTAAGCCACCCCTGTGCACGAGGTCTGGAAAGGTAAGTGCGACGTCGAGTCCTGAGCACAGAAGCAGGTGGCAGAACTGCATGGCAGGAGGTGGGCTTGGCGGGCCCCTTCCTGACCCCCAAGAGCCAGCTGCCACCAGGAGCGTCCTGGGGTCTGTTTCCAGCCCGGTGGCAGCCGAGCTTCCTGGGCACCCAGCTTTCCCCAGCCTGCTCTGAGCACTGGAGTTGAGGGCACTGAGCAGAGTGGGGCTGAGCCCCTGGCGGTGGAGGGGACACATCAGTGGGTGTTGGCTTGAGGTGGTTTCTGGGAGGCTGCTGGGCCCCGATCTAAAGGGACACACCTGGCTGCACCCACCTCCTGCAGACTTTCTCCGTGGGAGACCAATGCAACAGGCGGGGTGGAGCAGCCACGTGGCAGCCACGAGGGGGAAAGGAAGGTAGACCCTGAGGCTGAGCCGCTGTGGCACCCTGGCCTGTGGACCTGTGGATGACGTGGCCGCCACGTGGTAAAGCGCACATGCTAGCAGCTGTGGCCCTGCAGCTGAGCACAGGCCAACCTGGTACGTGGTGGAGGTCGGGGCATGGGGTGCCCCAGCCATGTTCAGATTCCTGTAGTGAGAATGCTTTCACCTAATACTATGTTGTTAAACCTGTATTCAGTAGGGAAAAGGGCAAGGACCTGAAAAAAGTGTATTAAGAATCGTGCACAGGCAAGTGATGAAAGCCTCGTCGGGGAGGCAGCTTGCGCTTCACAGCTCAGCTGGGTGGGCGCGCCCGGAGCCCAAAGGAGGGCCCTTGGCCGGCGCACGCTTCGGCTTCTCCGAGCTTACCTAGATGAGATAGATTTTCATCACGGAAGAGCCGATGCAGGAAGCAACCTTAAGGCTGCGCGGATGAATATTCGTCATATTCACGTGAATCTGATCGCTGTCTCCTCCGAATGTGCGGGAGGTGACGTGCCGCGGTTCAGAATCGACTTTTCGAGGCCCGTGGCCAGTGCTCCGGGTGAAAGCAGGCTGTTGCCTGCGTACACACAAGCCTGTGTGGTGTGGGTCTGTCCAGCCTGTCCATGCCGAGCCTCTGCACACACACTGTGGAAGTGGCCCCTGCACATCCAGCTGCCCAGGCCAGCCCCCCGGGCTCACGTCTGGCACCAGGCCTGTCCCTGACCCCAGGGCCCATCTCCCACTGCGCCTCTGCCCACCGCTCGCATGCGCAGCCCCTCCTGCCCACAGTGGGTGCCGACGAAGCTTCATCTGCAGGTGACTCTCTCTTAGCTGCGGCTGCTTTGCCAGGCTGCCCGAAGCACCTCCTTGGTGTGTGGGCGCCCATCTCCAGTCCACGCAGCGCAGGGGTCTTCCTGGCCGCACCGCTCGCCTCCACCACAGCTGTGCACCAGTCGCCCACTGCTGGCCTCTGCCTGCCCATGCTGTCCTTGTGGCCTCACCCCGTCCACACTACGTCTGGTCAAGTGTGGTACACCAGGGTTCACCCCGTCCACACTGCATCTGGTGCACCAGGGGTCACCCCGTCCACACTGCGTCTGGTGCACCAGGGGTCTGCATGCATGCAGCCTCAAAGCCCTCCCAGGAGGCCCGGGGCAGCCATCAGCCCTGTCCATGAACTGATGAGTGTTACACACACCTGTTCCTCTGTGGTCCGGGTAGATGCCTCCCTGCCTCCTGCAGCCGAGGTGCTCCAACCTTCCCTTCTTCCTGGAGAATGCCCAGGCTAGCCCAGGGCTCCCCTCCCCTGCTGCCCAGCCTCTGCTGTGGCCCTGGTCTGTGTGGTCCTCCATGGTCCTCTCCTCTAGGTCCCCTGCGGTGGGCAGGAGGGAAGGGAGGCTGTGCCAGCCTCAAAGGGAATCATCTGTTCTGGCTAAGCTGGAGGTCCGGGCACTGTAGGAGAAGGGGTTGCAGCTGGGTGGTGAGCGTCTTCCTGGGGGCTGCCCTCACCCTGCCCACGTATGCCTGCCCAACACCAGCTGCTCTGCCCAGGACCCAGGCAGGGTCAGCTCCCACAGGACGCCCTGCGGTCCAGCAACCCAGGCACTGCCGCCCGGGATCCACAGGCTCCATGCTCGGCAGGAAGGGAGGGAAAGACGCCACCTAGGCCCCGGCAACCTCTGTGCTGAGCCTGCGCCATTGATCCGTCAGGAGTACCTGGGGCCCCGCTGGACAGGTGGTGGGTGGGAGTCATGTCCACATGGGAGGCTCACTGGTGTCTCCGGGGACTCGGACATGCCCATGTGGACGAGGCCTGCATGTCCTGGTGTCCTCAGCCACGGCTGTTCGCACAGAGCATCTCTGCACCCGTGGGTGGGCGTTGTCATGCACGGGAGTGTGGGATGGACGTGTGCGGGTGGATGTGTTTGGGTGTGGGTGGATGCGCAGGTGGTGCACACACATCCCCACCCTGTGCCCAGTGCTGCACCTGGTTCTTCGGCCTAGGGCACTTCCTCCACCTGTGTGCCTCTGCACCCCACACTGCCCCTGCCCTCCCTGGGCTGGGGGTAACTGGGAGCCCTTGGCAGGGTGGGGTTGGCCGTGACCACAGCGATGCCATGTACTGGCTGAGTGGAGGCGCCAGGGTTGGGCTGCTGTGCTGTGTGCCAGGTCTTTGTTCGCGGGAGCTGTTCCGGTCTAAGAGTTGTCATGGACACTGAAATTAAAAACGTGACTGTTGTGAACACTGCTCAGACCCAAGCCTCGCCAGCCAGGGGCAGCATTTCTGGGCAGGTTCTTGGGCGACACGGGGGCAGTGCATGCTCCTGTGGATGTATCCTTACGGCTGGGTGGCGTCTGCCTGCCTCCGCCGACGTGCTTGTGTGCCGCGGGGACTTACCACTTTCTACCTGCATCCCCGGGCCTGCAGGTCTCAGGTTCCCTGGCCACCCCACCCAGCTGCACCTGCTCAGTGTCCTTCCTGGGTGTGGCCGCACCCCCCCTCCTGTGTCCTCGCCAGGCGGGACCCCGTTTCTTCCACAAGGCTGAGCAGAGTCTCGGTGGGGCGCACGCTCAAAAGGAGACATCTCAGCCACCACAGTGGGGAGCGGGCAACTCTGACCAGTGCCGGCCTGCAGCCTACATGCGGCTGAGGAGGCTGCGGTGGGAATTGCTGGGACTCAGGACGCCTGGGCAGAGGTTGAGGGGCCGCGCGTGGCGGGGAAGCCTTCATGTAGCCTCTCCCAGTGTCCGGGCTGGTGCTTGGGGAACAAGCCTGAGGGCCACAGGCTAATTTCCCAGCCGGGGCAGCCCCACCCCCGAAGGCCAAGCCCGAGGGTCTTCAGGTTCCGGGCTGAGCCTGTGTGCTTTCTCGCTGCAGGTCCTGAACGAGGCTGTGGGGGCCCTGATGTACCACACCATCACTCTCACCAGGGAGGACCTGGAGAAGTTCAAAGCCCTCCGCATCATCGTCCGGATTGGCAGTGGTTTTGACAACATCGACATCAAGTCGGCCGGGGATTTAGGTAGGCCGGCTCCGAGTTCTCTCCTGTGCCCATTCATGCAAGCTCCGTCCCGTCTTGCTTCGTCCATGGAGGCTTCACTGCCACACTGAGGACCCCGTTGCACATTGCCTGGTGTGGCTGGCGGTGGTTCGTGGTCCCGTCTGGGGCCGGCATGAGGTTGCAGCCATTCAGTTCCTCACAGAGCCTCATCTCAGGGCACTTCCTCTCTTTTGGGCAGCAGGAAATCCAGCTGTGGCTTCACACAGGTCTGCATGCATGTCTGGCTGGTGCCCCTTGCTTGGGTACTGGGACCCTGGGGGTGAGGGCAGGGCCGTCAGTGTATGGCTGTAATAGGGCTCATAGGTCTCTGTCCCGAGACACAGCGGGAACAGCAGCGTGTTGCAACCCAGTACGTGTGCACTCAGCACACAGAACACACACGTCTGCACCTGTGCACTCAGCACATGGATCACGCACACTCAGCACACAGAACACACACGGAACACGCACATCTGCATCCGTGCATGTGCACTCAGCACATGGAACACGCACACTCATCTGCACCCATGCACATGCAGTTAGCACACGGATCTTGCACACTCATCTGCACCCGTGCACATGCACTCAGCACACGGATCACGCACACTCAGCACACAGAACACGCACATCTGCAGCCATGCATGTGCACTCAGCACATGGAACACGCACACTCATCTGCACCCGTGCACATGCACTCAGCACACGGATCCTGCACACTCATCTGCACCCGTGCACACGCACTCAGCACACGGATCACGCACACTCAGCACACAGAACACACACAGAACACGCACATCTGCAGCCGTGCATGTGCACTCAGCACATGGAACACACACACTCATCTGCACCCGTGCACATGCACTCAGCACACGGATCACGCACACTCATCTGCACCTGTGCACACGCACTCAGCACATGGATCACATGCTCATCACACAGAACACATGCACCTCTGCTTGTGCACTCAGCATATGGAACACTCATGGAACACGCACGTCTGCACCCGTGCACCTACACGCACATGGAACATGCACATGTGTCTGCATCCATGTACAGACACTCATTAGAACAAACTTGGGGCGGTGCTTGGCCGTCCTGCTTGGAGCGCACTTTCTGTTTTCTGCCAGGCTCGGTCTGTTTTTTCTCCTCCTCTCGATGCTGGTAACAGGCGAGGTTGTACCCTGCCCTTGCCCACAGTTGGCCAGCGCCTCACGGTTTTGCTTCCCTTTTCCTAGGATACAGTTTATGGCATTGCAAAGTTGGAACCGTCTGTGTTCCTGCGGGGGACGCAGGTGGTGTCGGAAGCCATGCCTCCATCTGGGGGTCTCCTGCACTGGCTTCAGCTGCTTCCGCCGGCGCCCATGGGCCAAACCTGTGTGCCAGCCTCCTCCCGCCTTTGTCTCTGTGGTGGCGTCCCAGGAAGGGCCGGCTGCGGTGTCGGGTGCAGGCCTGGGTGTGTGGTGTCGGGTGCATGCCTGGTGCTTTTTGAGGGGTCCCTGCTGTTTACCATCTCTGTTACCCGTGGAGTTTCCCAGGCCTGGGCTCTGTTCTTCAGCCAGGGATGGTCTGGGGCACCCCTGGGATCTGGCCCACCCTCAGGAGGTCTTTGTTCCAATCTCGTGTGGCGCCTGGCTTGGCTCTCCCTCAGTCTCCCTTGTTTAACATTTTTACGTCCAAGTGAGTTGTGTCTAGGGGCTATGCAGCCCCTGCCTGCGCCGCCCCACATCAGGCCCTCTCCCGGCCCCCGGGACCCCTTGCGGAACCACACGGTCCTGTCCAGCTTCCGGGCCTATGAATGCAGCCCTGTCCTGGCCTCCTGCCCCCTCCTCCTCCCCAGGGAGACGGATGGCCAGTCGGACACAGGAATGCAATCATCCGGATGGGGTGGGAAGTGCCGTGCAGGGGCGGCCCTGGCCAGGGACAAGCCAGGGATGAGGGTAAATAGGCTCAGGGAGGGGCACTGGCTGGGGAAGGGCCTGTCTCTGGGGACAAGGCCGGGAGCGGGGAGTAGGGGTCACACATGGGCGTGCCTGGCCACTCGGGAGAAATGGGATGGACTTGCTTTCCAGGAATGGCTCCAGCTTCAGTGTTACCGACTGCAGGGGTGGGGCATGGAGGGCGGAAGGGGCTTCGGGGCCCGGCTGGGCCTGGGGGAGGCCTGAGGACATGTGCGGATGTCCACGTAGGGGTGTGCAGGCGGGGCCGGCACCCAGATTCTGACCTGGCCACAGCCTCCCAGCAGGGTACCCCCGAGAGGAATCGGGGTGGCGAGGTGACGCGGGGAGACACGTGCTTGTCTCTTCCTGGGCTGCCAGCGCTGAGTCGGGAGGGGTCAGGGCAGCGTCTCACACCCCAGCCCTACCACACACCGAGCAGTTGCCGTGTGTGTGCTGCCACGTGAACCTAAAGTGGAGGTGGGGCTCCTGGAGTTGCTCTGTTGCGCCCGACCTGTGAGCAACGTGTTCATCTCGTGGCCTCCCGGGGTGGCCTTGGGGACACGGCCTTTGGCTTCTTCCTTGGGAAGCTTCAAACCCGCTCCAGTCACGGCGGCCCCGGTGTCCTCCCGGAGGCTGGGCCCGGCCCGGGGGTGACCGCCGTGTCCTTGTCCCCACAGGCATTGCCGTCTGCAACGTGCCCGCGGCGTCTGTGGAGGAGACGGCCGACTCGACGCTGTGCCACATCCTGAACCTGTACCGGCGGGCCACCTGGCTGCACCAGGCGCTGCGGGAGGGCACACGAGTCCAGAGCGTCGAGCAGATCCGCGAGGTGGCGTCCGGCGCTGCCAGGATCCGCGGGGAGACCTTGGGCATCATCGGACTTGGTGCGTCGGCCGCAGCTCCACGCCTGTGTCCCTCCCTGTGTCTGGCGCTGCCGCTCTTCAGCTGTGCCCAGGAGGAGAGGCCCGGGGCGGGGTGGGGCTGCTGCAGGTGTCGGTCCCAACCCAGGACAGGACTGAGTGCGCACAGGCACCAGGGCCCGGGAGTCCCAGGCGTGTGCCCTACGTGCACGGACGTCACAGCACACGTGGGTCTCACACAGGCACACACAGATAACGTACACGGATGCCACAGCACACACAGCCTCACACAGACATCACAGCACGTGGGTCTCATGGGCACATGCAGATAACACACACGGACGTCACAGCACTCACATGGGCTTCATGGGCACATAGATAACACACGGATGTCACAGTACACAGCCTCACACAGAAATCAGAGCACACATGTGGGCCTCACACAGACATCATGGCACACACAGACATCACACACCGATGTCACAGTACACATACTGGCCTGCACGGATGTCATAGATGCCACAGCACACATGTGGGCCTCACAGACATCACAGTATACATGACCTCACGGGCGCACACAGAAATCACACATGGACATCACAGCACAGACGTGGACCTCACGGGCACACACAGATAACACAGATGTCACAGCACACAGCCTCACACAGATATCACAACACACCCATGGGTCTCACACTGGCCTGCACGGACGTCACAGCACACAGGGCCTGCACAGATGTCACACACAACACCACAGCACACATACAGGCCTCACACAAGACATCGTGGCACACACAGACATCACACACGGATGTCACAGCACACACGTGGGCCTCACGGGCCTGCACGGATGTCACACGCCACAGCACACGTGGGCCTCACAGACATCACACACGGACATCACAGCACACACAGGCCTCATGGGCACGCACAGATAACACACAGATGTCACAGTACACACAGCCTCACACAGCACACATGGGTCTCACACAGGCCTGCATAGACATCACACGGACATCACAGCACACACGTGGACCCCACACAGACATCACACATGGACATCGCAGCACACACATGGGCCGCACGGGGACATACAGATGTCACAGCACACACACACGGGTATCACATGGCACACATGGGCACCACACATGGATATCACACCATACACATGACCTCACATGGACACACATTGATGTCAGTCATGGGCACGTACGCAGATAGATACCGGCATATGTGTGGGCACGCACATCAACCACGGTCTAGCATGTGCTCGCCCCTTGAGTCCCCTGGAGCTGGCTGTGTAGATCCTGCTGGGGCCGGGGTTCGGGCAGCCGTGGGCTTCCTCCGTGGTCACCAGCAGCTGCCCCTGGCGCTGGCCCTATCCCCGGGGAGTGGTTTGCCTTTCAGCGACCCCTCGCTCTTCATTTGCCCACTCGCTTTGCAGCCGCCTATCCTGGGCCCAGCACTGTCCTGGGTCCGGCATGCAGCGGTGAACCGGCCCCACACAGCCAGGCCCAGGTTGAGCTCAGAGCGGCAAGCGTGTGCATGTTTGTGCACGTGTGTGTGTGCGTGTGTGAGATCCTGGGAGTAGAGCCATGTCTTAAGGGAAAGTAGAGCTGGGAGAGGCCAGGTGAGGGGCCCCGTGAGGGAGGGGGAGCATCTGGGCGGGGCCCAGGTGTGGGGTGGGAAGGTGCTCCCTGAGAGGGTGGGCGGGGGTGGTGTACCTTTTCTGAAGACTCCCTGGACACCTTGGCCCAGCTGCCTGTCTCCCCAGATCGCGGGTTCCTCAGGAGGCCCCATGGGGATGCAAGGGCCTTGCCATGCCAGGGACTCCCCTTGACCGGCCGGCCCCCCGCTTCCCAAACATCCAGGCAGCCCACTCCTGCTGACCGCTGTCCTTGTCCCGCCAGCGTTTGGGGAATCGGACGTTTCGGGTGGTCTCGGTGAGGCGGCCACACCTAGGTTAGTGGGAGAGGTTGGTTCACGGATGTGCATGGAACACGTGCCTGTCTCTTCCTGGACACGTCTCTCACGGTCTTGCTGGTGCCCCCACCAGGACCCCAGGGCTGGCTGGAGCCTGTGAGGATCCCAGAGCCCTGAGGTGCCTGTTCCTCACACCTCTGCCCATCTGAGGCCTGGGCGGCCCCTCCTATGTCAGGGCCATGGCCCGCATGTGTGGTTTGTTGAGGGGAGGAGGGAGGGTGGGCAGGAAGCCCAGGTTGGGGCAGAGGTCGGGAGGGGCCGGGGACTCGGGGCTCTGTGGACCTTCAGATTCGTGGACTGCCTGCTGGCCTTGTCCAGGGGGCGGTGCCTCCGCTGTCTCCAGAGCAAGCCCACAGGACAGGAGGCGCCTCATGTGTGCCTTGCCTGCAGGTCACCGCCTGTCCTGCAGCCACAGGTCTGACACCTCACCTGAGGTGTACGAGGGACTGTGGGATGTGGGGGGGGTATGGGCTGTGTCTGTGTGGCCAGGGATGTCTGTAGTTCCCCTGGTAAGAGTAGGTGGGTGTGTTGCCCCCAGAGTCATGTGTCCTGTCTCTCCTGGGGTCGGGGTCTGTGGTCCCGGCCCTGAAGGCCCCGGGCTCTTCCCGTGGCCACTCTGAGGCCTGAGGGCGGCGCCTTCCCAGGCTGATTGTGGAGCTGGGCCCAACCAGCCCCTCCCAGGGCCCCGTGCTGAGTGGGGGTTGGAACACCCAGGTCGGGATGCCCTCAGAGGGTAGGGCTGTGGCCACCCCGTTCGTTAAGGACCCCACCTGCCAGGGCCCCCGCCCAGGCCTGGCCTGAGGAGTGTGGGTGGGGACTGCAGGTGCGGGGACCCCGGCGTCCTGAGGAGTGCAGGGTGGACCTGGCAGGTTGTGGGGGTTTACCATGGGCGTTCTGCCCTGCACTGGCCCAGGTCGTCCTGTGGGCTCTCGGGCAGGCCCCCCTGGAGCTGCTGGGGGGCAGCTGCTTCCCTCGCTCTCGGCGCGGGCCCCTCTGTCTGTGGTGATCTTGTGATGAACCAGGCCAGGTCAGCGCTCCCTCGGCCTCGGGAGCTGAGGAGAGCAGTTCTGTCCTTAGGGACACGAGCCCCCTGACGCTGCAGCCTCTACCTTGTGGACGGGACCCCTACCCCACCCCGGCTGCCCACCTGGCACCCTTGACTGCAGAACACCTGCGTCCCGTCCCCCGCCCCGCCCCTCGCCCTTGTCCCTGAGCCCCATCCCACCCTCTGTGGAAGAGCCTCATGCTCCAGGCGGGGCCGGTGCTGGGCACCAGCCACTCAGGCTCTCCCAGGGTGTGCATGTCCCCATCTGCCCTCTGCTGTGCACACACTGTCTGGGTTGTTCTTAGCGTGGAATCCGCGTGTGTGGTGGCTACAGGAATGTGGAAGCCCTGGGCAGCGTGTGGCTCACGGTGTTGGTGCCACTCGGCGCAGACTAGGGGGCGGCCGCTTCCTCTGCTCTACGAGGCTCTGGTGCCCGTGACTTACATCTCCTTCTTGTTTCTTTCTTTCCTCCCTCCTTCCCTTCCTTCCTTCCTTCTGAAAAATGCACTGTCTTAGGTGCACACAGGAAAACATTGTACACATTCACCCCATGAACCCACCAGCACGTTGACAGAGCAGGCTCCTGCACACAGACAGCTCCCTCGGGCCCCCTTCTCCCGTGGCGGCCCCGCGACGACCCTGCGAGGACCCGGGTCCCGCTTCCTAGAGCAGAGGGCCTTCCCCAGCTGTGCCGAGGTGGGATCACGGGCACGCAGCCTTCTGTGTCCGCCTCCCGTCAGTCGGGGTGATGCCTCTGGGTCTCACCTGTGTTTTCATACGACCCAGCAGTTTCTGATAACGGTTCCATCACGTGAACACAGCACGATTTGCTTCTCCAGACTCTTGGTGATGCATTTTGTAAGTTTTTGGCTAATATTACAAACAAAACTTGTGTGAACACATTTCTGCCCGTCTTTTTTGTGCACATAGACTCACGTCTCTTGGGTTTGTACCTAGGAGTGGAATTTCTGAGTCCCAGAGCAGGACATTGTTTCGCCTGGAAGGAGTCGCTGTTCTTCAGGCAGGGGCGCGGCGTCATGCTCCGGCAGCCGCGTATCCTTGCCAGCACTCTGTGTAATTCTAGCCCTTCCAGCAGGTATTTTGTGATATTTTAATTTTAACCTATAGTTTCCTGATAAGTGAGGAGGCTGAGCACCTCTTTGTGCCCTTGGCCACTCGGAGCACCTCCGGCCGTCTTTTTCGTGTTGGTTACGAAGCCCTCACGTGGTCTGCGTCAGGTTCTTGTCAGATCGACATGCATTGTGGATATTTTCATAATTTCAAAATTTTTGTTTTTTCTTGTTTACGAATATCTCAGGCCGTGGCTTGACTTTTCACTTTCTTGACCTCTCTCTGTGACGAGAACACGTTTTCAGTTTTTATGAAGCCCAGCGTATCACCCGTTTTTTAGGTGAATACCTTTTGTGTCCTGAGGAATCTGTTTACCCCAGGGTCATCCGGGTAACAGGTTCTCTGTGTTTTCTTCTGGAAGCTTCTACCTCTAGGTCCAGGGTCTCCTGGGCTGCCACTCACACGTGGTGTGAGGCTGGGGTGGTGGCCCACCCTTTCCCGGGATGGCAGGTCGCTGCGGCACGATGCGCCGAGGAGCCCTCCTTCCGGTTGGCTTGGCTCCTCTGTGGAAAGGCAGTTGGCCACATGTGAGTGGGTCCGTCTGGACTCTTCTGTTCCGTGGACCTGTTTTTCTTCCCTTTCCTCCCATGTGACGCTGTCTGCACGGCTGTGAGCCTTGAGATCCTCCACCATGTTCTTGACGAGGGTCTTGGCTGTTTTAGGTCCTGCTGTGCATTTCCATTTCCATTCTGGAATCAGCTCATCAATTTTCATTTTGTTGAGTCCTTAAAATCAGTTTTGGGAATGCTGACTTCCTAATAATATTGAACCTTCGGGACATAAATATGATCTCTCCATTTATTTTAACTTTTCTTAACGGTGTTTCGTCGTTATCAGTAGAAGGTTTCCACGTAGTTCATTAAGTTTATTGTTAGGCATTTGGCATTTGTAATGCTGTTATAAATGTTTAATTCTTTTTTTCTTTTTTTTTTTTTGGAGACAGTCTTGCTCTGTCGCCCAGGCTGGAGTACAGTGGCGTGATTTCGGCACACTGCAATCTCTGCCCCTTTTTTTTTTTTTTTTTGAGACAGAGTCACACTCTCTTGCCAGGCTGGAGTACAGTGGCATGATCTCGGCTCACTGCAACCTCCACTTCCTGGGTTCAAGCAATTCTCCTGCCTCAGCCTCCTGAGTAGCTGGGATTACAGGCACACGCCACCATGCCTGGCTAATTTTTGTATTTTTAGTAGAGACAAGTTTTTGCCATGTTGGCCAGGCTCGAACTCCTGACTTCAAGTGATCCACCCATCTTGGCCTCCCGAAGTGTTGGGATTACAGGCATGAGCCACTGTGCCCGGCCTAATTGTTTCTTGACAGTTGGTTATTAGTAGGTAGAAATACACTTGAGTTTTGTAAACCAACCTCATATCCCACAGCGTTCTAAATTCTCCATGTTAGGCCGGGTGCAGTGGCTTGTGCCTGTTATCCTAGTGCGTTATGAGGCCGAGGCCGGAGGATCACCAGGAGTTAGAAACCAGCCTGGATGGCGTAATGAGACCTGCCTCTGCCAAAAACAGATTCTCTTGAATTTTCTCTTGCACACACTGCTGTGTCATCTGCAGATAAACACAGATTTACATTTTCCTTTCTGATCTCTGTACCTTTTATTTCTTTAATTTCTTTATTTTTGCCTTTTTGCATTAGCTACAATCATCAGCAGCAGTGAGTGTGGGTGTTACCGTGTTGATGTGGGAGAAAAAGTTTCTGACATTTCACCATTAAGTAGGACGTTTCCTGTTGGTCTTTTTGTGGTCTAATTAATTGGTCTGATGTTGAGGCAGCCATCCCAGCTCTTTTGATCAGTGTTTGTGTGGTATGTCTTTTTTCATCCTTTTAATTTTAGCTTATCTCTGTTCTTATATTCATTCATTCAGAGACAAGGTCTTGCTCTGTCACTCGGGCTGGAGTGTGGTGGTGCGGTCACGGCTCACTGCAGCCTTGAGCACTGGGGCTCAAGAGATCCTCTTGCCTTAGCCTCCGAAGTAGTTAGGACTATAGGTGCGTGCCACTGCAATTTTTTTAAATTAATTGTTATTATTATTATTATTATTTTTTGGTAGAGACAAAGTCTTGCTGTGTTGCTCAGGATGGTCTAGAACTCCTGGGCTCAAGTGGTCACCCTGCCTTGGCCTCCCAAAGTGCTGGGATTACGGGTGTGAGCCACGGCGCCTGACTTCTGTCTTTTATGTTTAAAGTGTGTCTGTTATTAATAGTATAGAGTTAGTTCCTCTTTCTTTTTTCAGTCTGACAGTCTTTGCCTCTTGAGTGTTCAGTTCATTTATTTTTAGTGTAATTGCTGATGATTTGGATTTCGGTGTCATCTGGCTACGTGTTTTCTGTTCATCCTTGTTTTTCCTTTCTGGCCTTCTTTTATATTAATCAGGTGTTAAATGATTCCTTGCATCTGTTGTTGCTTTTTAACCTATACTCTGCTTAGTGATCGTGTTTAGTTTTACTTTAGAGATTAGGATACGCCTTCATAACTCACTGCCACCCAGCATAACCTGTGAAGACTCGTCCAGGGCGGCCAGAGGCCCGCGGTGGCTCCTCTCACCCTCGGGCCGATTTTCCACGTCTATTATGCAGAAAACCGTACAAGAAGCTATTAGTCATGAGTCTGTCAAGGAATTTTTCAGTAATTTTTCTTTTGAATATCAACCGACACATCCACCCTTTCTGCCTTGTTTACGCCCCCCGATTCTGGCTGTCCTCGGGCGTCACGTTCCTGTAGCCTAAAGACTGTCTTAGAAATGTGGCTCACCAGTGACCGATTCCTTTTGCTTTTCTTTGTCCGAAAATGTGTTGCCTTTTTTTTTTTTGTGGAAGGTAGTCTCGCTCTGTCGCCCAGTCTGGAGTGCAGTGGCGCGATCTCGGCTCACTGCAGCCTCTGCTTCCCAGGTTCACGCCATTCTCCTGCCTCAGCCTCCCGAGTAGCTTGGACTACAGGCGCCCGCCACCACGTCCGGCTAATTTTTGTATTTTTAGTAGAGACGGGGTTTCACCATGTTGGCCAGGCTGGTCTCGAACTCCTGACCTTGTGATCCGCCCACCTCAGCCTCCCAGAGTGCTGGGATTACAGGCGTCAGCCACCAAGGCCTGTTCTTTAAAATTTATTTTTTAAATTCTTTTCTCTCTGCTTCTGTTTGGATGCCATCTGCTGACTTTGAGCCCCTCCCTTCAAGCTCCCGATCCTTTTCTTGCAGTTAGCTTTGTCCAGGGAGTTCCGTTTCAGAGGGATGTTTTCGTTCTGGAATTTCTATGTGGTTCTTTATAGAGTTACCATTCATCTTCCGGAAGCCTCCATTTTTCTGCTGTTTACATCCACACTTGTTGTCATCTCTGAGCATGTTTATAGTAGTTATTAAGAGGTTTTGCTGGCTGATTCCAGCCTCGGTCATCTGTGCGTCTGTCCGCTTCCAGTGTTTTGTTCTAATTAGAAACTACATCCTCCTGTCTCTTCACCTGCATCATCATAATTTCTTATCCTAAGCCAGACATCATGTGGAAGAGAATGGCAGAGACAGAAGTGAAGAATGGTCTCGCCCCGAACAGCCGCTGCTCTCCCGTGTCAGGCGTGGCCGGCGCCGGCCCGCGGCTTTAGCTGGTTTTCGCCACCGGCAGCCCGACTTCCGGGGCTTTGTGTTGTGCGCAGTGGGAAACAGCGTGTCGTCCGCCTTCTGCGCTGTGGGAGACGCCTTTCTCTGTGTCTGCCTGTGTTCTCTTCCTCCCCATTTGGTGGGATCCCTGGCAGGGGGCGTTGACAGACGGGCTGTTCTGCACCTGGGGAGCTGCCCGGGTACTCCGGCCGTGGCTGCAACCCTCAGAACTGCTGCTCCCACCTCCGCCTGCCGAGCCCTCCTCCCTCCTGCAGCAGCCTCGTCCCTGGGGATGGAAGGAGCCACCATGTTCCTTCTCGTAGAACAGGCGCCTCCCTTTCTAGGATGTAGTGCGTTTAGACGGTCCTCAGCTCTTCTGACTGGCCTCCCAGCCTCCCCCAGTCCTCTTCCCAGAGTGACTGGGGGTCCCCTGGGCGTTTGGGCCACGTCCGGCCACCCTGTGTGCCTGGCGGTCTGGTCTCCTTGGCCCTCAGGCCGCCGCGGGCCCCTCGCACGTGTTGTTCCAGCTCTCTGGCTCCCTTCCTGTCCCCTTATGTCTCCAGCAAGCTTGGTCTTCTCAGGGAGGCCTGCCCTGGCTGCCGCCTTTGAAACTGCGCCCACTTCCCACCCGCCCCGGCGCTCAACCTGCTTCCTTCCTGTGTAGCGGTTCCCTCTGAGGCAATGCAGGAGACACCACGTTCGCGGGCTTGGGGTCCTGTGTCCTTTGCAGCCATGCTGTTGGCTCACAGTGGGCACGAGCACTCTGCAGACCCTTCCCCGAGGAGGAGCCGGCCCCAGCCAGACACGGTGGCTCAAGCTCCACGGCTCCTGTGCTGGGACCCGTGCCAGCCTTGGACTGCTGGGGTGGGGGCAGGCACGTCTGCCTGGGATGGCTTTCTCTGCCGCTCCACTCGAAGGGGTCAGGACCTGAGCCCAGCGGGGCCTCCCTGGTCTGGAAGTTTCCCTCCTGCCCCCTTTGCCGTCTCCACGTAGTGGTGGCTGGAATTGAGATGCCGGAAACATTGATGGGTGGATCGAAAGGCCAGCGGAGGGGCCTGGGCACGGAGGACATGTGTTGGGTGGGTGGAGACCCACTGACCAGTCCGTTTGACACTGAGTGGTTCATGTCACGTCCTGTGGACAGGCTGCAGGGGAGTGGTGTGGCTGGCAGCTGGTGTGGGCCGAGGGGCTAGTGTACCCTTTCCACCCCTGTGCATCTCCTCCGCCTTGGCAGTGGGCGCGTTGGAGCGGACGTGGAGCGCTCGTGTGGAGCGTGCGTGGGCACCTTGGCTTGACCACAGCTGGTGTCATCCTTGGCAGATGGTCAAACTGAGGCACAGAGGCCACTCCGACCCTGGCTTTCGGGGCCGGCCTCCCGGCCACGGGTGAGCAAGGGTCTCACACTGTGTCTTGACGCCACCAGGTCGCGTGGGGCAGGCAGTGGCGCTGCGGGCCAAGGCCTTCGGCTTCAACGTGCTCTTCTACGACCCTTACTTGTCGGATGGCGTGGAGCGGGCGCTGGGGCTGCAGCGTGTCAGCACCCTGCAGGACCTGCTCTTCCACAGCGACTGCGTGACCCTGCACTGCGGCCTCAACGAGCACAACCACCACCTCATCAACGACTTCACCGTCAAGCAGGTGCGTGGAGCCGGGGACACAGGACTCTACTTCTGCGGGGCAGGTACAGGTGGGGGTGTCAGGCAGGTCCCTCCCAGCAGCCATCTGCACCTGGGCAAGACCCTGCCTTCAGCGAGCCACATGGCGGCGGCTGCCAGCCCTGCTGGGGGAAGCCCTGTCTGCCCAGACAGCGTTTTCTGTGTTCTGAGTTCTACTCAGGACATCTAAAATACTCTCTGGACAAGACAGAACCTCATACCTTTGAACACCAAATTCCCCTGAAGCCCTTGCTGTTGTCACAGTGGGGACAGATGCAGCTACCTGGGGGCGTTGGGTCGGCCCTTGTGACTTCCGTGCTGCCAGGTTCAGGTTTCACATCTGCAGCTGGAACGGGCTGTGCTCAGGTCGGCCTCTGACATCTGCAGCTGGAAAGGGCTGTGCTCAGGTCGGCCTCTGACATCTGCAGCTGGAACGGGCTGTGCTCAGGTCGGCCTCTGCCTCAGCACAGCTCGCAGTGCAGCCTCAGCCCTGCGTTCCCCTTGAGTGGGTGGAGCTGGGGATGGCTGCCTCCCGCTGGCTCCAGGCCCTTCAGGGAGTCATCGTGTGTGCACAGTGATGTGTATGTGTGTGGGCAAGTGTGCGTGGGTGCATGTGTCTGCATGTTTGTATGAGCTTGTATGTATGTGCATGTGTGTACACACGTGTCAGAGGCCACCCGCCCACTCTAGCTGCCCCAGCAGCCTGTAGCCACAAGGAGGATGAGGCCAGGTTCCCGCTGCCCCTTCCTTTGTTCACAGAGTCAGTGGGTTTGGAGCCTTCTAGGGGACAGGGTGTGGCACGTGGATGCTGGTCAGAGCCCTGCCGTCCCTGAGGACCTTGGGTGTGAGGCTTTAATGGGCAGCAGTGCACCAAAGAAAAGCCACCGTGACCTGCCCAGCTGTCAGCCAAGCACCGTGGCTGGGTGGACTTCTTGGAATGAAATGGGGGGGCTGCAGGAAAGCCCTGGCCACGAAGCCGAGGGAGAGCCACCCGCAGGGCTTTTTGCAAAAGTGCATGAAAAGCGAGCCTGTTCCGAAGACGGAGGCTCTGCTGCAGGCCCCGCTGGGGTTGGAGTCAAAGACCACGCCTCAGAACAGACGGCCCTGGGCTTTGCCGTCCCAGGGAGTCCCACCTCGTGGGCTGAGGCCCTGCGTGGGGGAGGCTGGGCTGGAGGGGACCCAGAAAAGGGGTACCACAGGGGGACCAAGCCAGGAGCCCCCGCCCAGTCCTCAGCTCAGGGCTTGGGCAGGAGGGTGGAGCTCTCTAGGAGCTGTGGGGCCGTGCAGGTCCATACAGGGCAGATCCTCAGCCAGCCTGTCAGGGCCGCGGTGCAGCACGCCCGAGGCCTTCAGTCCTAGCGCCGTGGTGAGCCCAGGGTGGGGCTGGGAAGGGGCTAGGGAGCTGGGCCTTCCCAACGGCGTGCGTGACCACCTTGCTTCCCTGGCTGCCCGCCCTGTGCGGATCCCTGACTGGGCCTGGCCTGTCCTTATGTCTTCTAGATGAGACAAGGGGCCTTCCTGGTGAACACAGCCCGGGGTGGCCTGGTGGATGAGAAGGCGCTGGCCCAGGCCCTGAAGGAGGGCCGGATCCGCGGCGCGGCCCTGGATGTGCACGAGTCGGAACCCTTCAGGTGCCCCCACGGCCAGTGCCGCCCCCCTGCTCTTCCCTGTCCACCATCCTGCCGGCCTTGACCTCCAGACGGCGCCTCTGCCAGGCCGGACACTTGCCTGTACTCAGGCCTCTCGCTGGCCAGCAGTGGGGGAGTTT
Organism: Homo sapiens; assembly: GCF_000001405.40. Classification (NCBI taxonomy): domain Eukaryota; kingdom Metazoa; phylum Chordata; class Mammalia; order Primates; family Hominidae; genus Homo; species Homo sapiens. The sequence goes on along the minus strand of NC_000004.12, from coordinate 1,214,205 downwards.
GCCGCCCGCTGCGGGGTGAGGATGGAGCCACGGGCTCTAGGCCTGCCTTGCCTCGGTCCTGTGAGGGGCTGCTCAACCTCCTCAGCCCTTCTTTGGGCAGGGCTCCTGACCAACCAGGAGAGAGTGAGGCCCCAGTGTCTGTGAGTGGTCCCCATGGGCCCTGGCCATGGAGTCATGGCATCCCGTCCAGACCTGCAGCCCCTACAGCACCTTGGGACCCCAGGCAGCCCTGGGTTGGATGTTCAGCCGCAAGAGGAGACACCCCCACAGGGGCAGTATCAGCCTGCAGCTCCTGGGGCTACAGACCCTTTGGCTGGAAGGGGCCAGGCAGCATGTCCCCCCATCAGGGCTCCTCCCACGAGGGACTTGGAGATTAAATCCCTTGGGCTCCCACACCCGCCGCTGTCAGGAGCCCCTGGTGTGTCTGATGGTCCCGGGGCTGTGCTCTTGAGCTCAGCCAGCCTGCCGAGCAGAGCAGGGCCGTGGGGTCTGTGGTTCCCAGGCAGGGCCCCCCACAGGGGGTTCCAGTGCCCAGCCACCTCCCCTCCGTACCCAGCCACAGCACTCAGGCTGCACTGACCATGCCTGTGCTGTTCCCAGCTTTAGCCAGGGCCCTCTGAAGGATGCACCCAACCTCATCTGCACCCCCCATGCTGCATGGTACAGCGAGCAGGCATCCATCGAGATGCGAGAGGAGGCGGCACGGGAGATCCGCAGAGCCATCACAGGTGGGCGTGGGGGCCGCTCGGTCAGGCCTGGGGGTCCCTTCCTGCCAGCCCCAGATGCTCATGGGCTCGCATCCGCCTGGCAGCCAGGCCCATGTTCTGCCAGCTCAGGGCCCGTGGTGCTCTCACTGCACCCCCAGCAGGGACCTCTAAGGCCAAAGTCAAGTTGAGCCCTGGCGTCGTGTCTTACACACAGGACCTGCTGGGAAGTTGCTGGGCTGAGCAGACAGGTCCCTCAGCAAGCTGGGCACGTGCTCTGGGCTGGGGGTCCCCACGCTGCAAGGGTGCCAGTGCCCAGAGAGACAGGACCCTGCCGTGCCTTGGGAGCCCCGGGGCTGAGAGGGAGGAGCACACTGCCAAGAATCCTGCTGCCCGTGTCTTCAACCCAGTGGGCCACGCTCCTGGGGCCCCCTCAGAGCCACAGCTGTTCCTTCCTCCTGCATCTCCCAGGCCGGATCCCAGACAGCCTGAAGAACTGTGTCAACAAGGACCATCTGACAGCCGCCACCCACTGGGCCAGCATGGACCCCGCCGTCGTGCACCCTGAGCTCAATGGGGCTGCCTATAGGTGAGCAGGCCCGCTGGCCCAGAACAGCCTCCAGGAGGGCCCCAGGCTTCCCCTGGATCCCAGCACAGCCCCTGGTGGGAGGGGCGGCGTCTCCACTGACTGACCTGGAGGATCTGGGTAGAATTGGTAAGGCCAACCTCACCTGAAAGGCCCATGAGAACCAGGGCCTCTTGGAAGGAGCCTGGGCTGGGGTGGCCTTCAGGGCTCAGTGGACACAGGAGTGCCATGGGCACGGGGCCTGTGGGAGGAGGGGGCTTTGGGTGAGGCGAAGACCTCATGTTCAAGTCACCTGGAGACACCAGGGCTCCCCTCCCCAGCCCTGAGAAGTAGCTGCCATAGGCAGGAACATCCGTGTAAAGGCCGGGATCCTTACCCTGACTGCTGGTCCTCCTGGAGAGGCCCCCTCGGTGCTGCCGATGCTAGGAGGGCAGGTGGGGCCTGGCCAGGCCGCCTACAGGTGGGCCTCACGGATGGACCCTCTCCCAGCAGGTACCCTCCGGGCGTGGTGGGCGTGGCCCCCACTGGCATCCCAGCTGCTGTGGAAGGTATCGTCCCCAGCGCCATGTCCCTGTCCCACGGCCTGCCCCCTGTGGCCCACCCGCCCCACGCCCCTTCTCCTGGCCAAACCGTCAAGCCCGAGGCGGATAGAGACCACGCCAGTGACCAGTTGTAGCCCGGGAGGAGCTCTCCAGCCTCGGCGCCTGGGCAGAGGGCCCGGAAACCCTCGGACCAGAGTGTGTGGAGGAGGCATCTGTGTGGTGGCCCTGGCACTGCAGAGACTGGTCCGGGCTGTCAGGAGGCGGGAGGGGGCAGCGCTGGGCCTCGTGTCGCTTGTCGTCGTCCGTCCTGTGGGCGCTCTGCCCTGTGTCCTTCGCGTTCCTCGTTAAGCAGAAGAAGTCAGTAGTTATTCTCCCATGAACGTTCTTGTCTGTGTACAGTTTTTAGAACATTACAAAGGATCTGTTTGCTTAGCTGTCAACAAAAAGAAAACCTGAAGGAGCATTTGGAAGTCAATTTGAGGTTTTTTTTTTTGTTTTTTTTTTTTTTGTATGTTGGAACGTGCCCCAGAATGAGGCAGTTGGCAAACTTCTCAGGACAATGAATCCTTCCCGTTTTTCTTTTTATGCCACACAGTGCATTGTTTTTTCTACCTGCTTGTCTTATTTTTAGAATAATTTAGAAAAACAAAACAAAGGCTGTTTTTCCTAATTTTGGCATGAACCCCCCCTTGTTCCAAATGAAGACGGCATCACGAAGCAGCTCCAAAAGGAAAAGCTTGGGCGGTGCCCAGCGTGCCCGCTGCCCATCGACGTCTGTCCTGGGGACGTGGAGGGTGGCAGCGTCCCCGCCTGCACCAGTGCCGTCCTGCTGATGTGGTAGGCTAGCAATATTTTGGTTAAAATCATGTTTGTGACTGTAACCATTTGTATGAATTATTTTAAAGAAATAAAAATCCTGGAAAGAGCCAGCGTGCCCAGCATCTATTCTGGTGACTTTCTCTCATGAGGACACGGGTGAGCCTCAGTCCTGGCTCTGGTGACCTCCACGGCTCAGCTCAGCCTCTCTGAAGTGGGCGGCCTAAGAGAGACCCAGAGACAGTGCAGTGGCAGGTTGGGCAGTGGTCTCTGTGTGTACCGGGCCTGTCCCTCTGCCCACTGGGTCTGTGGGACGCTGTAGGGTCCTGGCTTGGAGGCGGCCTGCCCGCAGTGCCCCAGTGGGAGGGAAGCAGTGTGCCAGCCGGGCCGTTGTGTGGATGATGGTGTGACTGGCTGAGGTCCTGCCCCACTGCCCACCCCTCCCTTCTTGGCATAGCTCCTGCAGGCCGGCCTGCAACCTGGGAAGACTGTGGGCCACAGGAGGAAGGAAAGCAGATGTCAGGGCTGAGGAAGCTCCCCAGACCATGGGTCAGCCAGCCTACGGAAATGGGCAAAAAAGCCAAAAGGGGTCATGCCTCACCTTGGCCCACAGCTGAGCCTGTTTACCGGCGTCCTCTTCAAAATCCCAGCCTCCTGGTTTCTCAGAGCTGCTTTTGGAAGCGTGGTCCATGCAAATCAGCAGAGTCCCAACTCATTTATGAGAAGGGGCTGCAGCGGGTCCAGGCGGTGCGAGGAGGGGCTGCAGCGGGTCCAGGTAGTACGAGGAGGGGCTGCAGCGGGTGCTGGGGAACCCGGGTCCCCTCGGGATGTTTCCATCCCAAGCCTTTCCCTGCATGCAGGTGGGTTATCCTGCCACCCCAAGTGTCCAGACCCTGCCGCGTCATCCGCCAAGTGTCAACCTCCCCTTGCTCCCTGCCCCATATAAAGCAGAAAGAAGCGGGGGGGGGCTGCTGCCTTTGGTGGGGTGCCCCCTCCTACCTGGCTCTGCACCCCAGTGCTCGCAGAGGTCTCTTGGGTATGGGCAGTGGCTCCCAGTCTCGAGGCCCACGCCGAGGACAGCCCCACCTCATGACTGAGGCCTCTGCTCCCTGCCCTCTCCGGAGGTGAGTGGCAGAGGCCGCCCAGCCCATCTCTGACCTGTCTTGGGCTCTTCAACTTGGAGCCCCCTGGGCCACTGAGGGAGGTGGCCTGGGCAGGGTGGGAAGGGTGGGTTCTGGACACGGTTAACAAGCCGGCCCTGGTTTTGCTGACGTGGGCACGGGTGTGAGGAGGGGCAGCCAAGGTGACTTCAAGTGTCTGGGCTGCAGGCTGGAGCTGATGTTTTCTGATATCTCTGGTGGGGGCTGCAGAGGTGGCAGTGGGAAGACCAGGAGTTCCGCGCTGACGGCTGACTCCAGCCTCTCCACAGGCAAGCCCTGGGCTGGGTCACTGGGCCCTGGTCAGCCCCCACGGCAGCCGAGGGTGGGGCTGGCCTCTGGCAGGGTGGGCCGCCCTCCCAGCTCCAGCTGGAGACAGGCCCCGCCCTGAGAGGCAGCCAGACACTGGGAACTAGCTCTGGACACAGGCCTGGAGGCTCCCACTCAGCTGGCCTCATTGTTTCCATGTTTCCAAGTTGAAGGGTCGGGGCAGGAATGGAATGCCTCCAAGGGCTGTCTGTGGTGTGAGCCTGGCGGCCAGGGAGCCGGGACGCTGAAGTGTAACTGAGTCTGGGATGTAAGGGACAGAAAGCTGTCAGAAAAGTGCTCTGAGCCTCGAAACGAACCTCCCCTTGGTGCCGCCTCCGGGGAGTCACCCCGCCCAGCAAGGCCCCAGGAGGGGTGCGGGGTAGCAGGAGGTGGGTGGGGGGCCCTCAGCCTCGGTTTCCTGGCCTGTGAAATCGGCAGCACTGTTTATCTCCCTAGAGGCTGGTATTAGGCTGGAGGTTGTGCCAAAACGCTTAAGACAAGAACATGAAGGAAGGTTTGCATGTTGGAAGGGAAGAGATAAGTCTCTGGTATTTGCTGACAAGCATCTGTGTACAAGACCCAAGAAAATCAGCCAAAGCCTGCAGCTAATCCTGAGACTGGCCAGGTGACCTCACAGGAGCGCCTCTGGTGCCTGCCAACTGTCTCCCCCAAGCTGAGGCGGAAACAAACGGAAACAAAGTCGCAGACAGCGGGTGCCCCATGACAGGACGTGTCCTGCTCTGTCCTTACGACGCAGGGTCTGGCCTGCTCACGCGATTCCACAGTGAGTGGGCACAGTGGTCAGAACCTGGTCCCAGCCACTGGCACCCGGCTGGTAAAGACCGTGGGAGTGACCAGGGCCGCCAACCGTGGTGAACGGTGAGGCCGCCGGATGACCAGACGGGCTGTGCTCGCGGGCGGCGGGCTGTTAGTGTTGTAAACTACATGCGCTTTAAATACCTTTTACCGAGTGCTAGAGCCGTTCATCACCACCCCACGCAGAATTTCAGCTGCTTACGTTGAACAAATTCAACAAGTTTATCCTCAAGTTTATATGCAGCAACAAAGGTCTATGAATTTGGGCTCATAAAACTCAGGCGAATTAAAGAGGAAACAGCCACAGCAGCCTGGTTCTGACACTGAGGGCTCCGGGGCAGGGGCAGGGCCCGCTGGCTTGGCGTGCGCGTGCGTGCACAGGTGTGTGGGTGTCTGCCTGGTGGGCGGGCGGCGTGTGCGTGTGCGCATGTGTGTTTGTGAACTGGCGATGTGATCGAGGGCACGGGTGCTGGGCTTCCCCCTCATGGGTAAAACCAGAGCTACTGTATGCCAGCCGTGGAGGCATGGACGGCCCCTGAGCTCGGACAGCAGACGGACAGACCGTTGACGCGTTGGCACCGTGGCCAGAGTCCGTTCAAGAAAGGTCGGCAGAGAGGGCTGAGAACGCGGCAGGCACATCCTCCAAGGGCCCTGCTGGAACCCCTGGAGCAGGAGGAAGCGGTGATTCTCCAGGCCTTGGGTAGGGCTCAGAGGCAAGAGGGGTGGAGCTGGGGAGGGTCGGGCAGCCCCAGCACCTCAGGCTACTGCGCCTTGGTGGGGAACTCTCCTGCGGCTGCTGATGAACACCCGGGCTCTGGTCTCCTGTAGACTTCCGCCCCGGGCACGGGAGCAAGGGGAGGCTGCAGGCAGCTCCGGGGGCCTTGGCAGGAAGTTGGGAGGGTCGGGACAGTCCCTCTGGGGTGGCCCAAGCAGGGCACAGGGCAGGGAGCCAGGCTCTTCGGGGCCCCACCCCAGGCTGGCCCTGCACCCCATCCTGCCTTCTCTCCCCACTGTGGGCCCAGAACTTGCCCCGTGGGGGCCGGGAAGCACCCACCATCCCCACCCCTAGCTGCTCTCAGCCAGAGCCCAGCTGGACTTGCAGGATTGATTTTCCAGCAAAAAACAACAGCAGAGAAACCCAAGAGCAGCTGCATGAGCCCTCCCAGGCCTACCCCCGCAGCCGGCACTCCCTGCAGCAAAGAAAACCATCTGGCCACTGGGCCCTGAGCCCGGCGCCCGGAGGAGGACCTCTGCCCCGCTGAGCAGCTCTGCTCCCCAGGCTGGCCCTGGGCCTCTCGCGGCCTGACCCGCTCCCCTTGGCATCAAGCACCAGGAGGGACGGGGTGGCCCGGCCAGGGCGTGGGTGTTCCCCGGCCCCTCTGAGCACCAGCACCTGGTGAGTCTACCTCCGCTTCCCCAAGCCCTTGACCACTGCCCTGGACAGCCTCAGCCGCCCCCTGACCCGACCTTCAAACGGGCCAAGGGCTTCCCATGTAGGGTCCGAAAACATCCCTGATAGGCAGGACATGAGACTTGAACAATATAAGGTTAGGTGCATCTGTAAGCGCGGCGCATGGTTAGGCAGCCGGACCCTCTGGAGCATGTGTAAGCGCGGCGCATGGTTAGGCAGCCGGACCCTCTGGAGCATGTGTAAGCGCGGCGCATGGTTAGGCAGCCGGACCCTCTGGAGCATGTGTAAGCGCGGCGCATGGTTAGGCAGCCGGACCCTCTGGAGCATGTGTAAGCGCGGCACATGGAAACAGCGGCTCTTCTGGGTGGCCTCTCTGCTGCCCTTTCTTTTTTAAACCAGCTACTGACCCCGTTGGTCAGTGGTAGCAGTGTCTGTAGGATCCCACTGTGGAGGGCTCGCCACTCACTATCCAGGTCCCTGATGCAAGCTGGCTCCAGCTGGGGGTGCCCACTGTGGGGACGCCGGGGCCAGCCGGGGCCAGGGCTGTGGACACTGGTGGGACGGAGGGTGTCGAGCAGCCGGACTCACCCACATCCCTCCCAGCCCCTACAGGCGTCTAGGCCTCCGGCCTCCACCCCCTCTGTGCAGTGGGCAGTCACACCTGGCGGGGCCCGGCTGCCTGCCCAGACAGCAGGTTCTCAGCAGCAGCCCTGGCGTCCCAGGTCAGCCTCTGCCCAGCCCCACATTCACCTGACAGTGCCTCCCGGGCACTGCCCTGCACCTGCCCACACCAACTCCAGCCTCCTCCCCGTGCTCCCCACCCGCCCTGCACCTGCTCACACCTAACCCCATCCACTCCCAAATGACACCATCCACCCCCACCCACCTCCAATTGCCCCACACCTGCCCCACACCTGCCCCCACTGCCTCTTCTCCTGTCCCTATCTCCTCCCACCCTCCATGTGTCTCCCACCTATCCCCTCACCTGCTCACACCTGCTCACACCTGTCTGCCCCTCACCTGTGCACTCGTGGTCAAAGCCATCTGCTTTTACACCTACCCCACACCTGGGGTTCGCCTTAGACTGGGGTTTGTTCTCTGCTGCTGGCGGGGTCCCGGCTCTTCTGCCCCCTGAGGGAGACCTCACAGGGCAAGGCCGCTTCCCTACCATGAGCCTCAGGCCCTGCCTCCCCTCTCCGCCTGCAGAGCTGAGCCTGGGGAGGCTCCTTCTATTCCAAGAGCCCCACTCAGCCCGCTGGGTCCCCGTTCCCTGAGGAGCTGCTGCTTTTGCTGGGCGCCCCAGCCCTCCCACAGGGGACACATCTGTCCTGGAGAGACCACCTAGGGAGGCATTTGCTGTTGGTCCCTGCCCCGGGCCCTCCAGGTCACTCCCTCTTCTCGTCTGTCACAGCGTGGCCCTCTGGCCCCACAACCTGGGCTGCCGGCCTCCCCCTGCCCTGGCAGAGCAGTGGTGGGGCCAGACCAAGGGCTGACAACCGCCAGCCCCTTCAGCTCGGCCTAGGCCCACGGTCAGCCCAGGGGAGCTGGGGGCTGCAGCCGGGTGGGTGAGTGGCACCCGCAGACCCTTGGCAGGGCCCTCTCCAGTCCTGGGTGCCCTGAGAGGCTGCTGGGGTCCAGCTGCTGCCCGCTGGCTCCCGTGGGGGCACACATGAGGAGCAGGGAGGGGGGCATCCTCCTGTTCATGGCCCCGGGTCAGCCTTGGGTAGGGCAGGGTCACCCTGACAGCCCCCAGCCCAGTACCAGGGGAGGAGACCAGGCAGGAGAAGCCCTCCCTGGAAATGCAAACCCAATGCTGGGCGTGGCCTCCTCCCAAAAGCTCCGCCCCCAACCCCCCACTCCCTGGTCAGGGTTGGGGGCCTGGAGGGAGACAGAGGCCAGGAGGCAGCCAGGGGAGCTAGGGGTGGGCATCGGGCGGAGCATGGCTTCCTGCGGCCCCAACCCCCAGGCCCGAGCGAGGAGGTCTCAGAGGCCCCTCCTGGACCTTTCTGCCCATCCAAGCTGAGGGTCCCAGTTTGTCAGCCGAGGGCCTGCACAGCTTCAGGGGTGAGAGGGGCCCCTGGTGGGGCCTGGTCAGGTGTTTGTGGGTGGGACATCTGAGTGAGGGAGCCTGGGCGGGCCTGGAGGCCCTGGGGCCGTGGTGACGCCAGCATCTCCCCTGATCAACACCAAATGATGCCCCTCCCTGGGCCCCCACCCTTCCCAAGGCTGCCGTAGGCACTGCTGGCAAAAGCCTCGGATGCTTGGGCTGGCAGGGAAGGCCAGGCGGCTCCGATGGGGCCTCTGGGGACAGGATTGCGGGAGGCCAGGATCCTCGTTTTTAACCCTGAACCTTAGCACCTCTGCAGGGTCCCCCAGGTGCTGGGCACGGCTCTCCCTGGACAAAGCCCACAGCTCCACGGATGCCAGCTGCAGTTCTAGTAAAGATGTGGACATGGAAACCGAGGGGCAGGGTTTGCCCCTGGGTGCAGCTGCTCCGAGGAGGCCCCAGCTCAAAGGTGCCTCCCCCCATGCCCAGTTCAGGCATCGGGCCTCAGCCAGCGCCACCTCCTGTGTCCAGGAGCTCCGGGCATGGCCTCTTCCCCAGGACCTCAGCCGGGTGCTGTCTCCACCCACAGCCAGTTCCTGTCCATGTGCCCCCAGGGCCCTGCCCTGTGCAAAGTCTGGTCAGCGTTACGGGGAGGGCGTGGCGAGGGCACAGGGAGGGGACAGCTGGGTCTTCCGCCTTAGCCACAGGGACAGGCCAGGCCTCACAGCCAAGAGCCCCGGGAAGAGCTGCATGCACACGGCTGGAGAGAGGCTCTGCACCCGAGCACAGCCTGCTGCGACTCCTCATAGACCCGGAAAACTGATTAGAAGGCAGAGGTGAGTTTCGGAGGGTGGCTGTGCACAAAATTCAGAGTCAGGAATCAGCATCTTTCAAATTCAAGCACTTCCAGTTAGGAGAGACAATGAAGAAAGAAAAGGGACCATTCCCAACAGCAACAAAAATTGTAAATTTCTAGGAGCAAACGGCGGGCACATCTATACCTGTTATAGAGGGTCTGAGGCCTGACTGAGGACCACAGACCAGCAACAAGCCCGGTCTGTCCTGGGCGTCACGAGGTGCCGTCCCTCGTGCTGGCCGGCTGCCACAGCGGGGCCAATTAAAACACCGGAGAACCCTGGAATCAGGTAGATTGATTGTGAAGTTAACGTGGAAAAATAAGTAAGAAAACTAAGGAAATTCTGGAACAAAAGATGAACAAGGGAACCGTGGCCACCAGGTTTTAACACACACCGGAGGCTGCACCTAGGGAGCCCCGTGTGGAGCTGGTGCGTGGGTCGCTCACAGTAACAATGCGAACGGTGAACACGCAGGCATTACAGACACGCCAAAAGGACGTTTTGAATCAGTGAGAGGCTGTGTTCAGATCAGCAGTGCAAAGCCACCCTCCCGGGTCTGTATCCTGCAGACAGTCAGTGCCCGTCTAATATTCTGGGGACCCCTGCACATCAGGCTGAGGTCATGGGGTCACACAGTAGCATTTCTCTGCATTTCTGGCTAATGACTGAGCAGAAAGGATGTGTATCGGCTCCAGGGTAAGGTAGTGAAAAACCAGTGTGCTAAAGAACTCTCACAGCTCAGCAATACAAAGATAAACAACCTAGTTAAAAAATGGGCAAACTGGGAGAGGCCGGGCGCAGTGGCTCACGCCTGTAATCCCAGCACTTTGGGAGGCCAAGCTGGGGGGACCATTTGAGGTCAGGAGTTTGAGACCAGCCTGGCCAACGTGGTGAAACCACATCTCTACTAAAAATACAACAATTAGCCACCACGTGGTGGTGCACGCCTGTAATCCCAGCTACTCAGGAGGCAGAGGCAAGAGAATTGCTTGAACCTGGGAGGCAGAGGTTGCAGTGAGCTGAGATCGCGCCACTGCACTCCAGCCTGGGTGACAGAGAGAGACTCTAACTCAAAAAAAAAAGGCAAAAGAATTTGAATAGATGTTTTTTCCAAATAATATATGCGACCAGCCAACAAGCTCATGACAAGCTGCTTAACACCATTAGCCACCAGGGAAATGCAAATAAAAACCACACGAGACCACACCTCACACCCACTGGGATGGCTGGAACCGAAAGCATCATAGGTGTCAGGGCGGAGACGTGGGAACCTCACATGCGGCTGTTCTGTTCTTCAAAGTGTGAAGCCGAATTCCATGTGACCCAGCAATCCCACTCCTGGGTACACGTCCCCGAGAATCAGAAACAAAAGCTTATCCACACAAAAGCTTATCCACAAATGTTCCTGGTAGCATTATTCACAATAGCCCAAAGGTGGGCACAGCCTACATGTCCATCTGCTGAGGGACAGATGGGCACATTGTGGCCTGGCCCCACACTATTCTTCACCCGTAAAAAGGAATGAAGCTCTGGCCCATGCTCCAAAGTGGATGAACCTCGCAAACATTTGCCAAGTGAAGGAGGTCAGACGCAGACGGCCACATATCACATGAGACCATTTATGTCAAATGTCTGGAATGGGCAGGTCCACGGTGACACAGAGTAGACTCCCAGCTGCCCGGGGCTGGGGGCGAGGGCACAGCTGGGGGAAAATGGGAAGGGTCTTAGTCCATCCCCGCTGCTGTAACAAAACACCTCAGACTGAGTAATTTATAAGCAACAGAAATTTATTTCCTGTAGTTCTCAAGCTGGGGAGTCCAAGATCCAGGTGCCGGCAGGCTGGGGTCTGCTGAGGGCAGCTCCAATGGCGTATCCAGCCTCACATGGCAGAATTCGGAGGAAAAACAGCCAAGCTAGTTCCTTCTAGCCCTTTTATAAGGGCCCTGAGGACAGAATCATGGCAAGGGATGAGACCCTGGGGCACCTTTGGGACCGCAGAGCTCACTGCCTGCCTGGGTCTCCCCCGATCCTGGCCCAGCCCTCCTTGGCCGCCCCAGCCATGGCTCAGGCAGGTGCAGGCGCAGCTCCAACCATCGCTCCCAAAGGCACATGCGGGGGGCCTTGACGGCATCCACGGGGCGCTGACACTGCAGGCGATGGTGGCCTGCACCCAGATTTCAAAGCATGTTGCTGACAGCCTTGGGGCCCAGGCAGAGGCTCATCGTGGGGTTGGAGCTGCCTCGGAGTCCCCACCGAGGCTATGCCCACCGGAGCTGAGGTGGGGGCTGCCTCCGAGACCCCAGGACTGCAGGGCCACCAGCGAGCAAGCACAGCCTGGGAGAGCGGCAGGCAGGAGACTCCGACCCATGAGCACTGAGTGGGCTGAGCCCACAGAAGCCGTGGGGGCCCAGCCCTGCCCCCATGTGTCTGGAAGGTGGGCAGGGAGTCCAAGATCATCCCCTGTTCATGTATCCTATGAGTCCTGTCCCTCTAGAGAATGCTGACTCATATGATTTTGTATGTGAGAGCGGTGAGTACTGGGCCTGGCGTGCAGTGCCGTGGTTGGAACGTTTCCGTCCTCTAAAGCTCAGGCTGAAACTTAGACCCCGTGGAGTGCCGGGAGGTGGGGACTGATGGGAGGTGTTTGATCCACTCACGAGGCAGAGCCCTTGTGACTAAAGCCACCATGAAAAGGGCTTGTGGGGCAGACCCACCCTCCAGCCGGTGAGGATGCGACGTGCAAGGGCCATCGTGGAAGAGGAGAACCCAACCTTGGCCTCCAGACGGGGAGGCAGGAAGTCTCTGTTGATAAACTGCTGTCTGATGTTCTGTTGTGGCCTCACTCAAACCGTGGCGGGGAGCGGTTGCTAACAGGCACAGGACGTCTTCTGCGGATGATGAACGTGTTCCGGAGTGAGATGAGTGGGGATGGTTGCACAACTTCGTGAACATGCTAAAAACCACTGAATTGTACACTGTAAAGAGTGACTTGTGAGCATGTGAATTTCATCTCAATGAAGCTGTTTTGCGGGAGCCAGGTGAAGCACTGTGGAGGCCACGGCTCAAGAAGGCAGCACCGGCTGGGCGAGGTGGCTCACGCCTGTAATCCCAGCACTTTGGGAGGCTGAGGTGGCTGGATCACGAGGTCAGGAGATCGAGACCATCCTGACTAACACAGTGAAACCCCGTCTCTACTAAAAATACAAAAAAATTAGCCGGGCGTGGCAACCGGCGCCTGTAATCCCAGCTACTCAGGAGGCTGAGGCAGGAGGATGGCGTGAACCCAGGAGGCGGAGCTTGCAGTGAGCCGAGATCACGCCACTGCACTATAGCCTGGGTGACAGAGCAAGACTCTGTCTCCAAAAAAAAAAAAAAGTCAGCATCAGAAAACCAGAAACTGCGCGCGGACCTCAGTGTGGCAGGCACTCCCGGGGTGCAGACGGGGTGAAGGCAGCCTTCTCTGTGGTCACGTGCATGTAACGGCACCTTCTCTCTCAGGGCCTCCTCCCTCCCTGCGTGGTTTGGGGGCTGTTCCTGATAGCACAGATGCCCTGATCACAAACACCTGCCTGCATTGCTGACCACAGGCCTGGCCTGGAGAAACCCACAGCCTCTTCAGGGAAGCGAGCAAGGGGCTTGGAAGTGCCTGAAGCCAGTGGGCTGGGGACTCACGGCCGGGACACTCAGGGCAGGTAGGGCGGGCATGGGGCCCCAGCATGGCACAGGGCCAGACCCACCCCCTCTTTGTCACTGCCCACATACTGCGGGGGGAGGGGCTGGAGGAACTGGGGCACCTGCATTTGGCCTGCAGGGAATCTGGGTCCCGCTGGCTGTGGGTGACCGCAGAGGGCCATGTGGGCAGGGTGCATCCATGGGCGCCCCAGGCCAACCTCGTCAGGGTGGGAGGGGGAAGGGCCAGGAAGCCTCAGCCCAGACCAGGTATGGTGGGAACAGTCCACACGGGAGGGGCCAGAACCGTCTAGAAGGCCCTGGCGTACAGGTCTGCTGCAACAGAGCCAGGAGGGCACGGGGGTGCCCACATCCAGGGCAGAGGCACCACGTGGTGCTCAGTCAGTGGTCAGGGTCAGGCCTGGTTGGTGGCATTGAGGACACTGCAGACTTGGCCCCACCTCCAGGAGCTGGGCTTTCTCCACTTGCTCACAGCAAAGGCAGGGACCAGAGGGGTGGGGGGCTGCACCCACCCTCTCCTCGCTGCTCCCCTCCCCCTTACCACCCCGTCCAGCGATGTCCACGCAGATGGGAGAGTTGTGAGGGTCGTCCACACCTGGCCTGCAGTGGCTGCCCAGCTTCCTGCTAGGGAGATGGGGCCGGTGCTGATGGGGAACAGCTGTTGTGGGGGCAGCCAGAGGAAACCACGTTCCCGTGGGGTGAGCTCATGGTTTACACGTTCCCTGCCAGATCCATAACATCCTGGAGGCAGAAGCGCAGAGGCTGAGCCCGCCCCCGCCCCCGCTGAGCCTCCCCTGCTCTGACACCAGGGCGGCTCAGCCATCCTCGCTTAGCCTGCACCTCCTGTCCTGAAGCCCCTTCCTCCCTCCACTTGCTCCCTCTGTCATTTACTCCCCAGCCCCGACCCACCCTGCTCACCCCTGAAGCTTCTCTGGGTCCTGGACTCCGTTCTGCAGGCTGGACGCCTTCTCAACTGTCCGTGGAGCCTGCCTGGTCTCTGGGGGTGTTGAGTGAGGGGTGACCCAGGAAGAACGTGTCAGAGACAGTGGACAGGGAAGCGTTTCTCACCCCTTAACTCACAGCAGCCCCACCGGGCGGACACAACCATCAACCCAGCCGCAGGTGTAGAAACTGAGGCACACAGACGCGATGTGGCTGCCCGTCTGGTAACTAGCAGCCGGGATTGGAGCCTGGGTCCAAGCTGCCTGTTCTTTCTTTCCTAGGCCGTGCGCCGTTTCTCCTGGAATAACTGGAGGTGATTTCATGGAACCTGGAGGCTGGGCTTCAGGCTGGGGGGAGAGGCTCCAGACTGGGTCTTCTCCGTGGCTCTGCCCCCCGCTCTCCTTGCTTGAGTGGTGGGGGCCCTGCATCCTCTCATGCCCACCCCCACCTTTCTCGCCAAATTGTCGGAGGCTTTTGTCACCTGGAGACACTGTTCCTGCCAGCTCCGGTCTTGGAAAACATGGCCTCTCCTCTCCTGCCCTGGCCCCGGCCCCTCCTGCCAGCTGGACGTGGGCATTTCTGCACCCAGTAGAACCCCACAGCCAGGAAAGATGCCTGGAAGGCTAGAGAAGAGGCGTGATGGGGGGACCCCATGTGTGGCGACAGAGCAGCACACCCAGCTATTCTCAGCCACCATGTGGGAGAGAAATGACGCCTCTGTCGAGCTCCCCATGGCCGGAGCTGCTCCATACAGCATCCTAACCTTCACCCCCAACTACTCAGTTGCCATGGCAAAGGGAATATTTTGACTCCCTTTTTTTAAAATTTCCAGGTGATTATTGCTAGAGGAGTGGGAAGTTACTAATTTTTGTATATTTATCTTGTATTAAAATGTTTTTACTGATTTTTAATTTTAATTTTAATATTTTTTGAGATGGAGTTTCACTCTTCTGGCCTAGGCTGGAGTGCAGTGGTGTGATTTCGGCTCGCTGCAACCTCCACCCATGGGTTCAAGCGATTCTCGTGCCTCAGACCCCCGAGTAGCTGGGATTACAGGCATGCACCACCACGCCCGGCTAATTTTGTGTTTTTAGTAGAGACAGGATTTCACTATGTTGGTCAGGCTGGTCTCGAACTCCTGATCTCAGGTGATCTGCCCACCTTGGCCTCCCAAAGTGCTGGGATTACAGGCGTGAGCCACCGCACCTGGCCTGATTTTTAATTTTTAAATGAGGGAGCAGAGGCATAACTAGGTTTACAATCATGTCATCAACAAAATAAATTGTCTTATTTTTCTGATATTTGTGCCATTTATTTGGTTTTTCTATTAAGTTTGCCAGAACCTCCGAGAAAATGCTGGACAATTATGACAGCAGCAGGCCCCACGAGTCGACCCTGGATTTGTGACATTTGTGTTTTCCACGTAGAACGATCTTGGCCACTATTGTGGACAGAGACTTTTGCACTTTTTTCTATTTTACTAGAAATAGTGCTTTTATTCATAAAGATTGCTGAATTTGGTCAGTTTTCTTTTCAGTACCTGTCGGTGAGGTTCTCTGAATTTTCTGTGCTAATTGGCTAATGAAATGACGTCTCTGATGACTGCGCTGCCCTCGTAAGCCTGGCCTTCATCTGCTTGGCCATAACACGATGCTGCCGACGCTGTGTTGGGTCCTATTTGCTGTTCTCTTGTGTAGAATCCGCCGACGCTGCGTTGGTTCCTATTTGCTGTTCTCTTGTGTAGAATCCGCTGATGCTGCATTGAGTCCTATTTGCTGTTCTCTTACTTAGATTTTTTTGCATCTGCGAAAAGTGATATTTGTCTATGGTTTTCTCTTTTTGTTCCACATCAGGTTTTTGAATTAGATTATCCTGGTTTCATGAGATGAATTACAGAGTTTTCCATCCTTTCATGTCTTGGGAAGGTTAAAGTAACCCTGGGATGACTTTCCTTCCATGGAAGGTGAGGTCATCGTCAGCTGCGGACATCTGCTCCTGGTGCCTCCTTTCCTGGCTCAGCTCTCGCCCTCTCCAGCACCTCGTGCTCATCTCTGCGTGGTGCCGCTCATCCAGAGTCATTCTGGACTTTACACCCACGACAACATGGCTGCTGCAGGTTTCGAAGCAGCTGCCCCGGCCGAGCGGGCTGTCTCATCATTCCTCCAGCCTCTTCCATACTGGGGTCTCTTTCTTCCTAATCATGTGTGGGTTTTTTTATTTCAATGTACAAAAATTCTAAATAGAGGTAGTCATTTATTTGTTTTAGTTTTTTTTTTTTTTTGAAACAGAGTCTCACTTTATCACCCAGGCTGGAGTGCAGTGGGACGATCTCAGTTCACTGCAGCCTCCACCTCCCGGATTCAAGCAATTGTTCTGTCTTAGCCTCCCAAGTAGCTGGGACTACGGGCACGCACCACCATGCCCGGCTAATTTGTGTATTTTTGCAAAGACACGGTTTCACTATATTGGCCAGGATGGTCTCAAACTCCAGGCCTCAAGTGATCTGCACACCTCAGCCTCCCAAAGTGTAAGCATTACAGGCGTGAGCCACCACGCCCAGCCTAGGCAGTCATTTCTTGATGCAGCTTTTGGGCTGGGCAAGGGGATTTTATTTTATTTCTTTCAGAAAACAATCATTTCTCCTTTTTACTTATTTGTTTTCTACTCATTAATTTCTGGCTTTATCTTCATAATTCTCCCTACTTTTTAAAATGCACTTTATTGTTCTCATTCTAGTTTCTTAGGGTGGCACAAAGTCCCTCTCGTTTATTTTTTCCTCTAAAAAATAAGAGCTGTGCTGGGGGCTCTGGGCGCTGCATTAGCTGAGTCCTCGATATTTATGGATTGATATTTATGGCTTCTCGGCTTTTCAGAGAGTGCACGTTCAGATTTAATATCCTGTTTTACCCAAGGGCTACCTGGGAGTGTGTTGGTTTCTAAGTTTCTGGGGGAAGAGGTGGCACTTTCCGTTATTTATTTTACAATTTTTTGGATAACAGGATCATTTTAATTATTCTACTTTTTAGTTCCTTGAGGTTTTCTTTGCAGCCAATACACAACAGACATGGACTTATCGGAAGTCGGAACGTTTGGAAGCTCTGTTTCCCGTGAGGAATCTTCGGAAGCGCTGTTTCCCATGAGGAACGTGAGCATGACCATCCATATTGATCTGTCTGCATTTTTCTGTT
Source organism: Homo sapiens (assembly GCF_000001405.40). NCBI lineage: Eukaryota > Metazoa > Chordata > Mammalia > Primates > Hominidae > Homo > Homo sapiens. The sequence goes on along the minus strand of NC_000004.12, from coordinate 1,197,140 downwards.
GCCACTAGACCTAATTATGGAGAGAGAGACACGGAGGGAGCTCCTGTGACCCTCAAGTCCCCTCATCATGTCCCCGTCCTGTTGGCTTTCCGAGTTTAGCTCCCATGTTTGGACCATGGAGGTTTATGTCTTCTATCTCAGTCATCGTCCCTGCCACATGCCCAACCAGACATGCTGACATCACAGGCCCTACTTAGCCCTGTTTCCTCTCCCCTTGGCCTCACCTTGATGTCAGGGGGGTGTCCTCTGGTCTGACTCAGAGGCAGTGACTGGCTTCCTTCTAGTACCTTCTCTGGATAATGAGTATGGATGACATACCTTCTAGTGTCTGCTGTCGCGCTTACCGGTGACACTTCTGGGCTGGTTTGTGATGCCTGGGATGGAGCCGTCTCCCTAGTGGTCATGGATGATGTTTCACTGTCCCCTGCTTCTGGTGGCACAGATGAGAACTCCAGGCCTCGTGCTCTCTCTGCTGGCACACACATCTTCCCTCCATGCTGGCTGCACACCTGCCCATGGGGTTTCTGCAGGAGAGGAGACAGCCAGAGGCCCAAGTGGGGTGTGTGGCAGGCAGGCAGCAACCCTGGTCACTGCAGTGGCCTCTGCTCTGAGTCTCGGGAGTAACCCTGGTCACCGCAGTGGCCTCTGCTCTGCTTCTCAGCTATGCCTGGTGTGACCCCCAGGGTCTTGGTCGGCATGAGGCCACAGAGCTCACGTGCACTTCCCGCAGCTGCTTCCACGGTATAGATGAGAGGTTCCCATGGAGCTCACATGACCTCTAGAGACTTGCAGACCCCTATGCTGTCAGACAGAGGAGGCTGAGGCTCAGAGAGGCACAGTCACCTTCTTGAAGATGCACAGCCGTGAGTGAAGAAGCTGGGATTTCTCCTGGTCTCTCTGACCCTGGAACACGTGGCCTCTGGGTGTGCCCAGTAAGAGACGTTAAAGAAGGGCCTCCCCCATGAGCCCTGACTGAGGCGGGGCGCTAGGCACCCCATCGATGTGCTTCGTGGTTCACAGGGGAGAGGCAGAGGGCCTGTCGGGGGGCAGCGATGGGGCAGCCAGAGGGGGCGGTCCTGGCCTGTGTGAGCCTCCTTGAGGGGAGGGTGCCAGGAACTACCCCATGATCTTCTATTCTCATGTAAGCCACAAGACCCCAACCCAGATCCCCACAGCAAAGGCGAAGTCACCAACTCAACAAGGCGCGTGGCCAGGCGTGGGGCTCACGCCTGCAATCCCAGCACCATGGGAGGCTGAGCAGGAGGATGGCTCGAAGCCAGGAGTTCGAAACCAGCCTGTGCAACACAGCGAGACCGCTCTACAAAAATAAAAAAAAATCAGCTGGGTGTGGTAGTGCACACCTGTAGTCCCAACTACTTGGGAGGCTGAGGTGTGGGCATCCTGGGGCTGGGGGTCTCCGGGGTGGGGGGTCTGGGGCAGGGGCATCCCAGGGCTGCTGGCCATGACCAGGCTTTGCGCCTCTGCCTGCTGATGGCCCTGGGGCTGTGATGGCGGTTTTGCACAGAGCCCACCCTCCAGCCCTGCTTGCTGAGGGCTACTCGAGGGGCTGCGGCAGTGCCTACCCACATGTGGTGCCCGGGATGCAGCCCCCATCCGCCCAACCTCGAGCTGTGCCTGGAGAGGCGGGGGGAGGTTCAGGTGCCATGGCAGCCTCCAAGGGGCCGAGGACTTAGGGAGGGTGCTGGAAGCTGGCCGGCCTGTGAGGGACCCCTGAGGCGCAGGGGGCCAGGGCCACCAAGCTGATGCGCCCACCGACGGGCCAGGGGGCCGGTCCTGTTGCCTGTGGGAGTAGTGGATGGGGGAGAGCGAAGTGGTTCCTGCGAGGCCGGCCACACACCAGCGGGACCCGCCCTGGGACCGCAGGAGATGCGGGAGTGGGACATTGAGTCATGGGCACCAGCCTCGGGCCATCTCCAGAGGACGGCGGTGGGGGCAGAGCCCAGGAGGAGGAGCTGCCTGGGGCGCCCTCCCTGTGGTCCTGAGCCCTGAGCCGCCGGCTGCGGGGTTGGAGCCGCCGGCTGCGGGGTTGGAGCCGCCGGCTGCGGGGTTGGAGACGCCGGCTGCGGGGTTGGAGCCGCCGGCTGCGGGGTTGGAGCCGCCGGCTGCGGGGTTGGAACCGCCGGCTGTGAGGTGAGGCCGCCGGCTGCGGGGTTGGAGTCGCCGGCTGCGAGGTTGGAGCCGCCGGCTGCGGGGTTGGAGCCGCCGGCTGCGGGGTTGGAGTCGCCGGCTGTGGCGTTGGAGCCGCCGGCTGTGGGGTGAGGCCTCTGCTGGCTGCGGGGTTGGAACCGCCGGCTGTGAGGTGAGGCCTCTGCCAGGCAGCCCCCGCTGAGTGTTTTTCCTTCCACTGCCTCTGGCCCCGGGCCAGACTTGGAAACGCTGACCCACATTCCCCCCGCGCCCGGCAGAAACCAGGCCACCAGCGAGGCTGGGGAGGGTGTCCCGGCAGCGGGGCCAGCTCAGACTTTCCAGGCTGGGGAGCAGGTCCCGCGGGCCAGAGCAGGGGGACTCTTCCCGGGGCCTCCGGCGCAGCTGGCCCAGAGAAGAGGACGGAGCCCACCCGGGCCAGGAAGAAGCTAAGCTGTGCAAGCCGCCCTGTCCCACACAGCCCTGCCTGCGGCCTGCGCTACCGCGGCCCGGCTTCCCCGTTTCTTCCCACTCCCCCTGCAGGGCACGCCAGCCGCTCCATCCGGTCCTCCAGGCCTGGGGCCGTCGCTGTCCCCCGGGGGCTGGTCCCAGGCCTCCCACCCTGGGGCTCGGCTCCTTGAACCGCCTCTGAAGTGGTCCCTCTATCGGGACCTGCGGGTGAGCCCCGTTGGTCCTTTTTCCTGCCACCCTGACTGGGCCACCTCCCAATGACATGGCCTTGGCAGAAGAGGCCCGCACACCTCGCCGAAGACCCTTGGAGGAGCCCATTTGCCGTCGTGGGGCTGGGGGTGGAGGGAGGCCGGCCGGAGGGTGTCTCTCTCCCCATAGGCACTGCCTGCTGTGCCCAAAGTCTGGCCGCAGCTCCCCGGAGACGTCCTGTGGGGCCTCTGGCAAGGCCACTTCAAAGCTTGTGGCTGCAGGGAAGGTGGGAACAGCTGCTGGGCCACAGGGCACCCCCCTGGGTTCCACATACTGGCAGCCTCGTCCAAAGAAGAGGGACAGGGAGCAGGGCCCACGCCACCCCCGTGTTATTCCCACAGCTCCCCCACGTCCTTTCCACGCCACCCGCACGTCCTTCCCACACCCCCCACATCCTTCCCACACCGTCCCCCACGTCCTTCCCACGCTGCCCCCCCACGTCCTTCCCACGCCACCCCCCCACGTCCTTCCCACGCCACCCCCCCACGTCCTTCCCACGCCACCCCCCACGTCCTTCCCACACCACCCCCCACGTCCTTCCCACACCGCCCATGTCCTTCCTACACCCCCCACGTCCTTCCCACGCCCCCTACATCCTTCCCACACCCCCCACATCCTTCCCATGCCCCCTCCACATCCTTCCCATGCCCCCTCCACATCCTTCCCATGCCCCCCACGTTCTTGTCCCATGGTCAGCGGCAGGTCCTACGGGAGTGACCCCTGTTGCTGGGGAGGTGTTCTGGTGACACAGGGCTGTAGGGACACACAACCTTCCCTCCTGGAGAAAGGACTCAGTCCCCACCCAGCTCCCCCACACTCCTATTCCTCCTCCCCAGCCCCAGGGTGGGGCCCACTGAGACTGGGGGGGCTCTGGAGAGAGGCCAGGCCTGGCGTGCTGGACTCCCCCAGGACAGATACCCGGTGACGGGGACACCCAGTGATGAAGGGTGTGTGGGGCAGGGGACAGGATGGACCTGGGCAGAGACTGGGACAGGGGACGTTGCACCCTCCAGTGCCCACTGAGTCTCTGCAGTGACATCCACTTTCTCTCTGCAGGGTCCATTAGCATCCTCCAGATCAAAGGCAGGGTCAGCCTCAGATGCAGGCATGTGCATGGTGTGTGAGCACATGTGCTGTGTGTGTGCACCCATGTGTGAGGCGTGTATCTGGCATGGTGCAGCTGTGTCGGGCATGTGTACGTATACAAGTGTGTGCACGTGTGTGTGGCATGCATGCATGTCCACATATGTGTGTGGGCCTGGTGGGTACTCAGATGTCTCCATCCCATGCCCCACCCTGTGCCAGATGAGGTGGCAGCAGAGAAGGGACCCCAGCAGCTGCTGCAGTGGACATTGAGCTCTGCCCCCTCCCTGGCACCTCCTTCCACTCGGCCTTGCTTCTGAGGGCCCCTGGCTGCTGGAACAGCCTGATGTGAGGGCTTGATGCTGGGCCGTGGCCTCAGCAAGCCTCTCCTTGGCCGGTGGCATCTCCCTGGGGTGTATGTGGGGCTGGGGCAAGTGCTCTCTGGGCTAAAGGAGCAAAGGCTTCCAGCAGGATGGCCGTACCCCCCAAGCCTTCCTAGAATCCAGGCTGCGAGCTTCTGTGTTAAGAGGCTAAGAAACAAGGAGGCAGGTCCCTCTTTGTTTGCCCCGGGCAGCTCCGGCTTAGCCTGAGCCACCCTCTGCTGCTCTGTGCTGCTCCCGCTGCCCTTTCCAGCCCAGGGGTGCTGCTGGGAAGAGGCTTCCCTGTGAGCACTCAGCCTTCTCACCCTAATGCCAATCCGAAAATGGCAACTGAGTTTAGCTACAGCAAAGGGCTTTACCATCGTGTCAAGAGATTGAGAGTAGGAAACTCTATTGGGAAAAAGAAAATGTGAAATTTAAAGCATAAATCCCTGAATTCCAAATCCCTTTCCTTGGCTCCACAGCCAACCCTGGCCAGCCAGCACAGGGCTGCCAAGACCAGCCCTAGGGCTGACTCAGAGCTTGGACAGAGTCCCACACTCAGTAGAGCTGCTTGGCTGGCTGTGGGTCACGAGGAAAGGGATTATCTCTGTGCTAAAGCATGTGGGGCCATCTGGTGAGGTCACCCCCATCCCACACTCTGCAGAGGAAGAAACTGAGGCCTTGAGAGAGCTTAACCCATGCCGGGTCACACAGCCGTGGACAGGCCTGAGCTGGAATCCTTGTCCCCTGACGCTAGCATGGGGCTTCCTCTGGCCCCTCCTTGCTGTGGAGAGATGAGGGGCACCCACATCCTCATGGGGCTGAGTCTCTTCTATCCCATCAGAGCCCTGGAAACAGGGACCCAAGTGGTCTGCGGCCACCAGCCTGGGTGTGGCCTGAAGGCTGGGTGTGTAGGCCTATGGGGAGGGGCTGGCTGTCCTGGGAGCTATGTACCTGAATGTAGAATGACAGGAACTCACTGCAAACCTTGGTAACTTGTGGGCACCTCCTCCACCCTCTCTCCACACTGATCCAACCGCTGCCTCGCACACACCCTATGGTTCTGGTGTCCCCTCCAGGCAGGGCCTACACAGCCCGAGGAGGCCTCTGTCCTTGCACTCCCACTAGGCAGAGGTCTCTCCTGCCCCTGGCCTTCCCAGTGGATTTCAGTGCTGAGTTCTGAGCCAAGGTGTGAGAGGAGGGGCGCCATCATCCCAAGGAGTGCACTCTAGGCTGAACTGTCAGGGAAGAGCATCAAGGAGCCTCCAGCACCTTCACTGGGAGACTGGCTCCTCAACCCTGTCCGTCTACTCCTGTGGGCCAAAACTCACGACTTTTACTTTTAGGTCTTTGATCAATTTTATACATGGTTAATTTTTTTGTATATGGTGTGAGGTAGGAGTCCAAATACCTTCTTTTGCAAATGGAGGTCCAGTTGTCTGAGCACCATTTGCTGAGGAGCTGATCTCTCCTCAAGTGAGTGACTTTGGCACCCTTGTTGAAACCAGTTCACCATAAAAGTAGGGGTTTATTTTTGGACTTTCAATTCTGTTCCATTGTCTCTATACCTAGCCTTAAGCCAGTACCATACTGTCTTGATTACTACAGTTTTGTAGTAATTTTTGAAATTGGGACGTGTAAGTCTTCCAATTTAGTTCTTTTATTGGGTAGTTTTGGCAATCTGAGGCCTCTTGCAATTCCGTATGAATTTTAGGATCAGACTTTCCATTTCTGCAAAAAAAAAAAAAGAAAAAAAAAGCAGTTAGAATTTTGATGGGGATTGGATTGAATCTGTAGACCAATATGGGGACTATTGCTGTCTTAACAATATTAATTCTTCTAATTGAGGAACACAAGATGTCTTTCCACATATTTAAATGTTTAATTTCTTCTAATGATGTTTTGTAGTTTTTAGTGTTCAAGTTGTGTACTTCTTTGATTGAATTTATTCCTAAGCTTATTCTTTTGATGTGATTATAAATGGAATCGTTTTCTTAATTTCATTTTCATATTGTTCATTGTTTTAGAAACGTGACTGATTTTTATAATATTGGTCTGTATTTTCAGCCTTGCAGAACTCATTTCTCAGCTCCAATGTTTTTGCATGGATTTCTGATGATTTTGTATGCATGAAATCATGTCATCTGCAAATAGAAATAGTTTTACTTCTTCCTTGCCAACCTGGCTGCCTCTAATTTTATTTTCTTGCCTAATCATTCATATTGAACCAACTTTGCATTCATTGTGCATAATCTTTTCGAAAATGTTGCTGGATTAAGTTTACTGGTATTTTGTTGAACATTTTTTGCAGCTATATTCATAAGAGATACTGGAAAGTTTATTTTTTGTGTGACGATTTTGTCTAGTTTTGGTATCAGGGTAATACTGGCCTCTGAATGAGTGAGGAAGTGTTCCCTATTTTGGAAGAATTTATGAAGGATTGGTATTAATTATGCTTCAAACATTTGGTAAAATTCACCAGGGAAGCCATCTCATCCTGGGCTTTTCTTTGTGGGAAGTTTGTTTTTTTTTGTTTGTTTTTTTTTTTCCTACTTCAATCTCTTCATTTGTGTTAGGTCTATTCAGATTTTGTATGTCTTCATGAGTCAGTTTCAGTAGTTTGTGTCTTTCCAGGAATTTGTTCATTTCATTTAGATTATTTAATTGGTTGGCACATTGTTCATAAGAGTCCCTCATAAATCTTTTAATTTCTGTAATGTCATTAGTAATGTCTTCTATTTCATTCCTGATTTTAGTAAATTTGAGTCTTCTCTTTTTTCTTAGTCTGGCTATTCAATTTTCTTGATCTTTTCAAAAACCAACTTTTTTTTTTTTTTTTTTGAGATGGAGTCTCACTCTGTCACCCAGGCTGGAGTGCAGTGGCATGATCTCAGCTCACTTACAAGCTCTGCCTCCTGGGTTCAAGCCATTCTCCTACCTCAGCCTCGTGGGTAGCTGGGACTACAGGTGGGTGCCACCATGCCCGGCTAGTTTTTTGTATTTTTTAGTAGAAACGGGGTTTCACCATCTTAGCTAGGATGGTCTCGATCTCCCGACCTTGTGATCCGCCCGCCTCAGCCTCCCAAAGTGCTGGGATTATAGGTGTGAGCCACCGCACCTGGCCTTCCAAAAACCAACTTTTGTTTTTTGTTTTCTTTTCTTTCTTTCTTTCTTTTTTTTTTTTTTTTTTTTGAGACAGGGTCTCACTCTGTTGCCCAGGCTGGAGTGCAGTGGTGGCATGATCTTGGCTCACTGCAGCCTCGACCTCCTGGGCTCAAGCCTCCCAGGTAGCTGGGACCACAGGTGCGTGCCACCACACCCAGCTATTTTTTATTTTTGTAGAGATGGGGTTTTACCGTTTGCCCCTGCTGGTCTTGAACTCCTGAGCTCAAGAGATCTGCCTGCCTTAGCCTCCTGAAGTGCTGGGATTACAGGTGTGAGCCACCATACCCGGTCTGTTTTAATTGATCTTTTAAATTATTTTTCTACTGTAATTTATCTCTGCTCTACTATTTATTATTTCCTTCTGCTTGCTTTGACTTACTGTGCTGTTTTTTTCTCGTTTCTTTAGGTGGAAGGTTGGGTTATTGATTTGAGATCTCTTTTTATTTAGTGTAAGTATCCACAGCTGTACATTTCCCTGTAAGCACTGTTTAGCTTCATCTGTATTTTAGTATATTGTGTTTTCATTTCCATTTATCTCAAACTATCTTCTAAATTCTCTTGTGAATGCTTCTTTGCCCTATTGGATACTAAGGAGTTCAGTGTTTTATTAACATATTTTTTAATTACCCAAATTTCTTTCTGTTATTGATTTGTAATTTCATTCAATTGTGGTAAGAGAACATACTTTGCATGATTTCAATCATTTTAAATTTGTTGAGATTTATTTTATGACAACATCGGGTTTATTCTGTCAGACATTCCACGTGCACTTGAGAATAATGGGCACAACAACCTTTGCAGTTGTTGGTGGAGTATTCTACAGACGTCTGCCAAGTCTAGGTGGGTTAGAGCCTGTTGACGTCTTCTACTGACTTTTGATTTTCTGTCCTGTTGCTTTATCCATGATTGGAAATGGGCTATTGAAAGCTGGAAGTCTCCAGCTGTTATTGTTGAATTGTCCATTTTGCCCTTCATCATTTCCGCTTTGGCTTCATGTATCTTGGGGCTCTGTGTCAGGTGCACATATGTTGATAACGGTGATATTTTCTTGATGGATGTACCCTTTTATCACTATAAAATATCCTTGTCTGTTTTAACAACTTTTGTCCGAAGGTCTGTTTTCTTTCATATTGTCACAGTCACTCCAGCTCTCTTCTGCTTACTATTCTATCTTTGCTCTTTTACTTCAGAGTGTCTTTGAATGTGCGTTGAATCATGGTTCTTAAAAGTCAGCCCTTCTATCCGCTGCTTTTTAACTGGAGTGTTTAATTAACATTTAGTTGACACTACATACTGAGTTGATAAGGGAGAATTTAGGCACACCATTTGCTATTTGTTTTCCATATCTTAGGTTTTTTTTGTTCCTCTGTTTCCATATGGCCTTCTTTGGTGTTAAATAGATATTTCCTAGTGTCTCATTTCAACATATTTGTCATTTCTTTTTTTTTTTTTTTTTTTTTTTTGAGACGGAGTCTTGCTCTGTTGCCCAGGCAGTGGTGTGATCTTGGCTCACTGCAACCTCCTCCTCCCAGTTTCAAGCAATTTTCCTGCCTCAGCCTCCTGAGTAGCTGGGATTACAGGCACCCGCCACCACGCCTGGCTAATTTTTTTTTTTTTGTATTTTTTAGTAGAGACGGTGTTTCATCGTGTTGGCCAGGCTTGTCTTAAATTCCTGACCTCAGGAGATCCACTAGCCTTGGCCTCCCAAAGTGCTGGGATTATAGGCGTGTGTTGCTGTGCCTGGCCTGTTATGTGTATTTTATTACAATAAAAAATTGGGGAAAACATTTTCAAAGGGCAGTGTAAAAATAAATAGTTTATGTGTGTAGCTCTTTTTTCTCCTACCTGATTTAAAAGACAACTGCAGAGAGTGATGATTAGACATCTGTGCTGGTAGTCAAATGATGTGTAAACATTTAAATTATATGACAGTGATAGCACAGAGGAGGAGGAGGGAACAGAGCTATATATGCGCAAAGTTTTTGTATACCATTGACATTAAATTATAATTAATCTGAGATCAGTTGTTATAAATTAAGATATTAATTGTAATCCCTAGGGCATCTGCTAAAAAGACACCTTAAAAGGTATAGTAAAAGAAATGACAGAGCAAGACTTTGCCTCAAAAAAAAGATACATATAACATAAAATTTACCATCTTAGCCATTTTAAAGTGTACAGTTGAGTGGCATTAAAAACATTCATCATGTATAAACGTCACCCCATCCATCTCCATAACACTTCATCTTGTGAAACTGAAACTGTGCACTCATTAAACAACAACTCCCCATTTCTGCTCCCCCCAGCTTCTGGCAACCACCAATCTGCTGTCTGTCTCTCTGAATGTGACTATTCTAAGTACCTCATCTAAGTGGAATGACACAATCTTTGTGTTTTGTGACTGGCTTATTTTACTTAGCATAATGTCCTCAAGGGTGATCCATATTATAGCATATGTCCTTCCTTTGTAAGGTGAAATTTCCTTTCTTTCTAAGGCTAAATAATATTCTGCTTATCTGTTTGTTCATTGGTAGGCACTTGAACTGATTTTGCATTTTAGCTGTTGTGAATAACGCTGCTATGAACTTGAGTATACAAATATATTTTCAAGACCCTGATTTCCATTATTTTGGGTATATACCCACAGTTGCAATGTGGGATCATACAGTCATTCTATTTCTAATTTTTTGAGGAACTCTTATCGTGTTTTTCATAGGAACTGTGTCATTTTATATTCCCATCAATAGTTCTCCAGGGTTCCAGATTCTCCACATCCTTGCCAATACTTGTTATTTTGGGGTTTTTTTGATAGTAGTCATCTTAATGGGTGTGAGGTGATGTCCTATTATAGTTTTAATTTGCATTTCCTCAGTAATAAATGATGTTGGGAATCTCTTCATTTGCTTATTGACCATTTGTAGATCATCTTTGGAGAGATGTCTATTCATGTCCTCTGCCCATTTTTAAATTGAGTTTTTTGTCTTAGAGTTTTAGGAGTTCTCTATATATTCTGGATATTAGTGCCTTATCAGATAAATGATTTGTAAATATTTTCTCCCATCAGCTGGGTGCAGTGGCTCACACCTGTAATCCCAGCACTTTGGGAGGCCGAGGTGGGTGGATCACCTGAGCTCAGGAGTTTGAGACCAGCCTGGGCAACACAGTGAAACCCCGTCTCTACTAAAATACAAAAAATTAGCCGGGCACGGCAGCATGCGCCTGCAATCCCAGCTACTTGGGAGGTTGAGACAGGAGAATTGCTGGAACCCGAGAGGCAGAAGTTGCAGTGAGCCAAGATTGCACCACTGCACCCCAGCCTGGGTGACAGAGGGAGACTCCATCTCAAAAAAAAAAAAAACATTTTCTCCCATCTTTTGAGTTGCCCCTTTACTCTGTTGATGTTGCCTTTTTTTTTTTTTTTTGAGACGGAGTCTCGCTCTGTCACCCAAGCTGGAGTATAGTGGCCCGATCTCAGCTCACTGCAAGCTCCGCCTCCCAGGTTCACACCATTCTCCTGCCTCAGCCTCCTGAGTAGCTGGGACTACAGGCGCCCACCACCACGCCCGGCTAATTTTTTGTATTTTTAGTAGAGATGGGGTTTCACCGTGTTAGCCAGGATGGTCTCGATCTCCTGACCTCGTGATCCGCCCGCCTCGGCCTCCCAAAGTGCTGGGATTACAGGCGTGAGCCACCACGCCCGGCCAGATGTTGCCTTTTGATACACAAATATTCTAATTTTCATGACGTCCACTTTGTCTATTTTCTTCTTTTGTTGCCCATGTTTTTGGTGTCATATCCAATAAATCATTGTAAAATCTGAAGTTGTACAGCTTTGTCTTATGTTTTCTTTTAAGAAGTTTATAGTTTTAGGTATTACATTTAGGTCTTTAATCAGTTTTGAGTTAATTTTTGCATACAGTGTCAGGCAAAAGGTCCAACTTCATTCTTTTTTTTTTTGGAGATGGAGTCTCACTCTGCTGCCGAGGCTGGAGTGCAGTGACGCGATCTCAGCTCACTGCAATGTCCGCCTCCCAGGTTCAAGAAATTCTCCTGCCTCAGCCTCCCAAGTGGCTGGGATTACAGGCATGTGCTACCATGCCTGGCTAATTTTTGTATTTTTAATAGAGACGGGGTTTCACCATGTTGGCCAGGCTGGTGTGGAACTCCCGACCTCAGGTGATCCGCTCGCCTCAGCCTCCCAAAGTGCTGGGATCACAGGCTTGACCAACTTCATTCTTTTGCATGTGGATGTCCAGGTTTTCCAACACCATTTGTCAAAAAGACTATTCTGGCCGGGCATGGTGGATTATGCCTGTAATCCCAGCACTTTGGGAGGCCGAGGTGGGCAGATCACTTGAGGTAAGGAGTTCAAGACCAGCCTGGCCAATGTGGCAAAACCCAGTCTGTATTAAAAATACAAAAAAGAAATTAGCCAGGGGTGGTGGTGCACATCTGTAATCCCAACTAGTCGGGTGGCTAAAGGAGAATTGCTTGAACCCAGGAGACGGAGGCTGCAGTGAGCCGAGATTGTGCCACTGCACTCCAGCCTGAGCAACAGAGTGAGATTGTGTCAAAAGAAAAAGAAAAAAGACTATAAGACTATTATTTCTCCCATTGAATGGTCTTGGCACTTTTGTCAAAAATCATCTGGCCATATATGTGAGAGTTTATTTCTGGCATAAAGATAGAGCATAGCTTATTGCTTATTGTATTCTTTTTTTTTTTTTTTGAGACAGAGTCTTGCACTGTCGCCCAAGCTGGAGTGCAGTGGCAAGATCTCGGCTCACTGCAACCTCCGCTTCCTGGGTTCAAGTGATTCTCCTGCCTCAGCCTCCCAAGTAGCTGGGATTACTGGCACACACTATGACACCCGGCTAATTTTTTAAATTTTTGTTTAGTAGAGACGGGTTTCACTATGTTGACCAGACTGGTCATGAACTCCTGACCTCGTGATCTGCCTGCCTCAGCCTCCCAAAGTGTTGGGATTACAGGCATGAGCCACCGTGCCTGGCCAGCTTATTGTATTCTTGATTACTGGAACCTTGTAGTAAATTTACTAGATTATTAGATTTTGATTACTACAGCTTTGTAGGAGATTTTGAAATCAGGAAGTGTGAGTCCCCCAGCTTTGTTCTTCTTTTAAAGATTATTTTGGCTACTTGCGGTCCCTTCAGAGCCCATGTGAATTTTAGAGTGGTTTTTTCTGCTGCTCTCTTTCGGTTTTGGTTTGCTTGGAATCCCTTTTTTCACCCTTTCCCTTTCAGTGTACTTGTGTCTTTGAATTTAAATCAAGATTTTTGTAGACAGCATTGAGCTGAATTATGTGTGTGTATTCATTCTGCCAATCTCTGTCTTTTGAGTAGAGAGTTTAATTCATTTTCATTTAAAGTAATTACTGGCCAGTTGCAGTGGCTCATGCCTGCAACCCCAGCACTTTGGGAGACTGAGGTGGGTGAATCACTTGAGCTCAGGAGTTTGAAACCAGCCTGGGCAACATGGTGAAACCTGGTCTCTACGAAAAATTAGCTGGGCATGGTGGTATGCACCTGTAGTCTCAGCTACTTGGGAGGCTGAGGTGGAGAATCACCTGAGCCTGAGAGGCTGAGGCTGCACTGAGCCATGATCTTGCCACTGTACTCTAGTCTGGGCAACAGAGTGAGACCCTGTCTCAAAATAACTAACAAAATAGATAAATAATCACTGATAATGAGGGATTTACATCTGTCATTTTGCTGTTTGTTTTCTATTTGCGTTATAGTTTTTTGTCCTCCATTTTTTGTATTACTGTCTTCTTTTAGGTTTAGTTGATTTTTCAAGTGAAATATTTAAATTCCTTTCTCATTTCCCTTTGTGTACATTATATAGCTATTTCCTTTGTGGTTACCATGGGGATTACATTTAACATTCTAATGTTATAACTCTAATTTAAATTTATACCTGCTTAATTTCAATAAATTCTACTCCTTTACAGCTCTATCCTACCTCTTTCAGTTGCTGATGTCACAAAATTACATCTTAATTCACTGTGTGCCTCAAAACATAAATTAATAATTTTAAAAAATGCATTAGGCTCAAAGTATGAACAAAACGTGGAGTTACAAACCAAAGTGACGAGAATACTAGCTTCTTGACTCATGCTTTTAAAAAACACATTCTCTTAAATCATTTAGAAAACAAAAAAGTGGGGTTACAAGCCAGTGTTACTATAATACTAACTTTTATCATTGCTCACATATCTACTTTTATTGAGATCTTTATTTCTTTATATAGCTTCAAGTTATGGTCTAGTGTCTTTTCATTTCACCCTATAGGACTTCCTTAAGCATTTCTTGCAGGGCAGGCCTAGAGGTAGTGAACTCCCTCATTGTTTTCATTGTTTAAAGTTTTATTTTCTCTCTCTTTCTTTTTTGTTTTTTTTTTTTTTTGATGGAGTTTCACTCTTGTTGCCCAGGTTGGAGTGCAGTGGTGCGATCTCTGCTGACTGCAACCTCCACCTCCCGTGTTCTAAGCGATTCTCCTGCCTCAGCCTCCTGAGTAACTGGGATTACAGGCATGCACCACCACACCCAGCTAATTTTTGTATTTTTAGTGGAGATGGGGTTTCACCATGTTGGCCAGGCTGGTCTTGAACTCCTGACCTCAGCTGGGATTACAGGAGTGAGCCACCACACCCAGCCCTCTCTCACTTTTGAAGGACAGTTTTGCTAGATATAGAGTCCTTAGTTTTTTTTTTCTTGAACACTCAGAATATATATCAGCCCACTGCTTTCTGGCCTCCAAAGTTTTTGATATCTGCTGATAATCTTGTGGCAATTCCTTGTATGTGATGAGTAATTCCTCTTGTTGCTTTCAAGATTCTGTCTTTTTATCTGTCTTCCAAAAGTTTGATGTATCTTGGTGTGGGTTCTTTGAGTTCATCTTACCTGGAGTTTGTTGAGCTTAGATGTTTATATACATGTCTTTCATCAGATTTGGAAAATTTTAAACTATTATTTCTTCAAATGTTCTCCTGACTCTTTCAGTCTCTCTTCTCCCCCAATGCATATGTTGCCCTGTTTTATGGTGTCCCACAGGTTTCTTAGGCTTTGTTCATTTTTCTTCAATATTTTTTCTTTGTGTTCCTCAGACAATAATTTCCATTGTCCTGTCTTCAAGTTCTCTGATTCTTTCTTCTGCCTGCTCAAATCTGCTTTTTAATCCCTCTAGTGAATTTTCATTTCCATGATTATACTTTTCACCTTCAGAATTTCTTTTTGGTTTCTTTTTAGGTTTTATATCTTTTTATGAATATTTCAATTTTGGTCATTCATTTTTTTGTTGACTTTCTTGACACTTCCTTTAGTCCTTTGAGCATCTTTAAGACAGTTGTTTTAAAGTCTTTGTCTAGTAGATATATAATCAATCAGGTCTTTTTAGGAACAGTTTCTATTGACTTTTTTTCTTTAAATGGGCCATACTTTCCTGTTTCTTTGTATGCCTTGTGATTCTTTTTCTTGAAAATCGGACATTTGAATCTAATATCACAATTTTGAAAATCATGTTTCCCCCTTCCCTGGGGTTTGTTGCTTTTTGTTACATTTTGTTGTTGTTGTAGGCTTTCTCTGTGCCAAGGGTCAGCGTTAGGTACAAACATAAGGTCTTCTCAGGTCTTTTCTGAGCCTGTATGTGCCATATCACTTTCTAACTTTCTCCATACATGCAGCTGCTTTTGAATGTCCTAGTCTTTAATGTCTGGCTTCCAAAAAGGGAAAAGGAGAAAAATGAAGTCACTTCATCCAGTGCAGGAGAGCTTGCAACAATGGGGGAAGGTGAAACAATAGGCACCTGCTTCTTTGCACTCTTGTGATCAGAACAGCAATCAGCAATCAGAACACCAATCCCAAATATCTGAAGGACAACATCCTTTTTTCTTGCCAGCCTCGCTCCTGAAAGCTGTCTGTAAACTGCTACAGGAACATGTGCATAACTGTCTGCGCTGGGGCTGGTGGGGAGGATGGGTGACTGCTGTTGTGCCAAAATTAACTGCATTTTGCCTCCAAACCTACTCCTGGAAGCTGCAATCCAATAGACTCCAGAGCTCCAAAACTGTTACATCAGACAGATTCTGCCAGTGCAATTGTTGTCTGGGTAGGGAAACATATTTCTGGTGCTTATTGCTCCACCATCTTCCCAGAATCTTCCTAGAATGTCTTTTCTAGGTCCCCATGTCACTGCCTTTACCAGTGCTCTTTGTTTCTTCATGTGGTTTTGAGTTACTGTCTTGTGTTCTTTCATTTCAGTCTAAGGTACTCTCATTAGTATTTCTTGTAGGACAGATTTCCTAGTGATAGACTCTGGTTTTGATTTACCTGAGAATGTCTTAATTTCACCTTTATTTTTTCAGATATAAACTTCTTGGTTGATAGTATTTTTTTTTCCAATGTGTTTAATATGTCACCCAACTGCCTACTGGCCTCCATGTTTTCTGGTAAAAAGTCAGGTGTTAACCTAACTAAGGATCTCCTGTATGAGATGAGTTGCTTCTCTCTTGATGCCTTCAAGATTCTCTCTTTGTCCTTGGCTTTGACGGTTTGATAATGATGTGTGTCAGTGCGGCTATCTCTTTGCATGTTCCCTACTTGGAATTGGTTGAGCTTATTGGATGTGTAGATAAACATTTTTCTTTATCTTTGGGAAGTGTCAGCTATTATTTCATCAAATAATTTTCTGCCCCTTTATCTCCCTCCTCCCTTTCTGGGGCTTCAGTTATGCATTTGCATTTGTTTGTATGTTTGATGATGTCACACAGGTCTCTGAGTCACTGGTCAGTTCTCTTCATTCTTTTTTCCTCAAGCTGGATACTTTCAATTTACCTATTTCCTTTTTTACTTACACTTTACACTACCTGCTCAAATCTTCTGTTGAAATCCTCTAGTGAGAGTTTAAATTCAGTTATTGTACTTTTCAACTCCAGAATTTCTACTTGGTTCTCTATAATTTCTGTCCTTTACTGATATTCTCTATGTGGTAAAACATCACTCTTATACTTTAAATTATTTAGAAAAGTTTTCCTTTGTTCTTGGAAGATATTTAAGACCATAAATTTAAAGTATTTGTCTGGTACATCCAGCATCTTGTCTTCCTCAATGACAGTCTCTATCGATTGCTTTCTTCCCCATGTGTAGGTCATACTTTCTTGTGCTTTCTCACATCTCACAATTTTTTGTTGAAAAATGAACATTTTAAATAGTATAATGTGGCAACTCCAGAAACCAGATACACCTCCATTCCCCCAGAGTTTGTTGTAGTTTATTATTAACTTTTCTGAATTAATTATGCAAAATCTGTATTATCTACCATGTGTGGCCACTAAGTCTCTCCTCAGTTAGCTTAGTGGTCAGTTAATGGCCAGACAGAGATTTCCTTAAAGGCCCAGAACCAGTCATCTCCCAGTTTTTGTTTTGAGGTTCTATGCATTAGAGAATGCTTTCAACACTCAGTCGGGCAGTTAACAACTCTGCAGTAGCCCTCACTTCCTGCTTGCATAGAGCCTGAAGGTCAGTCAGAAGTATGAGCTCAGTGCCTTCTGAGGTATTTCTGGAGCTCAGACCTGGGAATATGTGTGGCCTTCTAGATTCTCAGAAATAGGTTGGATTTTTTCAAAGCTCCCCATTGACATCTCACTTCCCAGATTTTCCTTTTTTTTTTCAGTTTGTCTATTTCTTGCCCAACTGTTAGCCACCACCTTGGGCAACTGCAAAGTTCATCAATTGCCTATAATTATTATTTTCAACAATAGCCCCAGGAGAAGTCTTTTCATGCTGGGTAAGCTCTGAATCAAGTCAGAAACAGACAGCTTTGCAAGTGGTGTCTTCTAGGGAACCACCAGATAGGTCAAATAATAATGACTTTCTGGAAATGAGGCTTTGAAAGAGCTCCAGCTCAGGCTGTTAGTTTTTATCACAAATGTAGGTTGTTAATTTTTAAGGCTACTACAGAGCTGGAGGGGGTGGGTGGGAATGCATGCTGTTCTTACCAAGATTCAGCCTATTTTATCGATAAAATAAAATAACCCTACATAGATTGCTGCACGCCTTTGGTTAATTTCCAGAGTACTTAAAATGTATTCTGACATTTTTTGCCAGTTTCCTCACTGCTTGGAGGAAGATGAGAATTCTCAGAGGTCCTTATGCTGCCCTTTTTGCTGCAGTCTTGACATCTTAACGTGGATAGAAAAAGGTACTATGGCAAGTGTCACTGAAAATGGATAGGCTCATATTCGAGGGAGGCGGACTGTTGCACAGAGGAGAAAAAACAGTATTTAGAACCAGATAGTAGCAGCAGATTCTCCTCCCAGATCTGTGGCTCGCCAGCAGTGACCTGGCCTCCTTTGCAAGGTGGGACTGGAAGAGCCACTGTGAAACCTGATAAGAGTGAGTGCTGTGTTTGCTGGCCCTCCCGTGAGCCTGGCATGGTGGCTGCAGTCGTGCTTCCAGAGGTGAAGCAGCCGGGCAAGGTCCCCACTCAGCGTCAGCTAAATAAGTCAGAGAAGAGCAGGGGGATGAGCACTGTGTGGGCTGCAGCTCAGCTCACTGGCACGATTCACATCCTCCTTCTGGGTGTCCTCCTGGACTGCAGAGGCTGCAAAGCTGAATCCAAGACTCTGGATTCCCTGACCTGATTCAGGCTCTGCCAATCAATCGGAAGTGCTCAGAGAAACCTGAATCCAGAATGGAGGCATGTGGGCAAGAGGGACACAGGAGCACGTGGCCATCTGCTGCTGGGGTGGCGGGTTCCTGCACAGGGGGGACCAGCTGCCACTCCGCAGCCCCGTCCTGCTGTGCAGTGTGGGAGGTCACCCTTGGACACTCAGTCCACAGTCTCTCTTCAACCCTCCTCACAATTCTATAAGCCACTTAGCCCCCATAGTAAATCCCTGTCTGCTCACACTGGTTATGGTAGGCTTAGTTCTCTGTAGGAGCTCTGATTGAAAAAAAAACCCTGGCATGACAGAGTATGACCAGGCACTCCTCTGGGGGTGGGGGGTGGGGCCTGCAGCTGTTCTCCCTGAGGCCTGTATGGCAGGAAGAAGGCAGCACAGGAAGAATCCTTTAGGTAGGGAGAGCTGCACGTGCAAAGGCCCTGAGGTGTGAGCAGCCAGGGGTGTCTTGGCCAGGGAGGAAGTCAGCGGGTGCTGAAGAGGAGGGACAGAGGAGAGTGGGGCGGGAAGAGCCACTGGACCATGTGGCCCCATCCCTTCGAGTCTGAAGATGAGGGAGGGGGAGGGGGCCAGGAGAACCACTGGACCATGTGGCCCCATCCCTGCGAGTCTGAAGTCTCAAGGGCTAAAGTAGCCTTTAGAAAGCAGATATGTGCAGAGCCCATGGTGCCTGGCCGGAGCAAAGCCCTTGGTGTGTGCAGAGCCCATGGTGCCTGGCCGGAGGGAGGCCCTCGGTGTGTGCAGAGCCCGTGGTGCCTGGCCGGAGGGAGGCCCTCGGTGTGTGCAGAGCCCGTGGTGCCTGGCCGGAGGGAGGCCCTCGGTGTGTGCAGAGCCCGTGGTGTCTGGCCGGAGGGAGGCCCTCGGTGTGTGCAGAGCCCGTGGTGTCTGGCCGGAGGGAGGCCCTCAGTGTGTGCAGAGCCCGTGGTGCCTGGCCGGAGCGAGGCCCTTGGTACATGTCCGTGAGTGGACAAGCAAGTGTGATGTGTCTGGGTGGGCTGGCAAACACAGGACTTTTCAGGTGGGTTTTCAAATGCGCAGCAGGGTCCCTTGGGGGAGCCAGAAACTGATCCTGGAGTCTGGGTGCTCTGGAGGAGACGGCCGCTCCCGTGGGTGGGTACTCCGCGTCTGAGTCAGCTGGTGTGGTGTCAGCAGATGTGGCCAGGAGCTCCATGCTGCTGGGCCAGGCCTGGGTGCCTGTGCCGCGCCCCAGGGAGGGGCTGTGGGCAAGCCCTGAAAGAGCCGTTGACATGCCAGACCCTGAGGGCCCCCATGCCAGAACCCATGCAGAAAGGTAAAGAAGGCCTCTCCCTTCTCAGCTGGGACCCCTGCCCCCTGAAGGGATCTTGGGTTCTGGGGCCCGGGGCAGGGCCACAGCCTGAGGCGAAACAGAGCAGGGTGGCAGTTAGGGGAGGCTCGCCAGGCATTCCTGTATGCCGTCTGCTCCACGCGGCTCACAAACAAACCCATGGAAACCCCACACCCGCCTGCTCAGATCCAATTTAAGCAGCACAGACTCCACCCCCGATGCCTGACTGGGAAAGGAGCTTCACAGCACCTGCGGTTGTCCAAAAGTCCAACCTTAGCAACACATTTTGGTTAAGACAACTTTTAAACATTGCCAACACCCTGGGAGTGTGGGCGCTGATTACTCACACTGTGGTCTACACTTACCCAACCACAGCAGGCACTAAGGGGGTGTCAAAGACAAGGGGGTGCCTGCTGGGGCCGTGGCAGGGCAGCCAGGTGGAGCTGGATGTGGACACAGGGGCTGCTCTGCCCAGCTGCAGACAGGCAGCAGCCACTGGCTCCAGCCACAGCCTTGAGCCACACTCTCCTGAAAACCACCTTGGGGCAAGTGGCTCAAGTGACCTCCAGGAAGGCCCTGTCCTCAGAGGACCCTGGCATTGCTGTCAACCAATTCACTAAACACTTTACTGAATAAGAGAATCCAATCTACAAAATGTATCCACTCCACCCCAGCCCCCTGCAACCTTGGGCCTAGTGGGGTCACTCCTTTGTCCCCATCTCTGAGATGCAAGGAATACTCACCTTGTGGTTAATGAATGAATGAATGGTGTGAATGAATGAATGAAGTGTGTGAATGAATGAATGAAGTGTGTGAATGAACTGTGTGAATGAATGAATGAACTGTGGATGATTGCATGAATGTACTGTATGAATGGATGATTGAATGAATGTACTGTGTGAGTGAATTAGTGCATGAATGTACTGTGTGAATCAATGTACTGTGTGGATGATTGCATGAATGTACTGTGTGAATGGATGATTGAATGAATGTACTGTGTGAGTGAATTAGTGAATGAATGTACTGTGTGGATGACTGCATGAATGTACTGTGTGAATGGATGATTGAATGTACTGTGTGAATGGATGCTTGAATGAATGTACTGTGTGAGTGAATTAGTGAATGAATGTACTGTGTGAATCAATGTACTGTGTGGATGATTGCATGAATGTACTGTGTGAATGGATGAATGAATGTACTGTGTGAGTGAGTGAATGAATGAATGTACTATTTGAATGGGTGGATGAATGAAAGTACTGTGTGAGTGAATGAATGAATGTACTGTGTGTGTATGTGGGGGGCTGCTCCTGCCTGCGGGCACAGAGGAACTCTTCTGTGTGGGTGGGGGGACACCTTGCAAAGTGCTGGTGTGTGAGTTACACCTATGGATACTTATCCTGTGACCCTCAGCAGAAGGCAGGATAGAGACTTCTGGTTCACAGAAGAGGGTCTGAGAGCCAGGGGGGTTTCCAGCAAGACTCTGAGAGCATGGAGTCACACAAGATCACTCCGTCACTGGCCTGCAGTCCCTGCCTCAGTGCAGAAACAGCTCTGCCTGAGACCCCAGCCCGATCCAACCCAAGGGGCCACAGGATCCAGAAAATTAAGCCCACCTGGCCCCAGTTCTCCCATGTCCCCCTCTCTGAGCACAGCAAAGAATGCTCCCATGTCCCCTGGTGCCCTAGGGCCTTCGCAGGCGTGCTTTTGGAGGGGCCTCCCACTACCAAAGGAAGTTCCTCCTGGCTGCTGTCTACTCCAGCCCTCCAAACAAGCCCCCTCCCTTCCCAGACAAATCAGCTGTGGCCCTGCCTGGAGCACCTCCAAGGCCTCGGTCTACCACCACCCCACATCCTAGCTAGAGACCCCCAGGCCTAGGCCCACCACTGCCCTACATCCTAGCTGAAGCCCCCGAGGCCTGGGCCCACCACTACCCTACATCCTAGCTGGAGATCCCCAGGCCTGGGCCTACCACCACCCACATCCTAGCTGAAGCCCCCGAGGCCTGGGCCTACTACCACCCACATCCTAGCTGGAGAACCCCCACCCAGGCCAGGGCCCACCACCACCCTATATCTTAGCTGGAGACTCCCCCCACACAGCCTGGGCCCACCACCACCCACATCCTAGCTGGAGACCCCCCAGCCTGGGCCCACCACCGCCCTACATCCTAGCTGGAGACCCCCCAGCCTGGGCCCACCGCCAAGTGGGGGCCCCAGGTCGCAGAGCTCACTGAGACGGCATGAGGGCCGGGCTGGGAGAACAGCTCCTGCTGCCCCTGGGCTGTTCCGCAGCCTCCTTGGCCTCCTGTGAGACTGGGTGAGCCTGGAAGCCGCTGCCACGGCCAGAGCTGGACTGAGATGGGGACTGTGCCTCAGCGAGTCTCTGGAGCGGCACCCTGGCTTCCTACACAGGAACATGCCCCAGACCCGGCGCCTCCTTCCTCTCCTCAGACCCAGAGCCAGTAGCTTTGCCATGGAGCCTGTGCTCCTTTCAGCCGAGGAAGCTGTCCAGAAAGCGAGGATTGTCCAGGGATGCAGAGTAGCTGCAGTACAGCCGCCCCATGCCGCTCTGGGAAAAAGGCCTGTGGATTCGAGTCCAGCCTCTGAGCAGCGGCTGCCAGTCCTGCTCTGGGGACTCGTGGAGGGCCTGAGATCCTTCCAGGCAGATGATGAGATCGAAGCCCATTGCATGAGGGCACCTTTTGCTCCCATGCTCTGATGGGCACACGGCGGCTTTCGAGGGCTGCAGGCCAGAGCAGGCACCTGACAAGGCTGGTAACATACGCAGCCAAGGCTGGATTTTCTTCATAGACTTCAACCAACAGCACATCTCAGCAGATGAAGTGCTGGAGCCGATATGGGAATCCAGCTTCCACTAAGCCGGACAATACAAAGATTCGCACCAACGTAGAACCACGCCACTTTTCTCAGGCGGGTTTTTCATTTTTAAAAGTATGATTGCTTTTCATAAAACATTATGCTATTTATGTTAATGTGTAATAGCAATATTTTCTTATTTTTAAGTGAATTGGCAAGTATTCTGAACATTTCTGTTATGATTTAGAAAATGATAAGTATCCATAGGTATAACCCATACAAACAAAAAAGTTCTTCAGTGTCCTCAATTAGTTTTTTTTGTTTTTGTTTTTTGTTTTTTTGTTTTTTTTTTTTTTTTGAGATGGAGTCTCGCTCTGTTGCCCAGGCTGGACTGCAGTGGCGCGATCTTGGCTCACTACAACCCCTGCCCCCTGGGTTCAAGAAATTCTCCTGCCTCAGCCTTCTGAGTGGCTGGGATTACTGGCGTGCACCACCACATCCAGCTAGTTTTTGTATTTTTAGTACAGATGGGGCTTCACCATGTTGGCCAGGCTGGTCTCGAGTTCCTGACCTCAAGTGATCCGCCCGCCCTGGCCTCCCAAAGTGCTGGGATTACAGGCATGAGTCTCACTCTGTCGCCCAGGCTGGAGGGCAGTGGCACACACAGTTCACTGCAGGCTTGACCTCCCCTGGCTCAGGTGATCCTCCCACCTCAGTCTCCTGAGTAGCCGGGACCACAGACACAGTCTCCTGACTAGTTGAGACCACAGGCGCACTCCACCACACCCAGCTAATTTTTGTATGTTTTGTAGAGATGAGGTCTCCCTGTGTTGCCAAGGCTGGTATCAAACTCTGGGCTCAAGTGATCCTCCCGCCTCGGCCTCCCAAAGTGCTGGGATTACAGGCATGAGCCACTGCGCCTGGCCCTCAGTGACCTTTAAGAGTATGAAGGAGTCCTCAGATAAAAACATTTGAGAAGCACGGAGGTGGAAATTTGTCTTTGGCCTGGGGGCCTGGAGTCTAAATACTGCATTGAGTGGCTGATCTGTGGTTTTCGCTTAAAATACAGGTTAGATCATTTGTTTCTGTTTGCATTCTGTCCTAGTTGCTTCTATTTATTTTTTCTCTCTTTTTGAATCTGTGAAACATTAACAGGGTTCCAAACATCAGAGTGTTTTGTCTAAGCTTAAAAGCCCTCTGGGTGATTCCGATGAGCAGAGGCCGGGAAGGATTGAGCAAGACCATTCCCGAGCTCCTTCCTCCGCTCTGTTTCCAGATCCCATGACTGGGGACCTATAAATATTTTCCTGACATGGAGCAGGATCAACTTCAGCATCTGTTAGCTTCATCCCAAAGGCAGGGAAGCCTAGAGCCCCTGGGAGGGCTCTGCACCGCACACACCGCCGGCCTGCAGCCCCAGCCCTGTGCGGGGTCCTGGGGAGGGGGGCCCCCTTTCTGTGGCTCTTCCTGACTCCCTGCGCGTTCCACCCCAGACCCTCAGCCCACTCTGACCTCCCTCCAGGAGGGATGGCTTGCAAATGCCCTCTGGCCACAGTGCAGACCGCTAGGCTGTTCTGTGCAGCTTTAGGCCATGCCAGGAAAGAGACTTAAAGCCAGGGCCCCAAAGGCCAGGGATGCCTGCGCCGGGAGCCAGGAGCTTCCCCAGCCACTTCCAGCATGTAGACTGAAGTCAGGCCACGCACAGGGCTCTCCAGGTCACACCCTGCGCAAGAAGGTGTAGCACGCTGGCTCTAATTTCGAGAAGGTGAAAACAAGAGCCCCTCTGCCCCCACGCCCTGAGCTTTCCCGAAAGGCTTGGGGCAAAGAACTCCCCTCAGTGGCACCTAGGGAGGCACCAGGAAGGCGCTTGTTGGAACGGGAGAGAAACGGGGAGAGGGAGGAGGACAGGGGGGAGGGGAGGAGGGGAGGGGAGGAGGGGAGGGGAGGAGGGGAGGGGAGGGGAAGGGAGGGGACAGGGAGGGGAGGGGAGGGATAGGACAGACAGACAAAGAAAGGGGTGCGGCAGCACTGCCAGGGGAAGAGGGTGATCCGACCCGGGGAAGGTCGCTGGGCAGGGCGAGTTGGGAAAGCGGCAGCCCCCGCCGCCCCCGCAGCCCCTTCTCCTCCTTTCTCCCACGTCCTATCTGCCTCTCGCTGGAGGCCAGGCCGTGCAGCATCGAAGACAGGAGGAACTGGAGCCTCATTGGCCGGCCCGGGGCGCCGGCCTCGGGCTTAAATAGGAGCTCCGGGCTCTGGCTGGGACCCGACCGCTGCCGGCCGCGCTCCCGCTGCTCCTGCCGGGTGAGTACTGCGTGCCCCCGGGACACCCAGAGAGGGCCCGGGCCTCCTGCACTTTCCCCGCGGCCCAGAACCTTGTGGCACCTCCAGAGGGACCCCCAGGACTGGCTGCGACCGAGCTTTAAGGGTCTAGTCCCGGGGGCAGCCAGTCGGCCAAGGCCCCGGGTCCCTGCGACGGCGAAGGCATCCCGGAGGCCGCACCCAGACCGGCCCGGCAAGCTGCAGGGACTCGGACTGAAAACCTGCCCGTTACCCCTGGTCGCTCGCAGGCGCACGGGCGATCTAACCCCGCGCCGTCCATTCCGCTGATGGGGGTCTCGGAAGCACCGCAGGAGAGCTTTGCGGAGCAGGGAGGGGGTCGCGGGTGCTCGGGGCCGTCCTCAGAGCCCAAAGTGCCGCAGCCCTCTCGGCTTTCCACCCCGAGGCTGCCACGACGGTGCCAGCGCGCGGCTGCTCCCCTCTGTGCTCCCAGGTGATGGAAAACCCCAGCCCGGCCGCCGCCCTGGGCAAGGCCCTCTGCGCTCTCCTCCTGGCCACTCTCGGCGCCGCCGGCCAGCCTCTTGGGGGAGAGTCCATCTGTTCCGCCAGAGCCCTGGCCAAATACAGCATCACCTTCACGGGCAAGTGGAGCCAGACGGCCTTCCCCAAGCAGTACCCCCTGTTCCGCCCCCCTGCGCAGTGGTCTTCGCTGCTGGGTAAGTACAGCCCCCTCCTCGCCTCCTGCTCCACCAGGAGGGCTGCGGCGCCGGAGCCCCCCGCACAGCTGCACGGCGGCGCTTCCCAGTCTGGGGCGTGCTGACGTCGGGAGACTCTAACACCAGAATGTTTGCCGAGCGCCTGCGGTGTGCGGTTCCGGGGATGCGGTGGGGGCAGGGGGCGCTCACGGGGAGGGCGCAGGTGGGTCGCGGCAGGGGCAGCCACAGGGTGTCACGGTCCGACGTGACTGGGGGCCATGGTTCCCTGCGGGCGGCGGGGAGGGATTTCCTGGGGCGCCCCCTGGAATCCAAGCCCGACCGCAGTGTCTGACCATGGTCCGCGGCGCGGCCGGGTGGTCCTGCAGGGGCCGCGCATAGCTCCGACTACAGCATGTGGAGGAAGAACCAGTACGTCAGTAACGGGCTGCGCGACTTTGCGGAGCGCGGCGAGGCCTGGGCGCTGATGAAGGAGATCGAGGCGGCGGGGGAGGCGCTGCAGAGCGTGCACGCGGTGTTTTCGGCGCCCGCCGTCCCCAGCGGCACCGGGCAGACGTCGGCGGAGCTGGAGGTGCAGCGCAGGCACTCGCTGGTGAGCGCGGGGCCGGCCGGGGGCGGGGTCCGGGGGGCCGGGGCCAGGCGCGCTGAGCCGCTGTCGCCGCAGGTCTCGTTTGTGGTGCGCATCGTGCCCAGCCCCGACTGGTTCGTGGGCGTGGACAGCCTGGACCTGTGCGACGGGGACCGTTGGCGGGAACAGGCGGCGCTGGACCTGTACCCCTACGACGCCGGGACGGACAGCGGCTTCACCTTCTCCTCCCCCAACTTCGCCACCATCCCGCAGGACACGGTGACCGAGGTGAGTGGGCACCCCGCGTGCGCAAGGGCCGCTATGGCCCCCGCGGTGGGGACGGGGCTGGGGCCTGGCTGCACCCTCGCCTCCCAGCCCAGGACAGCCGCTTGCGGCTTTTGTGTGGAAGAGGCTCTGCTTCTAGCGCCAGCAGTGAGCAAGGGGGTGCAGCCCTCCCATACTCTCCCAACCCGGGGTCACAGCACCGCAGGGAGGACAGCGGGACGCGCGTCCCGAGGAGGCTGCCCCTTCCTGGCCTCGGTTTCCAGCCCGTGTTCCGTGGGATGGCTGAGAGGAGTACATGGGACCCTGTCCCCAACAGTGGTGCAGAGGGCACGCTGGACGCTGGGCAGTGGCCCCAGTGAGGCCATACGCATACCAGAAGGTGGGCTTCTCGGACCCCAGGCCAACCTCCTCTTCTTCCTCCCCAGATAACGTCCTCCTCTCCCAGCCACCCGGCCAACTCCTTCTACTACCCGCGGCTGAAGGCCCTGCCTCCCATCGCCAGGGTGACACTGGTGCGGCTGCGACAGAGCCCCAGGGCCTTCATCCCTCCCGCCCCAGTCCTGCCCAGCAGGGACAATGAGATTGTAGACAGCGCCTCAGGTAACGGACATACAGGTCACATGGGACACACAGCAGCCCCGAACCCTGCCACAGGGCGACCACCAAACCCGAACCTAAGGCTCTGAGAAATTCCAAGTAGGGATTCGTAGTGCGTACTGCAAGATGGTGCCTAGAAGATTTAGGATTCTGTTGATTCACACACTGAAGATGTGACTCTTGCACATTATTTGCAGTTGAAAGCATCTTACAGGGCCACAGCCCAGAGGAAAGAATGAAAGGAGGCTCCAGACAGTACCTGAGAGACTCTGTCCTGTCAGACACGCACCCACAGGTGACCTGTGTGTCACAGCTGACAAGGAAGCTTGCTAGGATGGCCCTGTGTGGCCACCGGGTGACAGCTATGCTGCAGGGCACCTGTGGGGGTCTCGGGACCCAGCCACCACACAGCTCGGGGCTCTGCTCACAGGCGCCTTGGCCTGGGGCGGGGCAGGTGCTGATGAGCATTCTCCTAGCTCTTCCAGGCACCTGCTGGACAGGGCAGGCTGGGAACGCTGGGGCCGAGTGGCAGTTCCCTCCCTACTCAGCTGGGTGGCAGCCACTGGCCTCACGGAGCGCCTGTGGTCTGGAGCGCATTGCTGGGTCGTGGGTCAGGGCCTGTTGGCTCTGGGTCTCTGGGTCTCACCTGATATGGGTGTGGGACAGTCAGTGTAGGCCCCAGACAACAGCGGACTTCAGACTTTCCCGAGGAGGAACTGGAGCCCACCAACCTGGCCATGGGCCCCGTCGTCCTCCACCCTCCATGTTGCTGGCTGGAGTTGAGGCAGGTACGGGGCCGCCCCACACCTGCCCCCCAAGCCATGTGGTAGGGACAGATGTCGTCTTGAGGAGCAGCAGTAATTACAAGCTTACTGTCAGCCGTCCCTGGAAGCAAGGGCCAGGTCAGGTCAGACAGGAGGCCGCCTGGCTGGCGGGAACCACTCCCCAGACAGAGACTGTGCCCAGTCCTGGGTCCCTCCTCATTTGGGATGAACTGGGCCTCCCTGTGCCAGCCTCGGTGCTGCCCCTGCCCAGTGCAGGCTTGGGCTCCTCACTCATTTGTCCACGCGGATGCCCCATTCCAAGCAGATGTCCCCGAGCCACTTACCCAACAGGCAGACGTGCCAGCACTGTTCGTGGTGTGCAACTGGTCTGGCGGGAAGAGCCCCTCGTGGGCAGAGGGTCCAGAGAGGTGCGGTTTGCCCCACATTTGGGGGCACTGGGCCACAGTGGGCAGGGGAGCACATGGCCAGTGCCCTGGGCTAGGAGAGGGATAAAGTCAGCTGTGGCCAAGCAGAAGCAGTATTGCAGGGGAAGGGTGGGGAGAGACTGTGCTATGAGCTCTGAGCAGGAGGCAGGACATGGAGAGAAGGGTGGGAGACGGACAGAGCCAGCTGTGCCAGCCGAGGGACCAGAGTGGGCAGTGGGGACGGAGCACAGACCACCGCCCACAAGGGTCTCTCCTGTGACTTCTGGCTTCCCGAGGGCAGAGGCTGGGATGGGCATGTGGCGGCTGGCACCCAGGAGGCTCCGCCAGGTCCACGCCAAGCCAGCCTGGCTCAGCTCTGGCTTCCTGCTCACACGCTGGATGCCTGTCCCCAGGCCTCCTGACAGGGCTCTGCAGCATTGGAGAGGCTTGTGGTGGGGCCCTCGCTGTAGAACAGGCACTGCCAGTGCTCACTGACTCCTCATTGCAGCCAGGGCAGGGGCGCTCCCACCACCTCGGTTTCAGTCAGGAAGCTGGGGGGTGCTGGGATCTGCCAGCAGCTCTGTGTGCTCCCCAGGTGGGCTGCCCGGGGCCCTGGCTCTCTGGCTTCTACACCAGTGCCCCTGCGAAGCCTCAGCGCCCAAGGTCTTTGCAAGCCCTGTTCCTGCATCTCTGGAGAGGGCTGCTCCAGGTGTGGGCCTGGCCAGGGCTTCCAGACCAGTCCAGGCACTGCACCTGCACATTGACCCCCTTCTCCACTCTCTCTCATCCTTCAGTAGCCACAAAGCTGGCAGCAGGGTACTCGCAGATTTGTGAGGAGAGCCGAGCCCTTGCTGACTGTCCTCCCGTGCACGGCAGAGTGAGGCGGGGCTCCTGGCCTCCTTAGGGGCTGCCCGCTCTGGGCCACACAGCCAGAGAAACACTGTCCATCTGGCTGGCTTGGCCTGTGGGGTGCAAAAGAGGTGTTTTCACTTTGCTTTGGAAACATGGAAATTACCAAGTGACTTAACCATAACACCAAATGATGATTTTTAAATTTATGAAAATTATGGAACCAGATGGGACACAGGGAAACGAGAACGATACTGAAAAGGTCTGAGTCCTGTGGGGGGTCCAGGTCCCGCAAGACAGCTAATCAGGTGCCCCTGTCTGTTATTCGGGTAAATGTAGCAGCTGGGTCCAGGCTCGGGCAGAGCAGCTTTCTACAGCAGGGGTGTCCGCCCTCTCCCGGGGTTCCCACGGGGTTCCCAGGGGCCCCTTACTCTGCCACGATGTGGGAGTTCCACCACCACAGGGACTTGAGCGGCAGCTCCGGCTCTTACGTAGAAACGCGCAACTCCAGTCCCTAGGTTGTGTCCGAGGTTGCTATGGTGCCATCCCATCTTGCCGCTCACTCTGCGACTGTGCGGAGAAACGCAAGTGCCCCCGAAGGGTGGGCGTGGCCTCTGATGAATGCACACGTTGGTGGGAGGTGGCTTCCGTTTGTACGAAGCGCCTCTTCACGCGAGCGTTCACCTCGGTCTCCCCTTTGCTTGGTCCAGTTCCAGAAACGCCGCTGGACTGCGAGGTCTCCCTGTGGTCGTCCTGGGGACTGTGCGGAGGCCACTGTGGGAGGCTCGGGACCAAGAGCAGGACTCGCTACGTCCGGGTCCAGCCCGCCAACAACGGGAGCCCCTGCCCCGAGCTCGAAGAAGAGGCTGAGTGCGTCCCTGATAACTGCGTCTAAGACCAGAGCCCCGCAGCCCCTGGGGCCCCCCGGAGCCATGGGGTGTCGGGGGCTCCTGTGCAGGCTCATGCTGCAGGCGGCCGAGGGCACAGGGGGTTTCGCGCTGCTCCTGACCGCGGTGAGGCCGCGCCGACCATCTCTGCACTGAAGGGCCCTCTGGTGGCCGGCACGGGCATTGGGAAACAGCCTCCTCCTTTCCCAACCTTGCTTCTTAGGGGCCCCCGTGTCCCGTCTGCTCTCAGCCTCCTCCTCCTGCAGGATAAAGTCATCCCCAAGGCTCCAGCTACTCTAAATTATGTCTCCTTATAAGTTATTGCTGCTCCAGGAGATTGTCCTTCATCGTCCAGGGGCCTGGCTCCCACGTGGTTGCAGATACCTCAGACCTGGTGCTCTAGGCTGTGCTGAGCCCACTCTCCCGAGGGCGCATCCAAGCGGGGGCCACTTGAGAAGTGAATAAATGGGGCGGTTTCGGAAGCGTCAGTGTTTCCATGTTATGGATCTCTCTGCGTTTGAATAAAGACTATCTCTGTTGCTCACAAATGTCCCTGGCTGTCCCCACACTTGTTCTGGGCCCCGTGCAGTGCAGGGACCCGTGGTGTGCGCTAATTGGGGACACACATTCAGAAGGCGCCTGGTGCTGCCGTCAGGGCCATGAGGCACGTGCTCTGTGTGTGTGTGGGAGGCAGGCCTGAGACCTACAGATCTCCCCACAACAGACGCCACCCCTGGCCCATACAGGATTTCAGAAGACACAGCAAATGGCATGTCAGATGCATCCACAAACCCGGCAGGCACGCGCCTGCCCACAGGACGATCAGAAGCTCAGACAAGGGGCACCTTGAGATCCGGACGAGGCCCCAGAAGCCCTCACTCTGCCCCCTCCTCTGTGGGAGCAGCTTGCATTGCTGCTGTTCATGGGGGGGCCACTGACCACCAAGACCCTCGCAGCCCATCAGGCCACCAGCAGACACCTCCTGAGACCTGAGCTCAGAGGCCCCAACCTCAAAGATGTCCTCAGGGGCTCACTGTAATCTGTCGTGGCCCTTTCTGCAGCAGGGGTCCCCAGGCCTCCCCACCAGTGCCACTCACCTGGTGGAACCCCAGGGCCCTCTCAGTGCCTGGGCGGGAGCTCTGTGTGGTTTGAGGATGGAGATGCTTGGGGGATGGCTGCTTCTTCAGTCCTCTCCCAGTGACTGGAAGGTGGGGGCTCACTTCTCTCACCGAGGCCTGGTAGACGACCCTTCCTCGTAACTGTCTAAGGCCCTCCAGCCCTGATGCTTCTAGAACCAGACCCCAGGCCCAGCTCCCACCACCCTGCACGCCATCCCCGCCCACCATCCTTGAAAACAATGAACTAAGCCCAAGCTCACGGGCGCATGAGCTCTGAGGTGACGTGGAGATCTGAAAAACCCCTGGCTTAAAGTTTTCTTAAGGTTCCTGGGACTGACAATGCCAGGAGGCCCCTGAAAGAATGGCCGTAAATCCTGTGTAGAGATCACACTGTGTACTTGGAACTCAAGAGGATCCCCAGGAACATGAACCCACAATCAGAACCCATAAAACGCACAGAACACCAGCCTTGATGCTCCTGAGTCAGAGCACATGGCAAACTCCACGGTCAGAGCCACCGGGCCGCTGGGGCTGGCATGACCAGGAGAAGATGCTGACCGAGTTAACCTCGCCAGGAGCTCTAAACTCAAAGACACCAGAGCAGCACAATGGGGTGGTGCATTGAAGCCTCGACAGACGGACACAACACTCCAGTCAAAGGGCAGAGACTGCAAGAGCAGACTCACAGAACCATGCGCTACTGTGGAGCCTGTGAAGTCCTGTAGGATCACTGAAAGGCTGGGGAAGGGGTTGTGGTGCAGACTCCTGCAGACACCTGGATCCACCTGCCCTCCCTCCTGGAGCATGGAGCTGGGGGTCCCTGGGGTAGGACAGGCGTCACTTTGGGGCCAGAACATTTACTGCCCAGGTGAGAGGCTATTGTGCTTTCCTGGCCTCAGGGACCCCAGGGCATGTGTTGACGTGGGTGCCATCACTGAAGTCTCTGGGGCCCCAGGGCATGTGTTGATGTGGGTGCCATCACAGAAGTCTCCAGGGCCCCAGGGCATGTGTTGACGTGGGTGCCATCACAGAAGTCTCTGGGGCCCCAGGGCATGTGTTGACGTGGGTGCCATCACAGAAGTCTCTGGGGCCCCCACGCCACTAGGACGGCCACTGTTGTGCTGAGGCATTGAGATTTGAAGGAGACCAATGGGGAACGCCATCCGGTAATGGAATGCTGTGTGAGGAATCCCACAGGGGCCGCCTGGCCGGAGGGTGGATCAGACAGGACCTATGTGGCTGCCCTCTCCTGAATGAGGTGGGGAGCACGGGAAGGCGCAGAGTGCAGAAACAGCACTGCATCAGTGGCCGCCATCTTGACAGCAGTGAGTAGTGGGTATAGACAGGAAAATGGAGAGGAGAAGCCCCTGCAATAGTCCCAAAAGAGAGAGGTTTGGGCCTCAGAGACACCCGTGGACATGGGAAGAAATGGATGAGTCTGGGTTTGTTTTGATGAAAACGCAACGTGAATACTTACAGACCTGCGTTTAACATGCCTCCCAGAGATACCCAAGCAGTTGACCCCATCCCAGTTTCAGGAAGGCCTTGTCCCAACTGGGTCAGCATGGGGAGCCAGGGGGGCAGTGAGCAAGTGAGGGCAAGTTCACACCTGAGGGACCCATTCGTGGTCTGTAGCCCCCTGCACACTGTGCTGCCACAGGTGGACGGGGGGCACCTGGGCCAGAAGGAGGGGCTCCACAACTACACTGAGACTGCATGCCCCTCATATTAGTGGGATGTGGATACGCTGGGCTCCAGGGTGCTGCTGGGCCTACAGGGTGAGGGTTGGTCCAGCCCACTGTGCTGAGAAGTGGTCGGCAGTCCACAGTGTCCGAGCCATAGGAGGATAATCATGGAATGGCCCACTGTGCTCAGCAACAACACACAGGCCATGGGGACTGGGGCTGAGGGGTCTGTGGCACTGGGGGAGGAAGACAAAGGGTAGAACATGGAGAAGCGATGGGCAGGGAGTTCCTGGCAAAGATGGTAGGCTGAGGAACTGAGCACTGACACCTAACTCCACTCCCACCATACTCCATTGGAGCTGTAGAAGAGGGTGTGTGGATGGCACAATCCAGACGCCTACCTTGGCACTCTCAGGGGACACCCTCCACCCACAGAATGGCGAAACGGGATGGATACAGCTCTGAGACACTGCCCCTTTCATAAGATGCAGGGAGGACTCCACTTTCTACCCCCACTTCTAAAAATAAGTAAACACACACATTGAGGCTGGAGCAAGGAGGTGGTGTCAGGCCAAAGAAACAAGCTCATGAGCAGCTGGGAGAGACAGGGCTCCTGAGGGCTGCTGTGAGCTTGGCTAGCAGCAGAGTGAAAAGGTGAACCCAGCACCCCACATGGAGAGGGACCCTCGAGGCCAGCAATGCCCTGTGATATAGGAAAGGACAGGAGCAATTCTCTCCTCAGGAGCTTTCCCAGTCCCTAGTGTGAGCCCCAACAATCAAAATCAGGCAACGAGCACAACACAAAGATTAAATAAACAAGAAAACAAGTCGCTATAATTGAAAGCCAGAAAAAAAAAACCAACAGATTCAGACACCCAAGATCTCAGATAATTAACTTGTCAGAAATGTAATACAAAACAAATAGAACAAAAATGACCAACCAACAAGGGAAATTAGAAACAAACAGATACATTTGGAAAGGAAAAATTATAAAATGAGGAAGCCTGAGTGAGTTGGAGAGCTAATTAGCATAGCTGAACAAAGAATTAGTGAACTGGAAGATCTAGCTGAAGATATCAGGCAGAATGCAGCACAGAGAGACAGGAAATGGGAAATTTCACAAAGATATGGAAGACAAGATGGAAAGTTCTAAAATGTTTTAAATCAGAGACTCTAAAGGAGATAATAGGGAGAGTGGAGAAGAGATAATATTTAAAGAGAAAATAGTGCAAATTTACAGCACTGGTTAAAATTAGAAGCTGTCTCCAGAAACAGAAAGCATAATGTATTCCAAAGAGGAGAAGTGAAAGCAGTCCACGCCCACACACAGTATATTGAAACTGGTGAACACTAAACACAAAGAACGAACCTTCAGGCTGGGCGCGGTGGCTCACGCCTGTAATCCCAGCACTTTGGGAGGCCGAGGCAGGCGGATCACGAGGTCAGGAGATCGAGACCATCCTGGCTAACACGACGAAACCCTGTCTCTACTAAAAATACAAAAAAAATTAGCTGGGCGCGGTGGCGGGCACCTGTAGTCCCAGCTACTTGGGAGGCTGAGGCAGGAGAATGGCATGAACCCCAGAGGCAGAGCTTGCAGTGAGCCAAGATTGCGCCATTGCACTCCAGCCTGGGAGACAGTGAGACTCCATCTCAAAAAAAAAAAAACAAAAAACAAAAAAAAAAAACAAGAAAAAACCTTCAAAGGACCCAGAGGAATGTACAGATTGCTTATGAAGGAACATCTATTGAATGACAGCTACTTCCTAACAGCCCAAAGGGAGTCAGAAGGCAGTCAGATAATAACTTTTGAAATGTTGAGAGAAATTAACTGTCAACCCACAGCTGGGAACTCAGCAACACCTTTTAAGAATGAGAGCAAAATGCAGACATTTTCAGATTAACAGAAACTGAAGAATCTTAATACCAAGATAATTACCCTGAAAAACTTCTAAAGGATGTTGTTCAGGGTGGAGGAAAATTATCCCAAAAGGATGGTCTGAGATTTGAGGAATGGTAATACAAATTATTTTAAATCTCTCCAATAACAAAAGTATAAATTCCCCAAAGATGGAGAAAAAAATAACAGCAAAATTAGAGAAGCTGAAAAGCAGCGGTAAAGTGAGAGCTGATCAGCAGGGCCGAGGAAAACAAATCCTAAGCTGGAAGTTCAGGTTCACAAATTCAAATAACTGGCCGGCCACGGTGGCTCACACCTGTAATCCCAGCACTTTGGGAGGCTGAGATGGGTGGATCACTTGAGGTCAGGAGTTTGAGACCAGCCTGGCCAACATGGTGAAACCCCATCTGTACTAAAAATACAAAATTAGCCGGGAGTGGTGGCAGATGCCTGTAATCCCAGCTACTCAGGAGGCTGAGGCAGGAGAATTGCTTGAACCCAGGAAGCAGAGGTTGCAGTGAGCCGAGATTGCACCATTGCACTCCACCCTGGGCGATACAGACTCCTTCTCAAAAAAACAAAAACCCCCAAAAAACAAACACCCAAATTCAAATAACTGGGCAAATTTTTAACCACAGAATGTTTAAAAGCACAGGGAATTGTCAGTTCCAAATACATTTATTACTAGATTCTATAATGTCATAGTATAATTTTGGTATAGGATAATGCTGACCTCATAAAATGAATCCAAGTGCTCTCTTCTCTGACTTTGTGAAAAATGGATATTAACTTTTTCATAAACGTTTTATAGAATATTTCACAGAATTCACCAGTGAGGCCATTGGGCCTAGAATTTTCTTTGTGGGAGGAGTTTTTAATTACAAATAAAATTTATTTATTCGATTCTTTATTAGATTGATTAGGCTATTAAAAATATTTTTTCTTGTGAAAGTTTTTGTAATTTGTGCTTTTGAAGAATTTGTCAATTTCATCTAAATTGTCAAATGTATTGGCACAACTCATTCACAAAATTCTTTTAGACAGGGTATCCCTCTGTCGTCAGGCTGGAGTGCAGTGACACAGTCACTGCTTACTGCAGTCTCAGCCTTCTAGGTTCAAGCCATCCTCCCACCTTAGCCTCCTGAGTAGCTGGGACTACAGGTACCCCCCCACCACACCCAGCTGATTTTTATTGTTTTGTAGCAACAAGGTCTCACTATGATGTCCAGGCTGGTCTTAAACTCCTCAAGTCATATCCATCTTCCTTAGTCTCCCGAAATGCTGGGATTACAGACATGAGCTACCACACTGGCCCATAAAATTTCTTTATTACCCTCTTATTATCTGTAGAATTTATAACGATATCCCCTTTCATTCTGATATTGGTAACTTGTGGTTTTTCTCCTTCTCCCCTGATCAGACTTACCAATTTTATTGATCTTTCAAAGAACGAGTTTTAGTTTCATTAGCTTTCTCTAGTGTTTGTTCATTTTGTTTCAATGATTTCCACACTTTACTTTTACTTTTTCTTCCATCAATCTTTAATGTTTCCTTCCTTCTTACTTTAGGTTTAATTTGCTTTTCTTTTTGTAGTTTATTAAGGTAGAAGTTTAGGTCATGGATTTTAAACTTTTCTTCTTTTCTAATACAAGCATTTTTTTTTTTTTTTTTTGAGACAGAGTCTCACTCTGTCACCCAGGTTGGAGTGCGGTGGCGTGATCTCAGCTCACTGCAACCTCCGCCTCCTGGGTTCAAGCAATTCTCCTATCTCAGCCTCCCAAGTAACTGGGACTACAGGCACATGTCATCATGCCTGGCTAATTTTTAAATTTTTAAAATAGAGATATGATCTTACTATGTTGCCCAGGCTGGTCTCAAACTCAATACAGGTATTTAAAGGCATAAATTTCCCTTTATAAATTGCTTTAGCCGCATACCACAAAAGAAATATATTTTCATTGCAATTCAATTAAAATACTTCCTATCTTCCCTGTGACATCTTCTCTGATACATGGTTTATTTAAAACTGTGTTTAATATCTAAATATTTGCAGTTTCTCATATAAGTTTTATTACTGATTTCTAATTCAATTAAGTTATGGTCAGGAACATATTGTATGATTTCAATCCTTGTAAATTTATTGATACTATTTTATAGCCCCAAGTAAGACCTATCTTGGCAAATATTCCCTGTGCATCCTGTCATGCCTGAGTGTGGTGTTTCACTAATGTTAGTTTGCTCAAGTTGGGTCACATTGGTTGATGGCATCGTTCAGGTCTTCACTAATCCTACTGACTTCCCTTTATTTGTTATATTACTAATAGAGGATTGTTGACATCTCCAACTATAATTATAGATGTATCTCTTTCTCCTTCAATTCTGGCAATTTTTGTTTCATAAAATTTGGAAGCTTTATTATTAGGTACATATATATTTAAGATAGTTCCCATTTATCATTATGAAATGCTCCTTTATCTCCAGTAATCTCCTTTTATTTAAAAATCTATCTTGCCTGATATTAATATTGGCACTCCTACTTCTTGGATTAGAGTTTGCATGGAATATCTTTTTAAAAGCCAGTTTCTTGTAGACATTACTTATTTGAGTCTTGCTTCTTTACTGGTCTGATAATCTCTGCCTTTATGTCATTTACATCGAATGGACTTAATTGATATCATCAGATTTAAATCTACCAATTTCATTTTTATTTTGTCTCATCTGTTCTTTCTTTTCTTGCATATAATTTTATTTTTGAGCCATGTAAATATTTTACATAATCAAAAATAAAAATAGTGAACTTTAAAGAGGCAAAATGACTAAACTGCAAATATTGAAAACAAACTGACACAAATGAAATATACTTTATATGAAAATAATTACTTCAATAACTTTAAATGGTGTTTTTGTGCGTATGTCCCCGGGAAAAGACGAAAGAGAATGGCAAAGAAATCTTAGATGGCATTTCGTAGTCTTTTTGATAGCAGCAAATGTTGGTGTGGCTCTTTGGAAATTCTTGTGGACACCCCCACTTTACTGCACTTTGCTTCACTGTGCTTTGCAGATACTGTGCTTTTTACAAATGGAAGGTTTGAGGCAACCTTGAATTGAGCAAGTCTGTCAGCGCCATTTTCCAACAGCATGTGCTCACTTCATGTCTCTGTGTCACTTTTTGGTAACTGCCACAATATTTCAGTGTATTTTATCATTATTATATCTGTTATAACGATCTGTGTTCAGTGATCTTTGTTGTTACTGCTGAAATTGTTTTAGGACGTCACCAACTATACCCACGTAAGATGGCAAATGTAGTAGATAAATGTTGTGTGTGGTCTGACTGCTCCAATGACTGTCCATTGCCTCATTTCTCTCTCTCTCCTCAAGTCTCCCTATTTCCTGAGATATACTAATATGAAATTAGGCCAACAAGTAACCCTGCAGTGGCCTCTAAGTGTTCAAGTGAAAGGAGGAGCCATCATCTCTCTCTTGCAATCAAAGGCTAGAAATGATTAACATAAAGCTGAGATAGGCTGAAAGCTAGGCCTCTTGTGCCAAACAGTCAGCCAAGTTGTGAATACAAAGAAAAAAGTATTGTTATTTTTTGAGACAGGGTTTTGCTCTGTCACCTAGGCTGGAGTGCAGTGGCATGATCATAGCTCGCTGTAACCTTGAACTCTTGGGCTCAAGGGATCCTCCTGCCTTAGCCTCCAAACTAGCTAGGACTACAGGCATGTGCCCAGCTAATTTTTTTTTTATGTATTTTTTTGTCGAGACAAGGTTTTGCTATGTTGCTCAGGCTGGTCTCAAACTCCTGGCCTCAAGCAATCCTCCTGCCTCAGTCTCAAAGTGTTGGGATTATAGACATGAGCCACTGTGCCCAGCCAAGAAAAGTTCTTGAAGGAAATTAAGAGTGCCACTCCAGTAAACACACAAATGATAAAGTGAAACAGCCTTATTGCTGATATGGAGAAAGTTTGAGTGGTCTAGATAGAAGATCAAACCGGACACAACCTTCCCTTAAGCTAAAGCCTAATCCAGAGCAAGGCTTTCTCTTCAGTTCTATGAAGGCTAAGAGAGGTAAGGGAGCTGCAGAAGAAAAGTTTGAAACTAGCAGAGGTTGGTTCATGAGGTTTAAGGGAAAAAAAAA
This sequence comes from Homo sapiens, assembly GCF_000001405.40. Taxonomy (NCBI): domain Eukaryota; kingdom Metazoa; phylum Chordata; class Mammalia; order Primates; family Hominidae; genus Homo; species Homo sapiens. The sequence continues at coordinate 1,158,632 of NC_000004.12, read as the reverse complement.
ACAGAACAAGGTGAAGCAGCAAGTGCTGATGTAGAAGCTGCAGCAAGTCACCCAGAAGATGTAGCTGAGATCATTGATGAAGACGGCTACACTAAACAGTGGATTTCAAATGTAGACAAAACAGTCTTCTATTGGAAGAAGATGCCATCTAGAACTTTCATAGCTAGAGAGAAGCCAGTGTCTGGCTTCAAAGCTTCAAACGACAAGCTAACTCTCTCATTAGGGGTAATGCAGCTGGTGACTTAAAGTTGACTCCAATCCTCATTGACCATTCTGAAAATCTTAGGGCCCTTAATAATTATGCTAAACCTCCTCCACTTATGCTCTATACATGGAACAACATGGCCTGGATGACAGCCATCTGTTTACAGCATGGCTAACTGAATATTTTAAGCCTACTTTTGAGACCTACTGCTCAGAAAAAAAAAAAAGATTATTTCAAAGTATTACTATGCATTGACAATATTGACAATGCAGCTGGTCACCCAAGAGCTCTGATGAAAATGTATAAGGAGATTACTGTTGTTTTCATGCCTGCTAACACAACATCCATTCTGCAGCCCATGGATCAAGGAGAAATTTCAATTATCAAGTCTTACTATTTGAGAAATACATCTTGTAAAGCTATAGCTGCCACAGATAGGGATTCCTCTCATGAATCTGGACGAGTAAATTGAAAACCTTCTGGAAAGGATTCACTATTCCAGATGCCATTCAAAACACTGATGATTCATGGGAGGACATACAAATATCAACATGAACAGGAGTTTGGGAGAAGCTGATCTTAACCCTCAAGGATGACTTTGAGGAGTTGAAGACTTCAGTGCAGGAAGTCTCTACAGATGTGGTGGAAACAGCAAGAGAAATAGAATTAGAAGTGGAGCCTGCAGATGGGACCAAATTATTGCAATCTCAGGCTGAAACCTGAACTGATGAGGAGTGCTTCTTATGGATGAGCAAAGAAAGTAGTTTACTGAGATGGAATCTAGTCCTGGTGAAGATTCTATGAACACTGAAATGAAACCAAGGGTTTAGAATATTCCATAAACTTAGTTGATAAAGCAGCAGCAGAATTGGAGAGGACTGGCTCCAATTTTGAAAGACTTTCTACTGTGGGTAAAATGCTATCAAAGTGTCACATGCTACAGAGGAATCTTTTGTGAAAGCATCAATTGATATGACAAACTTCACTGATGTCTAATTTTAAGACATTGCCACAGCCACCACAACCTTCAGCAGCCACCACCCTGATCAGTTAGCAGCCGTCTACATCAAGGCAAGACCCTCCACCAGCAAAAAGGTTACCACTCCATGAAGGCTCAGATAATCATTAGCATTTTTTAGCAATAAAGTATGTTAATTAAGGTACATGCATCTTTTTTGTAGACACAGTGCTTATTACACACTTAATAGACTACAATATAGTGTCAATATAACTTTTATATGCACTGGGAAACAAAAACATTTCTGTGACTTGGTTTACTGCAATGTTTGCTTTATTGGTGGTCTGGATCTGAACCTGCAGTGTCTCCAAGGTATGGCCTGTATAGCTATGTTGAAGGATAAAGCAAATATATTGTATTAATGCCAGTAAGTAGATTTTTGGCATAAAAGAGATACAAGTATATATTCAATGAAATGAAGTAAAACTCTTTAGTCTTACACTTCGATTGGACATGAGAATATGAGCTCCTTTTTTAATTTAAAAATAAGCCCACAGTAAAACCTTTCCTAGCTCTGTCCCCTGAGAAAGCTCAGGGCAATGACGATCTGCAGAAGCAAATGCCCCTCACGTGAATGCCTTTTATATTATATTAAAGAGTGAATGTTATTCTGTCTAAAGGACACAGGAGTGAAACTGAAGGGTCACCATTGGCCAAAGGTTGGGCAATTTAAGTATTAAGAATAATGACTCCAATATATCAGAAAAGCATTAAATACCCAGCCACTCATGAATTCATAATGATACTTTAAAGAATCCCCATTGGTTACATGGCGGCTGTTAGGGAACAAACATACTCCTTTGAAAACTGCTAATTCTAGGGAAAGAACCAAGCCCATGGCCGGCCTTTCCTGTACAAACTGCTTCAGGGCAAGCAGCTAGTTGGTGAGAAGTTCTCCTGTAGCAACCACTGAGGAAAGAGGAATCGAGAGAGAGTGGATGTCAAAACTGCCAGGCAGAGGCTGAGGGAACCTGACAAGGGGCAAGCGGGGACAGCACTGAGCCCCTGATGGGCTGTGGTCACTCAAGGCAGGACACCTGGACATCATGGCCTCCACTGTGAGGCACCAGGAGGCACTCAGCAGCAACTCTAGCTTAAAGTCTGAGCCCGAGTCTCATCAACTCTAACTGCACACGCCAGTACCTGGGAAGCTGGAGGAAGAGCCAGCCAACCCCTCGCCACTCCCAGCACAGTCTCTGGAGCATCAGTGTCAGTGCCCAGGCCCCGTCCTCACCTCCAGATCAGGGCGTGAGCTCAAAAAGAACCCCCAGAGATTTGCAGTCACAGCGAAGGTGTGCTGAGTCCAACGGCACCTGAGGACACTTTCACCACATCTGGGATGCCGGCCGCCAAGAGCAAGGGCCCCAGGGCCTCCAACAAATTAGTGGGTTAAGAAAGAGACTTGTGTGGGGAAGGCAGACCCTATAAATAAAAGAGTTTTAACAGACATAGCAACCAAGTGTCATGTGTGGATTCTGTTTAGATACTGATCAAAATAAATCAACTGTGAAAAAGACCTTTTAAGTCAATCAGGGAAATGTGACTGTGAACTGCGTGTCGGAGGACAGGAAGGGATTCTTATTAACCTTGCTGTGATGGCATGGTTGGTGACTGTTTCATTTAATAAGGTCCTCACTAGTTAGTGACGCATACTGAAGTGCCGATAGGTGAAAACGGCCTCTGACCTGACATACTTTAAAAGTGTGTGTGTGGTGTGTGTGTGTTGGTTAAGTAAAACTAGTTTGGGGTTCATCACACAATTCTCTAGTTTCATGTGCTTAAACTGTTCTAGAATAGACGGTTTTGTTTTTTTTAGCTGTGTGAGGAAGTAGAGAAGTGGAGCTAGCCTATCTGGCAACCCCTCAAGATGTCAGGCTATGAAATAACACTGGCAAACACTTACACAGAGTGTACTGTGTGCCAGGGACTGTTCTTAGCACTTTACACAGAGAGTATCATTTGGTCTTTACAGCCACCGTATAAAGTGGGCTCTTTATTCTCTCAGATGAGGAAACTGAGGCAGAGAACAACTAAGGAACTTGCCTAGGATCGCACAGGAGGTAAGGGGCAGAGGAGGGACACCCAGACAGTGTGGCCCCAGAGTCTAGGCTTGTCAACATTGTGCTTCAGAACATCTCTAAAGGAAAACATTGGCTGTTTGGGAGACTGAGGCAGAGGGAACAGACCAGTGGGAAGGGAGAGAGGTCTCTGAGGAGGAAGGAAAAGGTGGGCTCTGAAACTGGAGCTGGGTTTAGGTAGGAGGAAGGGCAGGTCGTGGATGAAGACAGCTGCAGGTGCGTGCCTGGTCACCCTTGCCACACGCTTGGAATCCAGCCAGAGCTCCACCTGGCACCAGAAAAGCAACAGCTACACCCTTCACCAAATGCCCACTATGCACCAGACCAGGGCTGAGAAGCCCACACCGCCTGTGTCATCTAATCCCTGCGACAATGCACTGCCCCTGCCTTATGGGTGACGGCCCGGAGGTCCGTCGATCTGTCCACACTCACGTCACTGAGAAGCAGTGTAGTCAGACAGCCCAGGCCCTCGGCTGCCAGCACTTGCTCCAAACCACACGATGCATTCTTTCCATCTTCCCACTTCTTTCCAGAGTGCTCAAAAGGGCTCGCTGAAGCATTCTCATGATGGTGCACTCACATACAAAAAACAAGCGTGTGCAAAAATGTGAGCACGTGAGCTTTGCAGCCGAGCTAGCTGTTCTCTGCCACTGTCAAATGCCCGGTCCCCGTGATGCAGTCCTGCAGTGATTAGTCACATAAGACGTTGCACTGGGGGCGTTGACGAATGGGTCACAGGACCTCTGCACTATTTTTGTAACTTTTTGTTAGTCTACAGACATTTTTAAATAAAAGGTTTAAAGAGAAAACACCGGATGTCGCAGCTGAAAAGACCTAATGGATCACTAAGTGATTTTCACTCCTTTTTTAAATGAGGAAACAGACTTAGTCTCTTCAGGGCACGCGCTCTTCCTAGTCCAGGTGGTTCCACTTTAGCCAGGTTCCCTTCCTCCCACCCACAGGTCCACACCCACCTCCCCCGCACCCAGACTCCTCCCAACCCAGCCTTCCCCCGGCACCCGGCCTCCCCCAACACACCCAAACTCCCTCCCACACACCCAGCTCTCCCCCACCCACCCAGACTCCCTTCACACACCCAGACTCCTCTCACACACCCAGCCTCCCCCAACATACCCAGACTCCCCCCAGACACCCAAACTCACCCCTTACACCCAGCCACACCCCCCCACACCTAGCCTCCCCACCGCACCCAGCCTCCCCTCGACATGCCTAGCCTCACCCCCACACCCAGCCTCCCTCCCCTCCTGCCTACACCTGCCTCCCCATCTCTCATTTCTCATACTCCATGACACCATCTTCATTAGAAGCTTCTTCACTCCATCAGAATGCTTCAACATCTTTTCAGTGGCGGATCAGAAAGAACTCTGCATCATCAGCTTGGAAAGGCCCCAAATTCTTACGCCTTTTTATCTTGTTCGTCGGATTTGCTGCAAGTATCTGCCCAGTGTCAGCGCCACGTGTCACTTCTCACAAAAATCAATTTTACAAAATTAGCCAGTGAAATACAAACACCCACTAACCAGTGGCACTTGCAACGGATCCATTTCAAAGAAAGTATTATCAGAAGTGGCTCAAGCAACAGAAATGCAAATGTTAACATTTCTTTTATGTTTTGGTTTTCCATTTTCAACTGCCTTTTATTTCCACGCAGGGGAACGTGAGGAGAAATGCCTAATAGAAGACATTCCAAGCGACACACTGGTAACAGGTAAGTAAAATGTGCTCGGTTAAATGTTGAACTCCAGAAGTGGTTTTACAGAATTCTGCCATCCTCTACGTCCATATTACTTGGCAGTGAACATAATGCTGCATGGTTTTCTCTTGATCATTTATCAAGTTATTCAAACCTAACAGCCTTAAGAGTGAATGGTAAAATTCATAAAACAGGAAATCTGGACAGTGTTCCCTGGAATCCAAGCTTGATTTGTTTTCCAGTTGTCAATGTTCCTCAGTAAAAGCATCTTGGATGCCATTTCTCACTCTAATAGTGGTTGAACATTCAAAACGTACGTGAGGTCTTTAGACTGTGCAGCAAGACAGGAGCACAAGTCGCACGTCCTCTGTGCCCTGACCTCCTGGTGTCCACAGAGCCATGGGGAGAAGGCATCGTGGTGGGTGTGCAAGTGCAGATCGGAGACTGTTTTCCAAGCAAACGGCTAGTAAAAGCTGCTAACACCATGGTGAGTTCCACACGTTTCCCACACTGCCACCAAGCACAGCCCCACACAGCTGAGCTTCACCTGCCTTCTGAGAAAGAAACAAGTACCTGTGGTGTCAGAACGGTGTAGAAAATCCAGAATATGCTTAACATTTAGGCCACAATCAACATCAAATTCCCGGGTTTTAATGCAAAAAAAAAAAAAAAAAAAAAAGGAGGGGGAGTAGGAAGAAGAGAATCTAGTGATATTCCTCACAAGTGCTGATTACGTATTTTATATCCCATTCAATCTTACAATGAATACTGTTGAATCCTCTTTTCAATTTATCTTGGTCATTACCTTTGAGTGTGCTATTGCAAAAAGTAATGACCCATCCTGCGAAAGATTAAGTAAATGCATCAAGCATGGAGGCAGAGAAAGAAACAGAGCAATGTGAGATCAAGTTTTGGGATGAGTAGCATGGAAAAAATAGCCAGGAAGAGAGCTGGGTGGTCTTAGAGCCCTCGCTGCTGCTCCGACACTGTGGATGAAGCCATATTTGGGACTCTGGAGTCTGTACAAGCCTGCCTGGATCCAAATCCCAGTCTGTCACCTGAGAGCTGTGTGCCACTGGGCAAGTGACTTACCCTCTGTTTAATTTGTGAAATGCAATGATGATTAAAAAAACAAACATCTATTTCTGTTGGTTGTGCTGATGATTAGGTTACTCTTTGTAAGGCTTTTACAACCTAACCCAGCTCACAGAAAGTACTGTGTTTGCTCAACACGTTCTCTGAGCCCAACGATCTCATCCCACGGGAAGCTTGGCCCCTGAGGTAAATAGCCCTGGGTAGCCGGCTGTTTTCCTGGTAACATATGAATTTTCCAGCCTGCAGTTGAAGGGGCAGAAGAAGAGGAAGGGGGACAGTGCTGGCCTGTCCACTTGCCTGTTGCCTCATGGCCCATCAGCTGGATGGGCTCACCCAGGACCCACTGGGACATCTCAAGGAACTGCAGCCACCTGAGCCACGGCGGCACTGGCAGCAGGAAGGCAAGTGTGGCTAGAGAGTGTCCTGACAGCTGTGTCAAGACAGGGTCTCAGTGATGACACCACGGTCCATCTAAAGTGGCTGGTGCCATCATGCCAGCTGCAGCAGGGAGGCACAGCCAGGGCTGCATGCTCCATGGAACTGGCAGGAGCTGCGGACAAGCAGGAGCCCTGCCCCTTCCGAGTTGGGTGGTAGCTCTCTGCAGACTTAGGCATCCCTGTGCTCTCGGGCCGGGAGCAGATGGGTGCCCCACTCTCCTGGGCACAGCTGCAGCCACTGAAGTCACAGCTGTAGACCCAGACCTCCTGCTCCACAGAGCAGGCAGAAGCCCCACCCAAGTCCCAGCTGCAGATCCAGGCCTTCTGCTCCATGGAGCAGGCAGGAGCCCCACCCCTCTGGGCACAGATGCAGCTGCCCAAGTCATGGCTGCAGACCCAGGCATCCCTGTGCTCCTGGAAGCCGGGAGCAGAGAGAAGCCCCTCTCCTAGGCGCAGCTACAGCCACCCAAACCATGGCTGCAGACCCAGGCATCTCTGCACTCTAGGGGGCCCAGGAAGCCCCATCCCCGGCCTTCGCAGGTTTGGAAGTGCCTGCTTCTGCTGCCTGGCTTCTCCCTGCTGTCAGTGTCCACTTTGATCTCAGAGTAAAGTCAGGGCGAGCCTGGGCACTGTTGCAGCCTGGCCAGGTGTGCACACGCTCAGGGCAGTGCTAATACACCAGCCCCCTGCTGCCTCAGCACCCTCCAGACTTTAAGCACCGAGAATAGGAGGGAAGCCAAGGGTGGGCTGAGGGTAGCTTGGCACTGGCCTGCAGGCACCCCTTGGCACCTATAGCCTGGACACCATGAATAGCAGCAGGACGCAGACAAGTTCCTGGGTGGAAGAGGGCAGGTCCCTGGTGAGGCCCCCACCTTCAGGCCAGGGAGGTCCTGAAGGCTGGGGACTGGGCTGCCAGTCCTGCAGACCAGAGTGGGAACTTCTGGTGCCTTTACCCATGACTGCCAATGTACCAATCACAGTGCACTTCCTCCCCTCTAAGGCCCATAAAAGCCCTAGGCTCAACCAGAGCTGAGCAGACATCAGGGCAACCAGATGCAGAGAGGAGCTACCCATTCCATGGCCTCCTCTCTGCTGAGAGCTGGGGAGACAACAAGAGGACCTGCCTGCAGAGAGCAACAGCCCACTCCAGGGCCTCCTCTCTGCTGAGAGCCGCAGGCACAAAGGGATGGCCCGTCTGCAGACAGGAGCAACCCACTCCAGGGCCTCCTCTCTGCTGAGAGCCTCAGAGATGACAGGATGGCCTGCCTGCCAAGAGGAGCTTCCCACTCTACGGTCTCCTCTGTGCTAGGAGCTGAACACGCGTTGTGACACCCTGGCTGTGGAAAGGAGCTGCCCCTGCGGGTCTCCTCTGAGCCGTTGTATCGCTCAATAAAGCTCGTCTTCCTCTTGCTCACCCTCCACTTGTCTGCAGACCTCATTCTTCCTGGTCACAGGACAAGAACTTGGGACCCGTCAAATGGCAAGGCTAAAAGAGCTGGTATAACACAAACAGGGCTGAGACATGCCCCTTGCTTGCCATGCTATGGGGGAAGAGAAGGAGAGAAGAGCTGCAGCCCTTCAGGGAGCCTAGACTTGGGAGCCCCCCAGGCCAGGAACAAGCAGGAGCCCTGCCCCTTCTGAGTTGGACTCCCTCTTTGGGGCCCTGTGGTTCCTGGCATACTGCATTCCCCAGTGCCAGCTGTGGAAGCTGCTTGCAGTGCACCTGGTCCAGCTGCAGCCTTGCAGAGAGTGGGCGCCCATGCCAGCACTGGAGCTGCCCACCTTGCAGCAGCTGCGGGTGTGCCTGACTGCACAGTGGCTGGACCCCATGCTCACTCACACACCCCTCACTGCTCTGTGCCTGACTCGCTCTTGGCAGGTGTGGGATCCAGGCCAGTAGCGTGAGTTGAGTGCAGCATGCCAGGCTGAGTGGGCAGAACAAGCCCAGTGGGCCCAAGCAAAACTCGGGCAAGGGTGCCACCAGCCACAGAAGTTTCCAGCTAGAAATGTGACACCCCAAGGATCCTCTGGCAAGCGGTCCCATCTGGCTGGAAGACCAGGGCCCACTGTGGCTGGCTCCCTCACCCAAGTCAGGAGCCTCTGGAGTCCTCCTTCCCACGGATGCTGCTGTCCACGCCTCCCTCCTCAGTTCCTGCCAAGGCTCTTCTCTGACTGACTGCTCCTCCTCACCTGGTCTTCCCAAGCCTCCCTACTCTCTGTTCTTCCCACTCAGCAGTCTCCTTAACCATCACCCTTGGGCAATTATTTAGATTTAGAGCTTGGCTACTTAAAACTCACTGTTATGGAAAACTTTGAAAGTGCATCAGGGCCAGGCATGGTGGTTCACACCTGTAATCCCAGCACTTTGGGAGGCCGAGGCATGTGATCACTTGAGGTCAGGGGTTCAAGACCAGCCTGGCCAACATGGTAAAACCCCGTCTCTACTAAAAATACAAAGAAGAAAAAAAATTAGCCAGGAGTAGTGGTGGACACCTGCAGTCCTGGCTACTTGGGAGGCTGAAGCAGAAGAATCACTTGAACCCAGGAGGCAGAGGTTGTAGTGAGCCGAGATCGCGTCACTGCACTCCAGCCTGGGTGACAGAATGAGACTCCATCTCAAAAAAAAAAAAAAAAAAAAAAGGCGCATCAGGCCACAGTTTTAACTTTTCTTTAAAAGAGAACAGTATGCCCTTAAAGTCCAAGAGCTACAGACTGGTCCTGGAAGCCATCCTGTGGGTCTGGTGCTCCTCACCCACTGCCCTGTGGTGGAGGAGCCCACACCTGCCCCACACCCTAGTGCCAAGGGAGCCTCTGCACTGGCGCTCTGGGGTGGCTGCTCGCCTTTTCCTTGCCGGGGAGCACAGCCCACAGCTGTCCATAGTGCAGGAACTACATCTCCACAACTGTATCCAATCATCCTTGTTCTGCCATCTGGGTCCACTCAAAATAAATACACATTTTTTCACCTGAAAGTCCGTCATAACTGAAGTCACAGATTCCACCCATCCCAGATTTCTCTTTGCAGGCTAACTCTCCTTAGTTGCCAAGTGCGCGGTTTTGCTCCAGTTTGTAACACACATGCGTGAAAGTATCTCGTTTGGGTCAAGCTAAGAGCTGGGAGCTGAAGACTCTGTAGGGCAAGACAGGCGAGCTCCCTGGGCCTGCCCCTGCCCCTGCCCCTGACTGCATTCAGCAAAGAAGCCGCAAAGCATGTAACCCAAGAAAGAAGAACTCACCGCTGACCCAGGACAGCCAGCCCAGAGGAGGCCGAGGGAGCAGGCTGTGGAGACTGAGGCAGGAGGGTGGAAGGCTCTGGCAAAAACGGGGGATGGGCATAAGACAAAAGAAGACTATTACTCAGACATGGAAAAACCGAGGACAGAAAATGGGCAAATCGTACAAGGAGAGAAAAGCAAACCAAACTCATCAAAACCAATTAAACAAACAACCACAAGTAAGTCATGGTCCAAATATGATGCCCTCAATTTCCCACAGATTGAGTGGTGCGAAGCTGGCTGGGGGGAGAGCCGGGATTGGCCTTTTACCTTGGCTGCTTTGGTCTACCAGCAGGCTGCTGGGACACAGGCCCTGTGCTGGGGGACGGGGATGGGGACAGGAGGATATCTGGGTCCCCTTCCCAGTTTCATGTCGCTCATAAAAGTGGTCATTTTGCTCTGTGTCAGCAGGGACACTTCCGGTTTGAAGGTGTATTAGGACTGAATGAGCTCTTTGAGGGCATGAACTCTTCTATTAACCTTTGTATCCCCAAAGCCTATTGCAGTGCCTGGCACATGTGGAGTGAGTGCTTTTAATCAGAACTGAACAAACTGCAGGATGAACTGTGGTTCTAAGACTTCCACACACATTGAGACGAATTTGAAAGTCAGATTCTAATTACAAGCATGCAGCCAGATGTGGATGCATCTCACTTCTTGACTTGGCTGAAAACTAACATACAAAAGCCTTTCTGAAATCCATTTCCATGATATCCACGGTGTTCTAAACTCTCCCTGTCAGTGCCATTTCCATGATATCCATGGTGTTCTAAACTCTCGCTGTGGGTGCCATTTCCATGATATCCACGGTGTTCTAAACTCTCCCCATCAGTGCCATTTCCACGATATCCATGGTGTTCTAAACTCTCCCCATTGGTGCCATTTCCATGATATCCACGGCGTTCTAAACTCTCCCCGTCGGTGCCATTTCCATGATATCCACGGTGTTCTAAACTCTCGCTGTGGGTGCCATTTCCATGATATCCACAGCGTTCTAAACTCTCGCTGTCAGTGCCATTTCCATGATATCCACGGTGTTCTAAACTCTCGCTGTCAGTGCCATTTCCATGATATCCACGGTGTTCTAAACTCTCGCTGTGGGTGCCATTTCCATGATATCCACAGTGTTCTAAACTCTCCCTGTTGGTGCCATTTCCATGATATCCACGGTGTTCTAAACTCTCGCTGTCAGTGCCATTTCCATGATATCCACGGTGTTCTAAACTCTCGCTGTCAGTGCCATTTCCATGATATCCACGGTGTTCTAAACTCTCGCTGTGGGTGCCATTTCCATGATATCCACGGTGTTCTAAACTCTCCCTGTTGGTGCCATTTCCATGATATCCACGACGTTCTAAGCTCTCCCTGTCGGTGCCATTTCCATGATATCCATGGTGTTCTAAACTCTCGCTGTGGGTGCCATTTCCATGATATCCACGGTGTTCTAAACTCTCGCTGTGGGTGCCATTTCCATGATATCCACGGTGTTCTAAACTCTCCCTGTTGGTGCCATTTCCATGATATCCACGACGTTCTAAGCTCTCCCTGTCGGTGCCATTTCCATGATATCCATGGCGTTCTAAACTCTCCCTGTCAGTGCCATTTCCATGATATCCATGGTGTTCTAAACTCTCGCTGTGGGTGCCATTTCCATGATATCCACGGCGTTCTAAACTCTCCCTGTCGGTGCCATTTCCATGATATCCACGGCGTTCTAAACTCTCCCCGTCGGTGCCATTTCCATGATATCCATGGCGTTCTAAGCTCTCCCCGTCGGTGACATTTCCATGATATCCACGGCGTTCTAAACTCTCCCCATCGGTGCCATTTCCATAATATCCACGGCGTTCTAAACTCTCCCCATCGGTGCCATTTCCATGATATCCATGGCATTCTAAGCTCTCCCCGTCGGTGCCATTTCCATGATATCCACGGCGTCCTAAGCTCTCCCCATCGGTGCCATTTCCATGATATCCACAGCATTCTAAACTCTCGCTGTCGGTGCCATTTCCATGATATCCACAGTGTCCTAAGCTCTCCCCGTCGGTGCCATTTCCATGATATCCATGGCGTTCTAAACTCTCCCCATCGGTACCATTTCCATGATATCCATGGTGTTCTAAACTCTCCCCATCGGTGCCATTTCCATGATATGCACGGCGTTCTAAGCTCTCCCTGTCAGTGCCATTTCCATGATATCCACGGCATTCTAAGCTCTCCCCGTCGGTGCCACTTCCATGATATCCACGGTGTTCTAAGCTCTGTCAGTGTCACTTCCATGATATCCACAGCGTTCTAAGCTCTCCCCATCGGTGCCATTTCCATGATATCCACGGCGTTTTAAACTCTCCGTCAGTGCCATTTCCATGATATCCACGGCGTTCTAAACTCTCCCCATCGGTACCATTTCCATGATATCCACGGTGTTCTAAACTCTCCCCATCGGTGCCATTTCCATGATATGCACGGCGTTCTAAGCTCTCCCTGTCAGTGCCATTTCCATGATATCCACGGCATTCTAAGCTCTCCTCGTCGGTGCCACTTCCATGATATCCACAGTGTTCTAAGCTCTGTCAGTGTCACTTCCATGATATCCACAGCGTTCTAAGCTCTCCCCATCGGTGCCATTTCCATGATATCCACGGTGTTTTAAACTCTCCCCGTTGGTGCCACTTCCGTGATATCCACGGCGTTCTAAGCTCTCCCCATCAGTGCCATTTCCATGATATCCACGGCATTCTAAACTCTCGCTATGGGTGCTATTTCCATGATATCCACGGCGTTCTAAGCTCTCCCCATCGGTGCCATTTCCAAGATATCCACGGTGTTCTGAACTCTCCCCGTTGGTGCCATTTCCGAGCTCTCCCCGTCGGTGCCATTTCCATGATATCCGCGGCGTCCTGAGCTCTCCCCGTCGGTGCCATTTCCATGATATCCACGGCGTCCTGAGCTCTCCCCGTCGGTGCCATTTCCATGATATCCGCGGCGTCCTGAGCTCTCCCCGTCGGTGCCATTTCCATGATATCCACGGCGTCCTGAGCTCTCCCCGTCGGTGCCATTTCCATGATATCCACGGCGTCCTGAGCTCTCCCCGTCGGTGCCATTTCCATGATATCCACGGCGTCCTGAGCTCTCCCCGTCGGTGCCATTTCCATGATATCCAGGGCGTCCTGAGCTCTCCCCGTCGGTGCCATTTCCATGATATCCACGGCGTCCTGAGCTCTCCCCGTCGGTGCCATTTCCATGATATCCACGGCGTCCTGAGCTCTCCCCGTCGGTGCCATTTCCATGATATCCACGGCGTCCTGAGCTCTCCCCGTCGGTGCCATTTCCATGATATCCACGGCGTCCTGAGCTCTCCCCGTCGGTGCCACTTCCATGATATCCACGGTGTTCTAAGCTCTGTCAGTGTCACTTCCATGATATCCACAGCGTTCTAAGCTCTCCCCATCGGTGCCATTTCCATGATATCCACGGCGTTTTAAACTCTCCCTGTCAGTGCCATTTCCATGATATCCACGGCGTTCTAAACTCTCCCCATCGGTACCATTTCCATGATATCCACGGTGTTCTAAACTCTCCCCATCGGTGCCATTTCCATGATATGCACGGCGTTCTAAGCTCTCCCTGTCAGTGCCATTTCCATGATATCCACGGCATTCTAAGCTCTCCTCGTCGGTGCCACTTCCATGATATCCACAGTGTTCTAAGCTCTGTCAGTGTCACTTCCATGATATCCACAGCGTTCTAAGCTCTCCCCATCGGTGCCATTTCCATGATATCCACGGTGTTTTAAACTCTCCCCGTCGGTGCCACTTCCGTGATATCCACGGCATTCTAAGCTCTCCCCATCGGTGCCATTTCCATGATATCCACGGCATTCTAAACTCTCGCTATGGGTGCTATTTCCATGATATCCACGGCGTTCTAAGCTCTCCCCATCGGTGCCATTTCCAAGATATCCACGGTGTTCTGAACTCTCCCCGTTGGTGCCATTTCCGAGCTCTCCCCGTCGGTGCCATTTCCATGATATCCGCGGCATCCTGAGCTCTCCCCGTCGGTGCCATTTCCATGATATCCACGGCGTCCTGAGCTCTCCCCGTCGGTGCCATTTCCATGATATCCACGGCGTCCTGAGCTCTCCCCGTCGGTGCCATTTCCATGATATCCACGGCGTTCTGAGCTCTCCCCGTCGGTGCCATTTCCATGATATCCACGGCGTTCTGAATTCTCCCCGTCGGTGCCATTTCTATGATATCCAGGGCGTCCTAAGCTCTCCCCGTCGGTGCCATTTCCATGATATCCACGGTGTTCTGAACTCTCCCCGTCGGTGCCATTTCCATGATATCCACGGCGTTCTAAGCTCTCCCTGTCAGTGTCACTTCCATGATATCCACGGCGTTCTAAGCTCTCCCCATCGGTGCCATTTCCATGATATCCACGGCGTTCTGAACTCTCCCCGTCGGTGCCATTTCCATGATCTCCACGGCGTTCTAAGCTCTCCCTGTCAGTGCCATTTCCATGATATCCACGGCGTTCTAAGCTCTCCCCGTCGGTGCCATTTCCATGATATCCACGGCGTTCTGAACTCTCCCCGTCGGTGCCATTTCCATGATATCCATGGTGTCCTAAGCTCTCCCTGTCGGTGCCATTTCCATGATATCCACGGCGTTCTAAGCTCTCCCTGTTGGTACCATTTCCATGATATCCACAGTGTTCTAAGCTCTCCCTGTTGGTATTCCCTAACAAAAAAAGGAATGAGACTTGTGCGGCACAACCTTTTCTTGGTGAAGCCACAGGCTCACTGCGGTTCTTCCTCAATGCTCAGAAATGGTCAGTTGCCCAGGACTTAATTTCAAGCTCTCTTGGCAACTGAAGATTGTGTTTTTAATTATGTTTATTCCACTCTTTTCCCTTTAAAAATCATCTCCCTCTCTCTTTTCTTCCTTTTCTCCCCGTGTTCCTTTATATATTCAGCAAATATCTACCGCTCACCTATGAGTCATTGTTCTTGATTCTGCGGATTCAAACTGGAAAGAAACATAATAATGGAATCTTGCCTTCAGGGTGTTTATGGTTTCATGGACAGAGAAAAACAATAACCTAGAAAATGAGCAAGTCATAAAACAACTCAGAGAGGGGGACAGGAGGCTCCCAGCATGGACGAAGAAGAACTCACTGGGATAGTAACCCTGAAGCTGTGATGCACGGGGATGGGGGAGACTTGGAGTGTGTCTGAGGAAGCAGACAGTGAGGCTGGACTGGCTGGAGGATAGAAGGTGGGGCTGGAAGGTCAGCATCACGGCACCTTGGTCAACAGCCACAGACAGACTTTGAATTTGACTCTGAGTGACAAGGCTTTTAGTATAATCCACACTTTAAATGCCACATGGCTGCAGAAGCAGAGATATCCAGGGAAGCTCCTCCCATCATCCAGGAAAGAGGATGGGGCTTGGATCAAGGGAGCTCCAGCGAGAGGAGCTATGGTCAGATACCAGATGCATTTGGAAGGCAGAACCTATAAGACATTCTGACAGAATGAAAATGGGGTTCACAAAGAGACAAATAAACAAGAATTTACAGAGATGGAGAAGACTGCAGACCATGGTTTGGGTCAGGGTGGGAGGGCGGGGGGTCAGGAATTTTTTTTTCTGGATTAATTAAATCTGAGATGCCTGTTGGCCATCTGTCACAATCCATATTGTGTTGCTATATCAGAATGCCACAGACTGTGTAATTTATAAAGAAAAGAAATACATTTCTCACAGTTCTGAAGGCTGGGAATTCCAAGAGCAATGGGCATCTAAAGCACCTGTTTGAAGGCATTGAGTACAACCAACACAGACAGGACTTAAGAGGCCACGATCTTTGGAGAGGGAAAAGACACGAGGTGAGCTCCACAATCATCCTGGTGTTTTCCACTCAGGAAAATTTCAAATTGTATATTAGGGTAATAAATCTCAAGAGAAAGGGCCAAGGAAAGAGAGGTCAGAGTTCAGGACTGCCAAAGTGGCTGGGAAGTGAGGAGGGAAATCCAGAAAAGGAAGGAAACAAAAATAAGGAGCCTAATAATCTGAATTAAAATCTTCCTCAAATAACTGGCTGATACCTAAGTTACATAAAAGCAGAGAGAGACTCAAAACAGGCAAACAAAAACAACCAGCAGGAAACAGCAACCGCTGAAGAATGAAGCAGAGGTTTTGTCAGCCACATGGACCTGGCAGGAAAGGACCATGACCCAACAAGGTGGAGGGATCTCAGAAAACACCCTGGACCCTACAAGGGTTACACTCTGGGCATAAGATCAGGCCCTAGAAATAAGGACTACATCCCAGGGGTGGGTTACATTCTAGGAATAAGGACAAAACTGGAATAGATCAGCCCTGTTTGCTAGCAGGAAATAACCCTCCTTGGAGGAGGATAGCATTATTCAAACCCTCTACAATATACCAAAAAAATAAAAAAAACCCTCTATGGTGTACAGCATCCAATCCCAAATTATGAGGCATGCTTTAAAAAAAAAAAAAAAGATTGAATGACCAGAAGCCAAAATATTAAACAGGCAATAGAAAGAGATACACAGATG
Organism: Homo sapiens; assembly: GCF_000001405.40. Classification (NCBI taxonomy): domain Eukaryota; kingdom Metazoa; phylum Chordata; class Mammalia; order Primates; family Hominidae; genus Homo; species Homo sapiens. The sequence continues at coordinate 1,142,224 of NC_000004.12, read as the reverse complement.
ATTCAGAGCGGGACTTTAAAATTACTATTAATATGTTAAAGAAAATAGGGAAATTGATGAACAAGATATATGAAAAGATGGAGAATTTCAATAATTAGGATCTCTTTTTAAAAAACCAAGTGGACATTCTGGAACTGAAAAACACAATGTCTGAAGAACTCATTCGATAGAGTCAACAAAAGACCAGGAAAGAAGATTAGTGAAGGAGATTAGATTAGTGAACTGGAAGAGATTTCAATAGAAAAAAGAATGAAAAGACCAGAAAGGAGTGTAAGATATGTGAGGAAGACAAATGGCCTAAGATACATGCAATTGCAGCCCCAAAGAGAAAGGTGAGAGAGAATGGAGAAAAGGCAATATTTAAAGACATAATGGCCAAAAAATTTTGAAAATTGATGGAAGACATCAACCCAGAGATTCAAGGAGCTCAGAGTACCCCAAATGAGGATAAATATAAGGACAACCACACCTAGGTACATCATTGTCACACTATCGAAAGCCAAATACAAACAGAAAAAAATTAAAAATAACCAAAGGGAAAACCACAATCATATCAGGGCACAGTTACTTCAATCTTAAAAATGATTTTGTTAACGTTTCAACAGAAGCTATGGCATCTTCAGAGATGCTGAACGGAAAGGGAAAAACGACTTTGTGATAGATTTTGAAATCAGGAAGTGTGATGACTCCAACTTTGTTCTCTCTCAAGATTAATTTGGCTCTTCATAGTCTTTTTTGGTTCCATATGAATTTTAGAATTGTTTTTCTATTTCTGTCCATCGAAATTTTGATAGGGATTGCATTGATTTGGTAGATTGCATTGGGTAGTACGGACATTTTAACAATATGAAGTACTGCAATCCATGAACCCGAGATGGCTTTTGTGTCTTCTTTCTTTCATTAATGTTCTGTAATTTTTGTATACTAGTCTATCACTTCCTTTGTTAAGTCTATTCCTAAGTATTTCATACTTTTTGGTGGTATTGTAAATGGGACTGTTTTCCTAATTGTCTTTTCAAATAGTTCATTGTTAGTGTATAGAAATGCATCTCATTTTCTGCATTGATTTTGTATCCTGCAACTTCACTGAATTCATTTATTCATTCTCACAGTTTGTTTTGTTTTGTTTTGTTTTTTGAGACAGAGTCTCGCTCTGTTGCCCAGGTTGGAGTGCAGTGGCACGATCTTGGCTCACTGAAAACTCCACCTCCTGGGTTCACACCATTCTCCTGCCTCCCGAGTAGCTGGGACTACAGGCGCCTGCCACCATGCCCAACTAATTTTTTGTATTTTTTTTAGTAGAGGCAGGGTTTCACTGTGTTAGCCAGGATGGTCTCGATCTCCTGACCTCCTGATCTGCCTGCTTCAGCCTCCCAAAGTGCTGGGATTAGAGGTGTGAGCCACCATGCCCAGCCAGTTCTCACAGTTTTTTATGTAGTCTTTAGGGTTTTCTATGTATAGGATCATGTCATCTGCAAACAGGGACAATATTATTTTCCTTTCCTATTTGGATGTCTTTTATTTCTTTTTCTTGCCTAAATGCTCTTGCTAGGACTTCCAGTACTATGTTGAATAAAAGTGACAAAAGCAGGTATCCTTGCCTTTTTCCTGATCGTAAAGGAAAAGCTTTTGTTTTCCCCAGTGAGTATGATGTTAGCTGTTGACTTTTCATATAATGTCTTTATTATGCTGAGGTACTTTCCTACTATTTCTAATTTGATAACTTTTATCATGAAAGGATGCTGAATTGTGTTAAATGCTTCTTCTACATCTATTGAGATAATCATGTGATTTTTATCTTTTATTCTGTTAATACAATATACCATATTGATTTATGTGTGCTGAACCATCTTTGCACCCCAGGGATAAACCCTACTTGGTTATGGTGTAATAATATGATCCTTTTAAAGCGTCTTTGATTTGGCTCACCAGTATTTTGTTGAGGACTTTTGCATCTATATTCATCAGGAATACTGGCCTATAGTTTTCTTTTCTTGTAGTGTCTTTGTCTGGCTTTAGTATCAGGGTAGTGCTGTTCTCATAAAATGAGTTTGGAATGGTTCCCTCCTCTTCAACTTTTGAAAAGAATCTGAGAAGGATTGGTGTTGATTCTTCTTTAAACGCTGGTTGAATTTGCCAGTGAAGCCATCTGGTCCTGGGCTTTTCTTTATTGGAAGGTGCTGGATTATGTACTCAATCTCCATATTAGTTAAGGAGATATTCAGACTTTCTGTTTCTTCATGATTCAGTCTGGATAGATTGTGTGTTTTTAGGAGTTTATCTGTTTCTTTTAGGTTATTCAGTTTGCTGGCATATAATTATTCATACTAGTCTCTTATTATCATTTTTATATCTATGGCATCAGTTTTAATGTCTCCTCTTTCACTCTGGTTTTATTTGAATTGTCTCTTTTTCTTCATCTAGACTCGATTTCAAAATATACTATAAAGCAACAGTAATCAAGACACTGTGGGCTGGGTGTGGTGTCTCACGCCTGTAATCCCAGCATTTCCAGCATTTTGGGAGGCTGAGGTGGGGAGATCACTTGAGGTCAGAGTTCGAGATCAGCCTGGTCAACATGGTGAAACCCTGTCTCTATTAAAAATAAAAAAATTAGCTGGGCATGGATGCCTGTAGTCCCAGCTACTGGGGAGGCTGAAGCAGGAGAGTCACTTGAACCCGGGAGGTGGAGGTTGCAGTGAGCTGAGATCACGCCACTGCATGTCAGCCTGGGCAACACAGTGAGACTCTGTCTCGGAAAAACAAAAAACAAACAACAACAACAAAAAACCAGTATAATACTAGTGTGAAGACAGACAGACCAATGGAACAGAATAAAGAGCCCAGAAATAAATCCACACATATATGGTCAACTGATCTTTGACAAAGGTGACAAGAATAGGGTGGAGAAAGGACAGTCTCTTTAATAAGTGGTGCTGGGAAAACTGGATATCCACATGCAAGATAATGAAATTGGACCTTTATTTTACACCATACGCAAAAATAAACCAAAAATAGATTAAAGACCTAAATGTAATACCTGAAACTGTTAAACTCCTATGAAAAACCATGAGGGAAGAAAAGTTTCATAACACTGGTCTTGGCAATAATTTCACGGATATAACAACAAAAGCACAGGCAACAAAAGCAGAAACTGACAAATGAGACTGCATCAGACTCAAAAGCTTCTGCATGGTAAAGGAAACAAAATGGTAAAAAGGTAACCCATGCAATGGGAGAAAATATTTGCAAACCATGTCTACCTGACAAGGGGCTAAGCTCTAAAATATATAAGGAATGCCTACAACTCAATAGCAAAAAACCCAATAACCCAATCTGAAAGTGGGCTAAGGACTTAAATAGACATTTCTCTAAACAAGATATTCAAATGACCAGCAGGTGTATGAAAAAATCTCAATGCCATGAAGGAAATGCAAATCAAAGCAATGAAACATCACCTCATATCTGTCAGGATGGCTATTTAAAAAAAAAAAAAAACAAGTATTGGTGAGAATGTGGAGACACTGGAACGCTTGTGCACTGCTGGTGGGAAAGCAAAGTGGGTGCAGCTGCTGTGGAAAACAGAATGGACGTTCCTCAAAACACTAAAACTGGCCGGGTGTGGTGGCTCACACCTGTAATCCCAGCACTTTGGGAAGCCGAGGCGGGTGGATCATGAAGTCAGGAGTTCAAGACCAGCCTGGCCAAGATGGTGAAACCCTGTCTTTACTAAAAAATACAAAAATTAGCTGGGCATGCTGGTGGGAGGCTGAGGCAGAGAACTGCTTGAACCTGGGAGGTGGAGGTTGCAGTAAACCAAGGTTGCGCCACTGCCCTCCAGCCTGGGCGACAGAGCTAGACTCCGTCTCAAAAAACAAACAAACAAACAAAAACAAAACCAAACCAAAAAAACACTAAAACTAAAACTAGAACCTCATATGATCTAGCAACCCCACTTCTGGGTATTTACCCAAAATAATTGAAATCAAGATGTCAAAGAGATATTAGCACCCCATTTTCATAACAGCACTATTTACAATAGTCAAAATGTAGAAGCAACCTATATGTCCATTGATGGACAAATGAGTAAAGAACATACGGTATAGTCATACAATAGAATATTATTTAGCCTTAAGAAATAAGGAAATTGTGCAATCTTAAGCAACATGGATGAACCTTGAGGACACTATGCTAATAAGCCAGTCACAGAAGGACAAACACTGCAAGATTCCACTTACATATGGTATCTAAAACAATGAAATTTGTAGAATCGAAGAGTGAAATGGTGGTTTGTCATGGGCTGGGGGGAGGGAGAAATGAAGATTTACTAATTAATGAGTGTAAAGTTCCAGTTAAGCAAGATAAATAAGTTCTAGAGATCTGTTACACAACATCAAACCTACAGTCAACAATACTGTAATGTACACTTAAAATTTTGTTAAGAGGGTAGATCTCATGTTGTGTTCTGGCCACAATAAAATAAAACTAATAAAGTTTAAAAAATAAAGGAAAAAATACAAAGCTAGATTTCTAGATTTCGGTACTCAGTGAAAATATCCTTCAAAAGTGAAAGTGAAATAAAAAAATTTTCACACAAGCAAAAGCTCAAGAGATTGTTTCGCCATCAGATCTGTACTACAGGAAATATGGAAGGGAGCTCTTCAAGTCGAAGGGAAATGAACATATACATATATTGACTTGTGGAGTTTATAACACATGTAGCAGTAAAATATACGACAACAATAGCACAAAGGAGGAAGGCAGGTAAACGCAGTTAAACAGCTGAAAGATTCTTGCAATGTTCAGCAAGTAGTAAATACGCTAATTTAAGGAAGAAGGTATCGCAACAAGGATGCATATTATTACCAAGGTAATCAATAAAAGAATACTGTACTAAAAGAATGCATAACTAATATGCTAATAGAGAAAAATGGAAAAAAAAAACTTGATTAATCCAAAGAACGGCAAGAAAGGAATAAAGGAACAAGGAACAAATAGGACAAATGAAAAACAAATAGCAATATGGTAGACTTAAACCTAAATATATTTTACACTATATGAAGTGCAAATGGGCAAAACACTCCAATTAAAAGACCAAGATTGTCAGACTAGATTAAAAAAACAAAAAATAAAGAACAGCTATTTCCAAAAGAAAACTTTAAATATCAGAAAGACTGAAAGTAAAAGAATAGAAAAAGACATACCACGCAAATAAGAACAAAAAGATAGCATAAAATAGACTTTAAGAAAATAAATATTACTGGAGTTACAGGGGTACACAAATCAATGTTGCTTTTAATAACAAAAAGATGTTTAGGGGGTGTTTCCTACTCAGCTGTTATGAACCTTATTTAGAAGAATGAGGCCAGGCACAGTGGCTCACGCCTATAATCCCAGCATTTTGGGATGCCGAGGTGGGTGGATCACCTGAGGTCAGGAGTTTGAGACCAGCCTGGCCATCATGGTGAAACTCCCATCTCTACTAAAAATGCAAAAATTAGCCAGGCATGGTGGTGGGCAACTGTAATCCCAGCTACTCAGGAGGCTGAGGTGGGAGAATTGCTTGAACCTAGGAGGTGGAGGCTGCAGTGAGCTGAGATGGTGCCACTGCACTCCAGCCTGAGCAACAGAGCGAGACTCTGTCTAAACAAACAAACAAACAAACAAACAAAAAACAAGAAAAAGAAAGTAAGTTCAAGAGAGATAGAGAGATGACCTTAGAGCCAGTCATCAAAATCTACCTAAAAGTTTGTTTTTTCTCATTAGGACTAAAAATAGTCTGCAAGAGATTGATATTCCATCTTCCCCAAGTGGAGGTAGCCGAGACTACTTAGGATAGAAAACAGGCTTTGTCGACAAAAACACAAGCTATGACATCCACCTTAATTGCCTAATAGCTGGGTGACTGAGTCTGTTTCCTTCTCTGTAAACTGAAGATAACATGAGCCTTGGAGCAGCAGAGCACTTGGCACACCCTTGACATGTTGCAGGTGCTCTGTCGGTGTGGGTTCCCACCCTCTCTTCCCCTTGGCCTCTGGGTAGCTTAAGACTACTAGAGACGCAGGTGTGGCTCTGACTCTGGCTCAAAGCTCTCTCTGAAAGAAAGAGAAGCTGCTTCAGAAGCAGAGAAAGGCCTGCATTCCCCAACTGGACACTGAGAGGGGGAAGATACAGGGCTTGCGCATCTGCCAACGGTGCCAGCTGACAAACCTGGGGTAAGAAATCCTTGCCCTGTAAACTTACTTGGAAATTCCTAAGCCAAATATATTCTGTATTTTTTATCTTGTTTCTCTTAGTCCTTCTTATTAATGTCCCTTAACAATAAATTCAATTGTCTTGAATTAAAAAAAAACGGATAAAGCAACTTTGATGGTAAATTTAAGAGGTAGAGATGAGAGGAACAGGGAGGGAAGACGCTGGTGGTGGGTAACTGTGTACGTTCTTCCCACCTGCCTAGTGAGTTTCAGTTTTTTTGTTTTTGTTTTTTTATTCTTTTGAGACGGAGTCTCGCTCTGTCACCCAGGCTAAAGTGCAGTGGTGCAATCTTGGCTCACTGCAGCCTCCCCCTCCCGGGTTCAAGCAATTCTTCTGCCTCAGCCTCCCTAGTAGCTGGGATTACAGGCATGTACCACCATGCTCAGCTAATTTTTGTATTTTTTTAGAGACAGGGTTTCACCATGTTGGCCAGGCTAGTCTCAAACTCCTGACCTCAGGTGATCTGCCCACCTTGGCCTCCCAAAGTGCTGGGATTACAGGCGTGAGACACCGTGTCTGGCCAAGTTTTAGTTTTAAAGCCTTTAAAGCCACTTGCTTTCTAGTCCTTGGTGCACTTTAAAAAAAAAAATGTGTTAGTCCCTTATAAAAAGCAGGGACTGTTAAAAAGGGAGAATCACCATGAAGCACAGTGATCATAATGCAGCAGACTGTTCATAAAATGTTTACAATTCAAAACTAATCAGCGAAAACATGTGCTCCTGGATGCTCCCTTTCAAAGGGTCTCCTGATCTCAAGCATTCTGCAAAACACCCGTAGTTTTGTCTATTTTTCAAAGTACAAGTCTTAGCGACTAGACAGGGAAGACGAGGGCGAGTTCAATGGGGGTCATCATCCATCATTCCACTGGGGCAAACAGACCGCACTCCTGTCTTCACGGGAGGCCTCACCGCCTCTCTGGATTGTCTTGGGTTGGGTGCTCCACAAAGCAGACCCTGAGCCAAGGATTCAAGTGCAAGTGATTTGTTAAGGAAATGCTCCCAGGAGAAGGGAGAGGAAGAGGCCAAGCAAGGGCATTATTTCAGGTTAACCCCAGACTCATCCCAAGCCCTGGAGGAGCCCAGGAGCATGAGATAACTACAGATCCAGCAATTCTGCTCCTAGATCCATACTCAGAACAACTAAAAGCCGGGACTGAGATACTTATGTATCAATGCTCACAGCAGCCAGAAAGTGTGCATCAACAAATGCATGGATAAACAAATGTGGTCCATCCATACAATGGAATATCATTCGGCCATAAAATGAAGGAAATTCTGTTACATGCCACAACACAGATGAACCTTGGAAATATTATGGTAAGTGAAATAAGCCAGACACAAAAAGAGAAATACCGTATGATACTACATGTAAGGGACCTAGAGGAGTCAAATCCATAGAGCCACATAGAGACTCTTGGGAGTCAGGGGGATGGGAGTTATTGCTTAAGTGGGTAGACTTTCTGCTCAGGAAGATGAGAACATTCTGGAAATGGATGGTAGTGATGGTTACACAACAACGTGGCTATACTTAATGTCACTGAATTGTATACTTAAAATGGTTAAAATGGTAAATTTTCTGTTACGTATATTTTACCACACTTTTTAAAAACATTTTTTAAAAATCTGGGTAAGGGCCAGATGCGGTGGCTCACGCCTGTAATCCCAGGACTTTGGGAGGCTGAGGTGGGCAGATCACGAGGTCAGGAGATTGAGACCATCCTGGTTAACATGGTGAAACCCTGTCTCTAAAAATACAAAGAAAAATTAGCCGGGCGTGGTGGTGGGCGCCTGTAGTACCAGCTACTCAGGAGGCTGAGGCAAGAGAATGGCGTGAACCTGGGAGGCGGAGCTTGCAGTGAGCCGAGATTGCGCCACTGCACTCCAACCTGGGTGACAGAGCAAGACGCCGTCTCAAAAAACAGTAATAAAATAAAATCTGGATAAGATATGCCACAGCTTGTTCCACCTCCAGGCAAAGGAGCCGGGCATTTGTACTCACATCCCATTCGTTGGCACTGGCTCAGGCTGAGGAGGCACAGACCTCAACTCAGGCTCTTCCTGTCCTCTGTGCAGGGTATGGCTCCAGCACCCAAGGCCTCCTTTAAGGCCACAAGCTGCAGTCAAGCATGCCAAAGCCAGGGGTGGCTAAGAGAGCAGGAAGGGACCTTACGGGCAAGGGGTCATCAGCAGTGCCCACTACAGCCCTGTGGGCCCAAGTCACGGCAACTGTCTTCTCTGTGGCCAAGGCAAAGTGCTCTCACCCCAGGAGTGTTGCTGATACCTGGCCTTACCACAGGCCGTTTGCTAATACTCATGGTGTCTAAAGATGCTGACTTGGGGGAAGTGTCTGCCCTTTCAATCGTTTCTCTTTGGTGATGAAAAATGACACACATCTAAGAATAAATGTAAGGTAAATGTGCATAATGTCTACATTGAAAACAACCAACCAGTCACAGAGGGCTATCCCGTATTCACAGGATAGAAAAATGGGCAGGAGATTAAGAGGCTTCACACGAGAGGAGACCTGAATGGCCAGGAAGTGGATGAGAAGGTGCTTGAGTTTGTTAATCATCAGGAAAAACATAAAGCAAAGCCCACTGGGATGTGACTACACACTCACCAAATGCCAAAATGAACAAAACAGAAAATAAGCATACACGTGGATGTGGAGCTCCCACACACTGTGGGCTGTGAGCAGGCACCACCGTTTCCCACCTACCGAAGCTGAACGTGGGCACACCCCATGACCGGGTAAACAGGAACTGTCCAACACAAATGCACGCATTGGCTCACAAGACATGCACGAGAGTCTTCATAGCAGCACGATGTGAAATAGCCACAAACTGGACACTGCCTACATGCCCATCAATAGGCAAATGTATAAGAATAGTTGTATATTCAAAAATGCAGTATTAAACAGCAATGACAGTGATCTACATGGGCATACAGCAACACAGACGGCACTCACGAAATGTCGATTAAAAGAAGCCAGACACAGAGCATACATTTTTATATAAAGCACAACAACAGACAAAAATAATCTGTATTTAGAAGTCAGCGTAGTGGCTCCCTTGGTGGGGGTAGTGATAGGTGGCATGGCAGCTTCCAGGATGCTGACGATGTCTGGACCAGGGCGATTCTGTCTGTGAGAATGTGCTGAGCTGTACTCTGACGATCTTTTTGTCAAAAACAGGCTGCTTCTACTGAGACTCTTCAAAACGTTATAGGGAAACAGAATATCCTCCTGGGAAATGGGGACATTCTAGAAGAGATCACCATGTTCACAGCTACTCTTGAAAGCAACTGCTTTCTATGCCCAGGTCTGCACCTCATCAACTAAATCAGAGCACGTGGCGCAGAAGCTGAGCATCAGCAGCATGTAAAGGTCCCCAGATGACGCCAACGTGCAGCCAATTTCAGGACCCGCTGGATGATCTTTCCTCCCACATGACAGTGGGAATTTACAGACCCCGTCCCCCAGCCTGGAAGTCTCCCCTCACCCTTGGAGTCTCAGTCTAAATGTCACTTACCCTCCTCGAGGTTCCTGTTACCCTCAGAATAGGAGCAGGCAGTATGATCAATGAGAAAAAAGGGCCAGGTCCTAGAGGACTGAGGAACTCTTTAGTGAATCTGGATTTCATTCTAAGATCAATAAGGAGGCATTGAAGAAATTAAGTAAACATCATCCCTCTTCTGTCACTTACCCCATTCTGTCTTAGTTAGACATGAATTAATTGTAGTTAGCACATTTTGAGTGATGACCATGGGCAGGCAGTGTTCTCAGGGAATGCACTGATTAATCTCCATGACCACCCTGACATAGGGCCTGCTACTATCCTCGTCTTACTTCTGAGAGGTTTTGTAAAGTCACCTGAGATCACACAGCTTGGGAGTGGTAGAGCCAGAGCCAGGGTCAACCAGATAATTCTGCCTTAAACCACCATGCACAGGGCCTCCCATTGCCTCATCCTTTCCTCAAACACAGAATGACCCTCAGTGTCTGCCAAGCTCCATACTGAACACTGGGAAGATAATGTTGGGTCTTTCTTCAGCTCTCTGAATATACCTGAATTTAGCTTACAGAAGAATATTTAAAACAGAAAGACAGTCACAAAACATTAGGTGGAAAAATCAAGCTACGGATAGTATGTGCAGTATGATCTCATTTTTTATAAAATATAAAAATGTACTTACAGGAAAAAGGCTAAAAGGATAATATGAAATACCAAAAACTTCTAATGGAGATTTTACTTTCTAAACTCCCTACAATGAATGTTTTACTTTTCTAATACCAACCCAAATGACCCACAATGCCAACCTCAAGGACTCATCTTCTGGAGCCAATGGGGCAGCCATGCCAGGGATCACAGGGAAAGGCTGGCTGCCTTATCAAGGGTGGGCACAGGGTACCAGGGAGGCCAGGATAGGTGCAGCCTGGTGGACAGCATCTGCATCCCTGGTGCAGCTCCCCTCCCACAGGGTCTAGATGCTCCTGGCACCCAGTGTTTACTGAACACCCAAGAGGAGTAAGGCCTCTACCTGGAGGCTCTGCAAGAACAACATGTGGAGTTGGTTTACAACACACACACACACCCCACATCCAAGTCTGTAGGGAGTAGTGGTGTTGCTTTTAGTGGCCAATGCCCTGAATTTGGGAATCAGCCCTGCTAAATTTCAATCTTGGAGCTGCCACGTATTATCTGGATTTTAGATAAGTCATCTCAGCCTCTTCAGGCCTCAGGCCCCTCCTCTCTAAAATTGGGTACTGTTAGACCTGCTTAACAGGGTTGTGGGGTTAAATGGGAATGTCGCTAGAAAAACTTTGTGAGTTAAAAGCCTAATAATAATGTAAAGAATTATGTATCAAGTACTTACACGGAGCTTCATTTACAAGGTGCTAATCTCTGTGTTAAATAGCACACAACTATTAAGCCACATATTCTTCATACCCTAAGAGAGATGCCATGATTATACTTGCTTTACTGGTGGGGAAACACACTGAGCAGCTCGGTATCTTGTCCAAGACGGCACAGCTAGTAAGCTCCATCCCAGTTCCTAGCAGCCTCTCTCACCACGCAGTGAGAAGCAAGACACAGCATCTCATCCGTGGATATCTGCGTTCTGTACAGACACCTCCTGTTACACGATTATTTCATCTACACTGCACTGAGTGCTCCCCCAGGCTTACTCTCCCCAGGAGCAATGCTTCTCTTCTGCCATCTAGTGGCAGCCATGGCGCATGACACCTGAGGGGGCGTGTGCTTAAGGCTGGAGGATCTTGGCAAAATCAAGCAGAAATTCTCTTCCTCCATTCTGATAACTCAAAGTAGTATGCCAGGAATACTGGCATTTTAATGGGAGGAGGGGGGGCAACTGGCACTCACTCATTCAAAATCATTTGCTGAGCATGTACTGTAGGACACACTTTCATTCGTTCCACAAAGATGTATTGAGCCCCTACCAAGGAGCCAAACACCACCCTAGGTTTACTGCCAGGCTCTAGACAGCCAAAGAAACAGGAATAAAATACATTTCCTGCCCTCTAGTACCTTACGGAATACAGACAAGGGGGGCCACCAGAACATGCGGGTATGCTGACAAGATTAGCTCCATATGGGCAAGTGGGGGCAGCAACAAGAGCAAAATCCTATAAAATAAGAGGGGGTGGCCACTGACAGAATAGGGAACCCCACCCATCCCAACAAGCGGGAGCCAGAAAGGGTAAACGTGGGGGGGTTAGGACATTTGCTGGTGAAAACATGGTGTCTTATTCTGTTTTCTGCTGCTCTGACAGAGTACCACAGCCTTGGCAATTTATAAAGTTTATTTGGCTCACAGTTCTGGAGGCAGGAGAGTCCAAGAGCATGACACCAGCATCTGGCAAGGGTCAGCCCACGGTGGAAGGTCAAGTCAGTGCATGAGACAGAGAGAGAAGTAGGCCAAACTTATCTTTTTGATGAGAACCCCACTCCCACAATGGCTTTAACCCCTTCATGAGAGTGAAGGCTTCATGACCCAATCACTTCTTGAAGACTCCACCCCGAATACTGGTAAAATAGCAATTAAATAGCAACATGAGCTCAGGGGAGCCATTCAAGCCACAGCAGGTGGAGACTCTTACCATTTCCATAAGACACAAGGTAACCATCTGAGAAGTGGGAGTAGGGGCAGGAAAGTACTGAAAGAGGCTAAGGAGAAAAGACACACATGAACCAGTTGTTTTAGAGAATAGTGAGCACACATAACTGTGATTTTTAGGTGGTGATATATTTGGAAAGTGACTTGGAAAGCCTCACTGTGCGCTTCTCTCCAGGAACATTCAGCTACTTCAGCAAAGGTGCCTCATCACCTTTAGGGCTTTGTTGCCTGTGTTGCTGAATGCCTCAAATGCACTTTAAAAGAAATGTGTATTCTACTGTATAGGAGAATGTTCTATAAATGGCAAGTAGGTCCTGTTGGTTGATGATGCTAATTAGTTGTTCCACATCCTTGCTGATTTTGTCTAGTTCTATCAAGTACCAAGAGAGGAGTACAGAAGTACCAAGTATAAACAGGGATGTGTCTACTCCTCCTTTCAGTTGTCAGTTTTACTCCACGTTTTGAAGCTCTCTTGTTTGGTGCATTTAGGGTGGTTGTCTTCTTGGTGAATTGATACCTTTATTATTGTGTAATGTCTCTCTTTATTCTTGGTAATTTTCTTTGCTCTGAAGTGTACTTTTTTTTTTTTTAAGTAGGGCCTCACTCTGTTGCCCAGGCTGGAGTACAGTGGTTCAGTCATAGCTCACTGTTAACCTTGAACTCCTAGGTTCAAGGGCTCGTCCCACCTCAGCCTCCTGAGCAGCTAGAACTACTGGTGCATGCCACCACACCTGGCCAACTTTTAATTTTTTTTTGTAGAGACAGGGTTTTGCTATGTTGCCCAGGCTGGTCTTAAACCCTAGCCTCAAGTAATCCTCCTGCCTCGGCCTCCCAAAGCACTGAGATTATAGGTATGAGCCACCACACCCAGCCCTCTGAAGCCTACTTTGTCTGATATTTATATAGGCACTCAAGATTTTTAAAAACCCATGTCAAAGTGGTATATCTTTTTTCATATTTTTACTTTTAACCTGCCTGTAGCACTATATTCAAAGTGATTTTCTTGTACACTGCATTATAATTGGGTCATTTAAAAAATCTATTTTGATAATCTTTGTCTGTTTAGACCACTTACATGTAATGTAATTACAGATGTCAAGATTTAGGTCTGCCGTTTTATTATTTTATTTTTATTCTTCCCCTGTTTTTTATTCCCGTTTTCCATTTCCTGCCTTCCTGTGGGCTATTTGAACATTTTGTACTACTTTATTTTGATTTACCTATAGTGTTGTTCGCTTTATCTTTTTCTATAATTTTTACTTGTGGTTACCCTTGGGATTATCATACACATCCTTATCAGTCTAGTAATATCAATATTTTACCATTTCAAGAGAAATACAGAAACCTTACCACCATTTAAGTCCCTTTGCTCTCCCATTCTTTATAACATAGTTGTCTTAAATATTACCTCTGCATACAATGAAAAGCGTATCAGGCATTGTTATAATTTATTTAAAAATTTTTTTCCATAGGTTACTGGGGAACAGGTGGTGTCTGGTTACGAGTAGCTTCTTTAGTGGTGATTTGTGAGATTTTGGTGCACCCATCACCCAAGCAGTGTATACTGCACTCAATTTGTAGTCTTTTATCCCTCACCTCCTTCTCACCCTTTCCCCCGAGTCCCCAAAGTCCATTATGTCATTCTTATGCCTTTGCATCCTCATAGCTTAGCTTCCACTTATGAGTAAGAACATACAGCGTTTGGTTTTCCATTCTTGAGTTACTTCACTTAGAATAAGTCTCCAATCTCATCCAGGTTGCTGCAAATGCCATTAATTCATTCTGTTTATGGCCGAGTAGTATTCCATCCACCCTGTTTGTGTGCTACCTAGAGGTTAATCTGAAACCTAGGCAGTATTCCACACCATAGTTGAATTCTCAAAGTTTCTGCTTTATTGATTCTGGTCAGTTTCAAGCATGAGCTGCTCAGAGGTGTGCTCAGGACTTCATACACAGAGTTAAAGATTTTTCTCTCCAGTTCTCTCTTCTCTGAAATCCTCCCCAAGTCTCTAGTGTAGAGACACTGACTCTTTATTGTCCTTCACTTAGTGCTCGGTGGGCATGTTGACAGGGCGCCACCCCACAGTCTCCATGCTGAAGCATCCAGTGGGAGGGGTGCAATTTCTTTAAGGTGTTCATCTGGAGTAGGGCAGTAATATAGTTTGGGTATTTGTCCCCACCCAAATCTCATGTTGAATTTTAATCCCCAGTGCTGGAGGTGGAGCCTGGTGAAAGGTATTTGGATCATGGGGGTGGATTCCTCACGAATGGCTTGGGCCATCTCCTTGGTGATAAGTGAGCTCTTACTCTGAGTTCACAAAACATCTGATCACTTAAAAGTAAGTGGCATCTCCCCCCACTCTCTCTCTTGCTTGCTCCTGCTTTTTTTATTTCTTATTGAAACTTTCATTGGTCTTGATGCTCCTCCTTTTGCTATGTTATGGCCTGCTCCTCCTTCACCTTCCACCATGCTTGTCAGCTTCCTGAGGCCTCCCTAGAAGCCAAGCAGATGCCAGCACCATGCCTCCTGTAAAGCCTGCAGAACCATGAGCCAATTAAACCTTTTTTCTCTGTAAATTACCCAGTCTCAGATATTTCTTTACAGCAATGCAAGAACAGCCTAATACAGGGAGGTATACTCAAAGAAGCTTCATCTTGCAGGGCATCCTATTCCAGATCTTTTGGCTGGAGACATTAGGTTCTTTTCAAAATTTTGGTCTGCAATTGTAGGTTGCAGACTGCCATAGCACCCAGACCAGGATATACAGGAGGAAGAAAACAAACAGATAACCCACTGCTGAGTTGTGCTATGAGTCCTGAGGTCCTTGGCCACTCTATCTTCTTTCAGAGTCGTCTGGTAGTTGCTTTATAAATTTTGCCCAGGATTTTTAGTTGAAATCAGCAGGAGAAATAGGACAGAATGGACCTATCCCATCTTGTCCAGAACCATCAGTGATACCTTTTTTAAAACCTTCTTAAAATGGATCATACTAAAAAGTACTGAATACACATTACACATATAGTTAACAAACTTTGGGATGGGAAGAGCGGGAGAGATGGGCCAGAACTATTTGAAAGATGCCTTAAGACTGAGGTCACTCTACAGTGCAGGCAGAGCTTGAAAGTTAGTTGCAGCTTTCTTATCCCTGGAAGTGTTCCCTCTAGTTGTCTCCCAGAGAGTACATATTCCATGGGATGCCCTTGTGGCCAATATCCAGCCTCACATTCCCTTCTCAAGCCCTATCAGGGAATTGTCTCTCTCTTGCCTTCCAGGGAGGCACTGTGATAATGGAGCTAGTAGCTCCAGGCTTTGGAATCAGACTGCCTTAGTTCTAATTCTGCCTCTACAACTTCTTGGTTATGTGACTTTATCTGAGAACCAGTTTCCAACCTGTACGATGGGGACATAATACAGAAACCAAGGACTTCATGTCTAAAACACCAAAAGCAATGGCAACAAAAGCCAAAATTGACAAATGGGATCTAATTAAACTAAAGAGCTTCTGCACAGCAAAAGAAACTACCATCAGAGTGAACAGGCAACATACAGAATGGGAGAAAATTTTTGCAACCTACTCATCTGACAAAGGGCTAATATCCAGAATCTACAATTAACTCAAACAAATTTACAAGAAAAAAACAACCCCATCAAAAAGTGGGCAAAGGATATGAACAGACACTTCTCAAAAGAAGATATTTATGCAGCCAAAAAACACATGAAAGAATGCTCATCACCACTGGCCATCAGAGAAATGCAAATCAAAACCACAATGAGATACCATCTCACACCAGTTAGAATGGCAATCATTAAAAAGTCAGGAAACAACAGGTGCTGGAGAGGACGTGGAGAAATAAGAACACTTTTACACTGTTGGTGGGACTGTAAACTAGTTCAACCATTGTGGAAGTCAGTGTGGCTATTCCTCAGGGATCTAAAACTAGCAATACCATTTGACCCAGCCATCCCATTACTGGGTATATACCCAAAGGATTATAAAACATGCTGCTATAAAGACACATGCACACATGTTTATTGCAGCACTATTCACAATAGCAAAGACTTGGAACCAACCCAAATATCCAACAACGATAGACCGGATTAAGAAAATGTGGCACATATACACCATGGAATACTATGCAGCCATAAAAAAGGATGAGTTCATGTCCTTTGTAGGGACATGGATGAAACTGGAAACCATCATTCTCAGCAAACTATCGCAAGGAAAAAAAACCAAACACCGCATATTCTCACTCATAGGTGGGAATTGAACAATGAGAACACATGGACACAGGAAGGGGAACATCACACACCAGGGACTGTTGTGGTGTGGGGGGAGGGGGGAGGGATAGCATTAGGAGATATACCTAATGCTAAATGACGAATTAATGGGTGCAGCACACCAACATGGCACATGTATACATATGTAACAAACCTGCACGTTGTGCACATGTACCCTAAAACTTAAAGTATAATAATAAAATTAAAAAAATACAATAGTACAGAAACCAACAACTTTTTACAACCTCTACTATAATCACATAGTCTAAGCCACTTAGATTACAATAGTGTCACTGCTTCCACCCTTGACCCTTCTTCATCCTTTTCTCCACATAACAGAAACAATAAGAAACTTAAAAGGAAAGTCACATCATGTCACTTCTCTACCCAATTGCTTCCCCAAATCCTTACAATGGACATCGGGACTCTCTATGATCTGGCCCCTGCTATCTTTTCAACCCCACCTCCTACCATTCTTTCCCTGCTAACCTCACTCCAGCCATTCTGCTGCTCCTTGAATATTCCAAGCATCCTCCTGCCCTCAGGACTTTTGCATATGTCCCTGCACGGAATTTCCTTTCTCCAGATGGAGATAACATAATGTGGTAGTAAGGGAAAAATCACCTCGGTTACTAAAAAGTGTGTGAGTGTATACAGCGGGCCCTCCATATCCACAAATTCTGCATTGGCAGATTCAGCCAAATGCAAATGGAAAATATTTGGGAAAAAATAATAAGAAATAACAATACAAAAATAAAAATACAAATAAAAACCCAATACAGTATAACAACTATTTACACAGCATTTAAGTACTAGGCATTATAAGTAATCTAGTGATTATTTAAAGTATATGGGAGGATGTGCATAGGTTATATGCAAATACTATGCCATTTAGTATAAGGAACTTGCGCATCTGTGGATTTTGGTGTCCTGAGGACATCCTGGAACCAATCCCTCATGGATACTGAGGCACAACTGTATATATGTATAATTTATACGTGTTATCTATATATATTTACATATAACACATTTATTCAGTGCTATGTCAAGCACCATTCTAATGGAGCAATTTACAAACATCTGACTCTTCATGACAATAACCCTACATAGGTAAATACTACTTTTTTTTTCTTTTTGAGACAGAGTCTTCCTCTGTCACCCAGGCTGGAGTGCAGTGGCACGATCTTAGCTCACTGCAGCCTCTGCCTCCCACTTCAAGCGGTTCTCATGCCTCAGCCTCCTGAGTAGCTGAGATTACAGGCATGCGCCACCACGCCCGGCTAGTTTTTGTATATTTAGTAGAGATGAGGTTTCGCGATGTTGGCCAAGCTGGTCTCAAACTCCTGGCCTCAAGTGATCTGCCTGCCTCAGCCTCCCCAAGTGCTGGGATTACAGGCATGAGCCGCCGTGCTCAGCTGGTAAATACTACTTTTATAACGATTTTAGATATAATGAAACTAAAGTATAGAAAAATTAATTTGCCCACATAGCTAGCAAGCAGTAGAGTCAGGATTCAAACCCAGACAGTGTAGTGCCTTTTCTCCCACTTTTATAAAATTTTATAATATTTGTACTTTATAAGCACATATTATAGTTACATAAATCTATACAAGAGTGATGCATGTTAAGTGTTTAGCACAGTGCCTGGCGCATAATATGGGTCCAACAAATGTTACCTGGTTTTCATTCCCACTGTACCTTTCAAGGGCACATGAGGGAAGTTAAGTCATATGATAGCTAACACATACTAATGGGAGATAGCCAGAGACTCCTTCAGATCCAACCTTCAGCAGAAACCTCTGGAGACAATGAAACGAAAGATTTGACATGACTACACTGATATTTTAGCAAGGAATTCTGCTGGAAGTGTATGGGATCAAGTTACAGGAGAAAGAAGTTAAAGCAGGGAGAACTACTGGGGAGGTTTCGGAAAAGGTCCAAGAGTTCCATCTCTTAGTGGCAGCTCACATGGAGTTTACATTCTAGGTGGAAACCTTTCATAGGCTTATTTTCGGCAGTTCTCACAACTGAGATCTGAGAGGGATCTATATTACCCCTATTTTTCTGAATAGGAAATGGAGGCTTGGAGTGGTGAAATAATTTGTCAAGTTACCTAGTAAACGAGAGTGAGAAATGAAGAACTCAAGTCTTCCTCTATACTCCAGAGTCCTCTACTCTGTTAGATACCTAATCACCAAGCTATAGCTGTTCAGACTAAGAGTGTTTTACGATTTAGGTAAACTGAGAAAGATAAATTCATTTAATTTAACAGTAACATCTAATAAACATTATTACTGTTTCTTACATGTTGTAATGTCTTACATTTTTGAAACAGGGACTTTCAAGATACAGCAATGGGACATAGGCAGACATACGTTCCTTGAATCTGCTCCTGGTTTGGGAATGTTTGTGACTATTACAACTTACAATGATGAGGTAAAACATTCTTTTATACTTTGTTACTAAAATTTTTCATTTGCCAGAAATTCAGGCATCATGTAGCCCAGTTTTAAAATCTCTACAGAAGCACTCACTAACCAGAATTAACAATTTTTAATGCATATAGCACTGAATGATAGCATGACATAAAAACATAGAAAGTGCCTGCCCTCAATGAGCCTATAGTTTAGTTGAGAAGCAGAGACAGGCTTCATAATACAAAAAGCTTTTAAAAAATGAAATGAGGATTCCCAGATTTGTCATCTTCAGGTTTGCCGATCTTGCTAGGCAAAAGGGACCTTAAGGCCAAAGCATCCTGTGGTTTTACACCAACCAGGCCCCATCTACTTTGCTGGTGCTGCAGCCCCACCCAAGCACAAGGGTCAGATAAGCCAACTCCTCCCTCCTCCCATTTTGGCATAGGCGTTCTCTAATAATGCAGCAGCCTCTGGGACTGTCTGGTCTTACATACCTCTTACTCACCAGGAGTTAGCAGAGGAGTACAAAAGTCACCAGGAAATGTGGAAAGAATATGGATTTTGGAGTCAGAATCAAACTCAAGCATGGATTGTCACATATAAGCTAAAACCTTGGACGGGTTATTTGACTGCTTTGATGCTGTTTTCTCATATATACAATGGATATAACAGAGATATCCATCCCCCACCATGTAAGCTCAAGACAATGAATTTCTCAGCCCACTAACTCAAATCTAGTCCTGGAGCTGTGCTCATGGGGTAGCAGAATGGTGGTGGACCAAAGACTTGTAGAATAGAATAGGCCTCTTTCTGGCTGGCAAGAAAAGGGTGCTTGAAGTAGGCAGGACAGGACTCCCATTCTCATGAAACTGGATAACTGGTTGGCCCAAGCTCAGGAAGACACTGTGACACCCCCACTTATGTGGAGACAGAGAGCTGTGCTGAAGACTCCAATCCAGTTGGATTTTTGGACACTTGATTTTCACCTGTTCAATAGTTATCTCTCGGCACATTTGGCACCTCACTGACAATAATTCCACTGGGACTGTTTTCCTAGCTCCAGCCACTTGTCAAGACAGCTACCCTCTCCTCCCTACACACCCACATCTATGCTTCTAGCCCATACTTTCTGTTCCTTGTTATATCAAACCCCAATTCTATACTTTCCCAATAATCCTTAATGACCATCTGAAAATGTCTCCAAAGCACATTAAACCCAGAGCCAAATTTTAGTTGGGCCAAAAACTATCACATTAAAACCCATTCACTGTTTTTTTTAAAACACATAGAAGACTCATTCTTTGAAAATCGAAATTGCCTGAAACAACATCTGAACTCTCTATTCTGTTCCATTGATCTATTTGTCTATTCTTTCACCAATATCACACTGTCTTGATTACTGTAGCTTCACAGTAAATCTTAAGGTTGGTTAGTCTCAGTCCTCTTTTATTCTTCTCCCTCAATATTGTGTTGGCTATTGTGGGTCTTCTGTTTCTCCATATAAATATTAGAATCAGCTTGTCAATATTCACAAAATAGTTTGCTAGAATTGTATTGGGATTCTGTTGAATCTATAGAACAAGTTGGGAAGAACTGAGATTTTGACAATAATAAGTCTTCTTATCTATGAACATGGACTTCTCTCCATTTCTTTCACCAGTTTTGTTTTCCTCATATAGGTCTTGCACATATTGTTAGGTTTATAAATAAGTAATTTGAGGGAGCGTGCTAATGTAAATGATACTGTGCTTTTTATTTCACATTCCACTTGTTCATTGTTAGTATATAGGAAAGTGATTCACTTTCTTATATTCATCTTGTATCCTGCAACCTTACTATAATCACTTACTAGTTCTGGCAGTTTGTCAATTCTTTTGGGTTTATACATAAACAGTCATGTCACCTGTGAACAAAGACAGCTTATTTCTTCCTTCCCAAACTCTTTATTTCCTTCTACTGCATTAGCTAGGACTTCCAGTCCACCAAGAAAAGGTTTCTAGTTTCTGACCAGTAAGTGTATTAGCTATAGGTTTTTTGTAGATGTTCTTCATCAAATTAAGTTCCCCTGTATTCCTAGTTTGATGCATTTTTATCATAAATGGGTGTTGGCTGTTGTTAAATGTTTTTTCTGCATCTATTGATATGATGGTATGATTTTTCCTTCTTTCACCTATTGATGTGATGAATTACACTAATTGATTTCTGATGTTAAACCAGTCTTGCATATCTGTAATAAGACCCATTTGGTTGTGGTATATAATTCTTTTTACATATTGTTGGATTTTCATTTGCTAATATTTTGTTAAGGGTTTTTGCATCTATCTTCATGAGATATAATGATCAGTAGTTTTCTTATAATGTCTTTGTCTGGTTTTGGTATTAGGGTAATGCTGGCCTCATAAAATGAATCAGGAAGTATTCCTTCTGTGTCTATCTTCTGGAAGAGATTGTAGAGAACTGGCACAATTTCTTCCTTAAATGTTTGTTAGAATTCACCAGTGAACCCATCTGGGCCTGGTGCTTTCTGCTTTGGAAAGTTTCTATTGATTCAACCTCTTACTAGATATAGGCCTATTCAGACTGCCTACTTCTTGTATTTTATTAGATTGCGTATTTCAAGGAATTGGTCAGTTTCACCTAGGTTATCAAATTTGTGGGCATGGACTTGTTCACAGTATTCCTTTATTATTCTTTTAATGTCCATGGGATTTGTAATGCCCCTTCTTCTGTTTCTAATATTTGTAGTTTGTGTCATCTTCATTTTTTTCTTAGCCTGGCTAGAAGCTTTTAAATCTTTTCTAAGAATCAGCTTTTGGTTTTGTTGATTTTTTTCTATTTCTTGTTTTTAATTGATTTCTGCTATAGTTTTTATTATTTTTCTTCTGCTGCTTACTTTGCATTTAATTTTCTCTTCTTTTTCTCGTTTCCTAAGGTGGAAGCTTAGATTATTAATTTTAGATCTCGTTTTTTAATACAGTCATCCCTTGGTATTTGTGGGGCATTGGTTCCAAGACTCTCCAAAGATACAAAATTCTGAAGATGCTCAAGTCCCTTATATGAAATGGTGTAGTTTGCAGGTAACTAGTACACATCCTCCCATTAATTTAAATCACCTCTAGATTACTTATATCTAATACAATGTAAATGCTGCATCGTTGTTATGCTGTAGTTTTTCACTTGTATTATTTCTGTCACATATATTTTTTTCAAATATTTTCAATCCATGGCTGGTTTAATCCATGGATGTGAAACCTGGCATTATAGACAGCCAACTGTATATGGATTCAATGCTTTCAATTTCCCTCTAGTCACTGCTTTTATTGCATCCCACAAATTTTGGTAAGTTGTAGTTTCATTTTGTCTTGAGATTTCTTCTTTGACCCATGTGTTAATTAGAAGTGTGTTGTTTAATCTCCAAGTATTTTGCGATTTTCCAGCTATCTCTCTGTTACTGATTTCCAGTTTAATTCCATTGAGGCCTGAAAACATACAGTGTATGATTTCTATTATTTTAAATTCTTTAAGGTGTGATATATGGCCCAGAATGTGGTCTATCTTGACGAATGTTCCATGTGAACTTGAGAAAAACGTGTCCTCTGCTATCACTGGATAAAGTAATCATAGGTGTCAATTATCTCCAGTCAACTGATGGTGCCACTGAGTTCAACGATGTCCTTACTAATTTTGGCCTGCAGGATCTGTCCATTTCTGACAGAAGGGGCTGAAAACTCCAACTATAATAAAGTGTTCATCTATTTTTTCCTTGCAGTTCTATCAGGCTTTACTTCACATATTTTCATGCTCTATTGTCAGGTGCATACATGTTAAGGATTGTTGTCTCCTTAGAGAATTCACCCTCCTATCATTATGTATTGCTCCATTATGTAATTATCCCTGATAATTTCCATTGCTTCTGAAGTCTACTTTGCCTGAAATTAATACAGCTACTCCAGCCTTCTTTTGATTAAGGTTACCATGATGTATCTTTCCCTATCCCTTCACTTTTAATCTATGTGTCTTTACATTTCAAATGATTTTCTTATAGACAACATATAATTGGGTCTCATTTTTTTGATCCACTCTATTTTTTAACTGGTGTATTTAGACCATTGACATTTTTTTTCCATGTGTCTAAGGCATGAACCAGGTATAGGTACAGATCAAAAGCCAAGCTGGGATGAACAAAGGGTTGCTTTGTCCCTGGCTAATATGGGCACCACCAACTAGGTGCCACTCTACCCAGGCCAAGGACACAGACCATTAACATTTAAAGTGATGATTTATATAGCTGGATTAGTATCTGCCATATTTGTTACCATTTTCTATTCATTGCCCTCATTATTTTTTTCTTCTCCTCTTTTTCATGCCTTTTGTGGTTTTAATTGAGCATTTTCTGTGATTCCGTGCTCTCTGTTAGCATATGAAGTTTCCCTAGAGTTTGCCATATACATTCACAACTAGTCCAAGTCGAATTTCAAATAACACTATACACTACCACTTCACAGGAAGTGCCTTTTTTTTTTTTTTGAGACGGAGTCTTACTCTGTCACCCAGGCTGCCGTGAACTCAGCTCACTATAACCTCTGCCTCCCAGGTTCAAGCAATTCTCCCTGCCTCAGCCTTCTGAGTAGCTGGAATTACAGGCACCCACCACCACGCCTGGCTAATTATTTTTTGCATTTGTTAGTAGAGACAGGGTTTCACCATGCTGGCCAGGCTGGTCTTGAACTCCTGACCTCAGGTGATCCACCCGCCTCAGCCTCTCAAAGTGCTGGGATTATAGGTGTGAGCCACCATGCCCAGCCGCAAGTGCCTTTTATTAACAAAATATTCCTAATTCTTCCCTGCTGCCCCTGATTTTATCATGGCTTTCATTAATTTCACTTACAGGTAAAATATGACCATTCGATACATTGTTGCTATTATCTTGAATAAAGTGATATTTCTTAGGTCAGTTAAGAATAAGAAAATAGAAAGTTTTAATTTTACCTCCACTTTTCTAATGCTCATCCTTTATGCAGATTTGAGTTTCTGACCTACATCATTTTCCTTCTTTCTGAAGAACTTCTTTTAACACTTCTTACAAGGCAGATCTACCACCAAAAAATTCCTTCAGTTTTTACTTGTTTGAGAAAGGCTTTATTCCCTTATCTCTTGCAGGATAATTTTGCAGGATACCAAAGTCTAGGTTGGTCATTTTTTTATTCCCAATACATTAAATATTTCACTCTACTCTCTTCTTGCTTGCATAGCTTCTGAGGACAGGTCAGATGCAACTTTTACGTTTGCTACTCTGTAAGTAAGGTTTTCCCCCCTCTGGCTGCTCAAGATTTTCTTATTTGTGTTTGCTTCTCTGCAGTTTTAATGATATTCCTAGGTGTAGCTTTTTGGTTTCATTTTGGGGTTGAGGGGGTGAAGGGATTAATCCTCCTTGGTATACTCTGAGCTTCCTGAATCTATGGCTTGGTATCTGACATTAATTTGGGGAAAAATTCTCAATAATTATTGCTTCAAATATTTCTTCTTTTCTCTGTTTCTCCTCCATCTGGTACTCCCATTATGTGTCCAGTTACACCTTTTGTAGTTGTCCCACAGTTCTTGGATATTCTGTGGGACAAAAGTTGTCCATACTATCCCTGGATACTTTTAAATCTTTGTCAATCTGACAATGAACAAGGGCTATCTTACTGTAGTTTGAATTTTTTAATTACTAGCAAGGCTGAATATTTTTCATGTTTATTAGCCATTTGATTTCTTGTTTTAGGAATGGCACAATTTTTTGCTAGATAATTTGTAGAGATTTATTTTTAAGAATGGAAACTAGAAAATAATAAACTCAATTTATGGAAATCCTTAATCCTAGGTAATATTGTCGAAGTTATACGGCCCGCAAGGGACATTCTATTTTACTTCACATTCACCTGGTGAACACACCATTTGCTTAGAATCTAATTCTACAAGGCTTGTGTAATTTGGAGGGAGTAGGCTGGTGAGTATATGCTTCCCATGTCCTTGTTGATGAACACAGCATCAGCACTATTCAAGCATGACATTGGTATGCAGAACCATTACACTCAAACTGGCTAGAAACTTATTAAAGTCCTATGCCCAGATCTCAGCGCAGCAACCAAAGAGGGAGCTGGAGAGCTTGGAAGGGGTTCAAAGGAGAGCCATGAAGTTGATTAAAGGGTTTGAAAAATAAGAGCTGTGAGGGAAGGTTAAAAGAGCTGTGATTATTGAGGCTTGAAAACAAGTGAAGGCTGAAGGGTGAATTAATAATGGAATTCTAATAAATAAAACTCTTACACGGTAGATGGTGACTGGCTATTTTCTAAATGTGTTCGGAACTGATGGAAACAATTTGTACTTTAGCTTAAGAAATTTAGTTATATGTAAAGAAAATTTCCCTCAGAACATTAATCAAATTTTCTCCACACCAAAGTCATTTACCTAATAGTTAATTTCATGTTCAGGAAGGTATAAATATACTATAAGGTCAGTAATTTACCATTTAATGCATTATTATTACAAGAAAGACTACCAAGTAGAATAAGAAAGAGTGGCAGTGAGGGAAAAAAGGGAGCTGAAGAGTGAAGCAACGCCCTGCTTATGAAAAGGGGGAAGGGAGAAAAAGGAAGGACGAGGATACAAGAGTGAGAAAGTAAGGAAAAAGAGTGGAGCTGTTTTTAAAAACATGCCGTTTTTTCCTTTTTACTGTTTGTACAGCGGATCCACTTAGATATTCGAGTTGGAGAACACGACCTTGATGCGGCCATTGCTCAAGCAAAGGACAAAGTTAATGAACTTACCTTCAAGCTTGAACATCTAATTGAACAAATTGAGCAAATAGTCAAAGAACAAAACTATCAAAGGGTCAGTCTGCCTATTCAACTTATTTTATCTCTTGCTACCAGCAACGCATTTCTCAACACAAAGCCCCTGGACCAAGGAAAGAGTGAACTGCCTGTTCCTCACTTTCTCTCTGAGGTAGAACGGTGTGGATTCACAGGGACTAGAGAGAGCAATTTTTCTTCACTCTGTCGGCTGGACTATGAACTCCTCTAGGAAACAGAATTTCAGTTCATTCATCTTTTTATGCCCTGTGCCTAACGAAGTCCCCAGTAGCACAGGGTGTGAGCTTGCAGAATGAATAAATGCTTCCAAATGCATCCCATGTATTTGTAGAGGCTCACGTATGCTCACTTTCCAAATCACAATTTTATTCTTATGACATTAGGTGCTTTTTGAGTCACTACACTAAGTGGATATTGGTCAGATATGGGCTTAAATCTCAACTACCTGTCAGTAATCTGTGTCATCTCTAAGCTTCAGTTTCCTTAACAGGAAGATAAGGACAGGTGTGACAAGCAAATAAGGCATGCAAGTGCTTGGCCTAATGCCTGGCATAAAGGCTGGACTCAAATGATGAAATCTACCACTATTGGGTAATATTCGCTTTGCCTGATGGTAGCAAATAAAATATACGAATAGGTCAAATTCCTGATATTTTACACCAAAATACAAAACCATCTTTTATAAGGTTGATTTTTACTCTCTTATACTTGGCTAAGCAACAGATTCTGGTTTAGAAAAGCAGACTGCACGGATACGTTGGTGTAAGATATTAATTGGGTAATATTAAATACCTTGAATGCCCACAACAACCCTCCCCTCAAAATCGTGAGTTAAGTACTTTATGACACTAAACCTACTTCTTTTCCGCATAGGACCGTGAAGAAAATTTTCGAACGACCAGTGAAGATACAAATAGCAATGTTTTATGGTGGGCTTTTGCACAAATATTAATCTTTATCTCAGTCGGAATTTTCCAAATGAAGTACCTGAAAGACTTCTTTATAGCTAAGAAGATTGTTTAAAATATTATCAATAAGGACAAATAATCTGCATAATGTTTGAGTTAATAAATCAAAATACCTGCATATATGTGTATTATTTTTATGATTTCAAAGATACCAGAGATTGAGATTAACGTTATATCATTATAACATTGAGAGAATGCTTTTATAATGCAGCTTCTGAATTTGATAGATTAGGCACCTCATCCTATTCTTAAACTTATTTTTGAGACTGAGTCTCGCTCTGCTGCACAGGTGCCGTCAGGCTCACCACAGGCTCGATCTCCAGGGCCCAAGCAATCCTCCCACCTCAGCCTCCCGAGTAGCTGGGACCCCAGGGGCCCACCACCACACCCAGCTAATTTTTGTATTTTTTGTAGAGACGGGGTTTTGCCACGTTGCTGGTCTTGCTATTTTAAACTTGGTAGAGATCAGCACTGTCTAACAGAAATAAAAGTGGGCTACATACATAATTCTAATTTGCTGTTGTTGTTGTTGAGACGAAGTCTCACTCTGTTGCCCAGGCTGGAGTGCAGTGGTGTGATTTCGGCTCACTGCAACCTCCGCCTCGTTCAAGCGATTCTCCTGCCTCAGCCTCCGGAGTAGCTGGGATTACAGGCGTGAGCTACCGCACCCAGCCCATACGTAATTCTAAGTTTTCTAGTCTCCACATTGAAAAGGATTTTTTGAAAGGGTAAAATCAACGCTACTGATATATATTTAACCTAATATATCAAAAATATCATGTTAACATGTAATCAATATAAAATTACTAAGAAGGTTTTCATACGAGGCCCTGGAAACAGCTGTATTTTACTCACATCTTTCGGGGCGCAGGGGTCACTTGGCCCGTAGCTACCGGGAGCGCTCACCCTGCGCTCTCCCGGCACAAGCACTTGCCTGAGCCTCTCGATCCGAGCTTTGCAGCGTCCCAGCGGGTGGAAACTCTCAAAACCACGCAGAGGACAATTTTATAAAAAGTCACTTCCCCATGCTGGAACCTGGAAGCAGCAGAGGTCCTTCCCGAGCTACGCCTTCCGTTTCAGAGGGAAGCAGGCTCAGGCCTCCCGTGCTGAGGTCTCTGCGCCAGCGGCCACCTGGACACTAGTCCCAAAGCGTGCAGCGCGGCCTGGCCCCCACCCCCAACTGCCCCCCCCACCCCCACCGCCTCATCACACCCCACCCCCACCGCCTCACGCCCCCACACCCACCCCAACTCCCACATCCCCACTCCCGCTCCCACCCCAACTCCCACACCCACTTATCCCTCCCTCCCTCCTATCCCGCTCCCCGGGCCCCCAGGGCCCCCACGCCCACTCTCCCCTACTCCTCCCCTGCCTCGCCCAGCGCACTACCCTGGCCGCCCTGGCCTCCGGCCCAGCTCCCGGCCCTCAAGGTGGGCCTGGCCCGCATCCCCCGCCCTCGGCGCTCCCCCTCCCCCTCCCCCACTGCTGTCGCGCCGCGACGCCTCCTCAGCGCAGCCGCCATTCCCCGCGCCCGCCACCCAGGCCCGGCTTCCACAAAACACCTGAGGACCGCCAAGACAGGGGCGGGACGTTGGTGCTCGCGGTGCGTTCCTCCGCCTACTCCAGCCCAAACGACCTGGGAGACGAGTCACACGCGCCCTCCCAGGTGCTGCGGGAGAACCCGCGAGGTTGGCGGGAGGGCGCGAGCTCCAGTGCGCGGGCGCAGGGCTGCCGTCGACTTTGCGCAGGCGCAGAGCTGCCCGCCTTCGGGCCCTGCGCGGGGAGGCTGGTCCCAACCTTGCGTGGGCTTCGCGTGGGCCCGGCCTCGCCGCTGCGGTCGCCCGCCTGGCATGGCCAACTGGGTGTTCTGTAATCGCTGCTTCCAGCCGCCCCACAGGACGTCGTGCTTCAGCCTCACCAACTGCGGGCACGTGTACTGCGACGCCTGCCTCGGCAAAGGTCAGGGCTTCCCGAACGCAGGCTGGAGAGGGGAGGGGAGCGGCAAGGGGGTCAGGGAACTCCGGGGGATGGGGGACTTGGGTGGGAGGGCCATGGGGGCACGTGGGGGGCTGCGGAGGAGAGAGGGCGCGTGGAGAAGGGGGAGGGGGCAGGGGGAGGGGGATGCCAGGGGAGAGGCCGCGAGGAGCAGGGGAACTCTGAGGGGAGGGGGACCTGGGGTGGAGGGGCCGCGGGGGCGCGTGGGGGGCCGAGGGGGAGAAACGGCGCATGGAGCGGGGGGGGCATGGGGGGGTGAGAGGCCGCGGAGGTAGGGGTATTCGGAGGAGGGGCCACCGGGGAGTGGGGGCCGCGGGCGTGATGAGGGGCCCGTGGGGAGAGGGGGACACTGGAGAAGCGGTGGGGAGGGAGCGGGGGAGTGAGGGGCTGCGGGAGGGTGGGGAAAGAGGGGACGCCGGAGGTGGTGGGGGGCTGCAGGGAGGAAGGGGACGCCAGAGGAGGGGGGCAAGGTGGGGGATGTGGGGGGTCAAGGCTTGGGGGGGAAGGGGGATACCGAGGAGATGGGGGGAGGGGAGACGCCAGGGGAGGAGGGCGTGGGGGAGGGTCCGCAGGCAGGAAGGGGCCGTGGAGGGGAGGGGCCGCCGGGGGGAGCGGGATGCAAGATGAGGGGGACACAGGGGTCGGGCCACGAGTCCTGTCAGTCGGGGGCTCTGGCTTGCAGGCTGCGGGTCCGCCTGGAGGACCTGGGGGAGAAGCGGGCAGGCGGCAACCTTAACGCCAGTGGAGGACTCTGGCCCTATTCCATGGGCAGCGCGGGGCCCTGGTGTCAAGTGGACAGTCGCATTGTCAGGGAGGCGTTTTTCTTTCTGTGAAAATTTTGTGTTGAACTGATGTTTATGCAAGAACAAAAGCAAAAACACAGTGAGCTTTTACCAAGCGAACTTCCCCGTGAAAGCAGCCAGCTGGGTGCCGGTGGCTCACAGCCCTCCAGCCCCAGGGGACGCCAGCTGTGCTGACCTCCATCCTCGGAGTTGGCCTTAGACCCATGGAGCCTTAGTGAATGCAGCCCTACAACCAGCCCTACAGCAAAGCCGCTTTCTGTGGCTCCCCATCTTTCTTCCTTTTTCTCCCTTCCTTCTCTTTGCCTCTTTCAAGGCAGAGCTCAGCTTTGTCGCCCAGGCTGGAGTTCGGTGGCGGGATCTCGGTTTACTGCAGCCTCCGCCTCCCAGGCTCAAGTGATTCTCCTACCTCAGCCTCCAGGGTAGCGGGGCTACAGGCATGTGCAGCCACGCACCCCTGATTTTTTTAATTTTTCACAGAGATGGGGTCCCTTTGTTGCCCAGGATGGTCTCCAATTCCTGTCCTCTAACAATCACCGGCCTTGGCCTCCCGAAATGTGGGATTAGCAAAGTTTATCATTGTATTTGTATGTAACTGTAGTTCATCTACTTTCATTGTTGTGTGGTGTTCCATTGTATGGATACACCCCAAGTTACTCATCGTTTCCACTGTCCATGGCCCTTTGGGTTGTTTGCAGATTTGGCTGCAGAAATAATGCTACTGTGAATCTTCTTGCTCCTGTCTTCGGTGATCTTAGGTACACATTTCTGTTGGGTGTGTAACCTGGGAGTGGAGTTGTTGATTTCAGGTGTGTATTTAAAAACAAAAGTGTCTCGGGCAGCGAGGTGAAAAGTAGATTGGAGGGAGATAGAAACTGTGGGAGAGACTGCAGCTGAGCACATGAGAGGTGATGGGGAGAAGTGATAGGTTCAGGAGAAGTTAGGTAGATTCAGCAGACATGAGTCGGAGACAAGGGCTAGAGAACTGGACAGGGTTTCACTGCTAGACAAAACACTGGAGAGGAGCCCAGCGGGAGGGAACCCAGCAGGGTGGGGCACAGCAGGGTGGGGTGCAGGGCCCCTGAGCTCATGTCTGGACACGGCCTGTATCCTGTGAGAGCCATCCAGGGGAAGACAAGAGGCAGTTGCACATGTGGGTCTGGAACTCAAGACAGCCAGGAACACATTTGGGGAGCGATTAATACGGGATAATAATCCTATAATCCTAGATATTGGAGTGTGGAGAGCCCCAAAGGTGAAGGAAACTAGAAGAGACTATCTTGTTGGAAAGAGCATTTGTTGAAGGAGGTAAAGAAGATGTCAGGTAAAAAAGAGATGTTGATGAACTGGACATCCCAGTGAAGTCAAGGAATTGGTGTTTGAAAGTGTCCATTGGACCAGTGAGGAGGGCACTGGTGACCCAAGATAATGTTCCCCGAAGATAACATTGTTAGGAATGATGGAGACGCGTGTGCCTTCGTGGTGCTGGGAAGTGTGAAGACAGGGCTCAGAGCGTCATAGCTTTTGAGGTCAGCATACTCTGCGTTGGCAGGTGACTGGTTAAGGGCCTGGGGCAGGTATAGATTCACAGGTTTGCCTAGCTCTTAAAGCCTGAGGTCAACACAGATTCCAGTAGTCTGAGTGCATTCCTCCAAAAAGCCACAGATGCTGCATGTCGGGACCACACCAAATCCAAAGACACACAAAAAAGTGGTGAAAAGGGGTGGAGGCTCTGGGCAGAGCCTTGACTGTAGCTCTGTAGCTGTCCAGTGGTGTGTCACTCAGAGGGAAGCCCTTGTTTAGCTCTGGTGTATATCCTTCCAAGCATTTCCTATAGATGCAGATTTTTAAAACAAAAGCAATAGTGTGTCTACCATTCAGTAATCTGCTTTTATTACTTACTCAAACATAGACCTCCTTCCGTGTTAAAATAAGTCTGTATCATCATTCTTAAGGTTGCATGATACATCTTTTGGCTATCATACCATAACATAGTTTCTGCCGTTTTGCTATGAGACACCACTTGTTCTCTTACTTGATTTTTTTCCTTGGAATATATTCTTCGGGGTGGAGTGGCTAGGCTGCGGATGTGCACATGAAAACTGACCCAAATGCGACCCAAACAGGCACAAAGGAAGTGCCTGTTTCTATTCCCTGTAGTGACACGTGAGCACCTGTTGTTTTCTCCTCTTTGGTGTCTCTTACTAGTGACCTTGACCTTCATTTTGTGTGTTTATTGGCTGTTTGCATTTTTTCCTATGCCTATTCAGGTCTCCTCATAGCCTTTTATTGAGGTGTTTCTTTCTAATTGACTAGTGAGCACTATTTATAGATCAGGCATCAATCCCTTTGTCTTTTGGCCGCACGTGATTTCCTCTCTGTCATGTCTGTTAATCCTCCTCCCTTGTAAGAACTTTTCGATTTTTATGAGTCGGCTCTGTTAATCTTTTACTGCATGACTCCTAGCTGTGATGGTGCATAAGAGGAATTTTCTTGCTGCAGAATTTGCACTTAAAGAGCTAGAAGGGAGGGGACCTACTGTCAAGGGTAGATGTTTTTAGCATGAGGGCAACTTGAAGAAGAGAGGAAAGGAGACAATTCTGGAGGCTGTTAGAAGGGGACCCCCTCACCCCACAGTAGGACACCATTCTGTGTGCTGGGAGCTGCGGACACTGAGGCGAGTATGGATACACAAGTGAAAGCCTGGGCTTGGGCTGGAAGAGATGCTGCCTCCAAGGCAGAAAGGAAGGAGGTAGCGTGAAGTGGGTTGTTCTGTGGTGGGTCAGTCTAGAGGAGAGGGCAGAGAAATTGAGGTAGGTCATGAGCCAGGGCTGCTTCTGAGTAGATGATATGAGGGCCCTGGTTTGAGCAGCCCCATGGGGAATGGGGCAGAAAATACCCAGGAAAAGCAGGATTGCCCAGCAGTGTTGCTGACTCAGCAGCGTTGGAATCCTCAAGTCTGTGAATCCACCTCTCACTTAAGGGATGTTTTTTTCCTAGTTCTTAGCTGCACTGGCCCAGAGGAGGGGACAAAGCCACCGGGCTTGTTCAGGTTTGGACCTGATGTCCTCCCTGGAATGACAGGAGTGTGAAGGCTCATAGTGCCTGGTCAGCCCTGGGCTCCAAGTTGACTAGTGAGAAAATCAAGCTTGAGGTTCATTTTGAATAGTTAAAAATTTTAGATTAAGATATCACTATAAAGCCTAATCATAGGCTGGGCATGGTGGCTCATGCCTATAATCCCAGCACTTTGAGAGACCGATGTGGGCTGATCACCTGAGGTCAGGAGTTCAAGACCAGCCTGGCCAACATGGCAAAACCCTGTCTCTACTAAAAATACAAAAATTAGCCTGGTGTGGTGGCAGGCACCTGTACGCCCAGTCACTTGGGAGCCTGAGGCATGAGAATCACTTGAACCCAGGAGGTGGAGGTTGCAGTGAGCCAAGATCGCGTCATTACACTCCCGCCTGGGTGACAGAGTGAAACTCTGTCTCAAAAAAAAAAAAAAAGGCTAATTATGGCCAGGCACAGTGGCTCACGCCTACAATCCCAGCACTTTGGGAGGCTGAGGTGGGAGGATTGTTTGAGCCCAGGAGTTCGAGCCCAGTGTGGGCAACATAGTGAGACCCTGTCTCTACAAAAAAATTTAAAAATTATCTGGCTGTGGCGGCACACGTCTGTGGTCCTAGCTACTCAGGGAGGCTGAGAGGGGAAGACTGTTGAGCCCGGGGGTGTCAAGGCTGCAGTGAGCTGTGATCATGCCACTTGCAGATCAGCCTGGGCAACAGAACAAGACCTTGTCTCAAAAAAAATTTTTAATTTTAATTTTAAAAAAGCCTAATTGTAATAAATACCTGGGATAGACTTAGCCTTAAGTGTTGTTGATCTTTATGGTCACTGTTTTTGTACATATTTGCAAAAGAGGGGAAAAGAATGTTAGTTCTATAAATCCTTCCAACTGTACCAGTACCCACAGCCTCATCCTGTCAGAACATGAAAACCTGTAAGTGATACAATCCTGCCTATTTCTTGGAGAAACATTGTAAAGTCTGCATGTATACATATTTAAAAGTAGTAGTCAGTCTAATATAATAAAGCCTATTTTTATTTTATAGGTAAAAAGAATGAATGCTTGATTTGTAAAGCTCCTTGTCGTACAGTTTTGCTTTCAAAGCATGTAAGTTGAAATGTGTCGTATCTGCATCTTAATCACAGTCATATTTCCTTTTAAATTTGATATTTAATTTTTAGTCATTTGTGGTGTCTAAAATTTTCAGTCACTTTGCTCCGTTAACAAAGATATCTGAGTAATCAAAATGCAGTTAGGATTTAGTTTTTAAAACTTAATTTTTAAAACTTTCTTAGCTATAGATTGACCTTATTCCTAGGTTGTTGAATCGTGCTGTGTTCCTGGAAATGAAAGTGGGTTAAATAGATTTCTGCAGCACAATACAGGCACCTTAAGAGGGTGATAGAGTTTGGATTTGTATAGGGGTCATATATAATTAAGAGTGTTGTTCATAAAGTAAGTTTAAAATCAATTACTGCTGCAGGCTTAAAACAATGCCTTTTGTTCTCTCTATAAAATATTCAGTTTAACTTGTTATTGGTATAAACAAATGATTGGTCTTTTCTCTGCCTGATCTCCAAAATGTGCATTTGGTCTGATGATTTAAATATAATAGTTGTTTTTTTGTGATTACAAACATAATACAAAGTTACACAACATTCGTATAGTACAGAAAATTATAATGGCAAATGTGTAAGTCCTGCCGGGCGTGATGGCTCATGCCTGTAATCCCAGCACTTTGGGAGGCCAAGATGGGCGGATCACGAGATCAGGAGATCAAGACCATCCTGGCCAACTCAGTGAAACCCCATCTCTACTAAAAATACAAAAAAATTAGTTGGGCGTGGTGGTGGGCGCCTGTAGTCCCAGCTACTTGGGAGGCTGAGGCAGGAGAATGCGTGAACCCGGGAGGCGGAGCCTGCAGTGAGATGGCGCCACTGCACTCCAGCCTGGGTGACTGAGCGAGACTCTGTCTCAAAAAAAAAAAAAAAGTGTAAGTCCCCAGATCCTGTTTCCCAGAGATGACAGTGACCAGGAGTTTGGTACCTATTCTATGTGTGTTATTGTGATTTACCTTTTCATAAAAATGGTGTCTTCTCGGCCAGGCGCAGTGGCTCACACCTGTAATCCCAGCACTTTGGGAGGCTGAGGCAGGCGGATCATGAGGTCAGGAGATCGAGACCATCCTGGCTAACATGGTAAAACCCCGTCTCTACTAAAAATACAAAAAATTAGCTGGGCATGGTGGCACACGCCTGTAGTCCCAGCTACTTGGGAGGCTGAGGCAGGAAAATCACTTGAACCCAGGAGACAGAGGCTGTGGTGAGCTGAGATCACACCACTGCACTCCAGCCTGGGCGACAGAGCAAGACTCAGTCTAAAAAAAAAAAAAATGGTATCTTCTCAGTTGACATTATATTTTGGGCACACTCACTCTTAAAAGGACTGCATTATATTTTAGTATTTTCCTATCAGTGAGCCTTTGGATTTTTTCGGTTTTTCGCTGTTTCAAACAACCTTCCAGTGAACATTTTTAACCAATATCTCTCCACACTTATAAGAATATTTCTGTGGCATAAATTCCTGAAGTAATGAAAAAGCAAGGGCAAAAGATATAAATGTTTGCACTTTTAACAGAAAATACTTTCTTTTCCTCCACACATGTGGCAGCTTAGAGGCTCAGTGCCTGCCTGCTTCTGCTCCTCGCACGGTACCCTCGCACTAAGCCCTGTACACGGTCGGGCTGGAGGCTGGTGAGCCCTTAACCTTTCTCTAGCTTGAGTGGAATGTTCAGGTCATTTACTTACTTTCTTGTTTCCTAGTAAGTATATTTAAGACCATCCGTGTCTTTCTGTGCACTGCTATTCTGTATCATTTTGAGTACCGCTTTTCTCTGATTTCTAAATAATCTCTAATATGTCTTTATTTTTTTAACTCAGGAATTATTTGAAAGGATATGCTTTAGTTTCTAAGTGGTTAGCTTTTAGCTCCCTGTCATTTTCATCGTTAATTTTTAGTCCTATGGCATTCTGATGAGAGAATATGGCTATGTGGGTTTTTTAATTATCAGGATTTTCACTGTGGTTTAATACACAGTAATTGTTCATATTTGATTGGTGTTTAAAAAGGCGTGTGTTCTTTTCTCTGTGTCTGAGTGACTGTGTGTGTGTGTGTGTGTGTGTGTGTGTGTGTGTGTGTGTAAGTAAAATTGTTTAACATGTAGAAGTTGTTCCTGCTTCTCTTTCTCTAAACCATCACAGACCGTGTGGGCTCTTTCTTCCGCAGTGTCTTCCGAATGCTGGTCTTCCCTTCCCTGTTGCTTCACCCCCCTATAGGAGCTGCTGCTTCCTCCTCCTCTCACTCTGGCTTCCTAGAGCCTCTTCACCCTGCAGCCAGAGGGATCTGCTTAAATGCATCCCAACTTTCCAGGAGTAAGCGCCAAAGTCCCCCATGCATGTAGGCCCTGTGGCCTGGCCTCTGGCCGCCTCGTGGTCCCCAGGCAGCCAGCTTGGCCTGCAGCCCCTGCAGGAGCCAGGGTCTTCGTCCGCCTCAGTGCCTGGCTTTCTTGTCCCCTCTGACTGGAATGTCCTCCCAGATGGCCACAGGCTCCATCCCCCACAGCCTTAAGTCTCTATGGAATGTGAGGAGACATCACCAACAGCTCTGGCTCATGCTGGCTTCTTTGACCCTGACCTGCGGTGGAAGGACGCTTTATATTATGCCAGCATGTGCACTTGCACGTGGGTGCATCCGTGTGTGAGCACTTCGGTGAAATCAGTTTCACAGAGCAGTTCTTATCCTCGCTTAGTGCAGTACCCTCTGATGGTTTCCAGTCTCATGTTGTTTTTTCTTTAAAACAAAACACATTGTAAGTGGACTTCCCCAGACCTGATTGTGACAGACACTACCATGTAAAAGTGACCCTCTGACGCTGTGTTCCTTGACCTGGATTATTCTGCTTCGCAGTGTGTGTCACCACCTGAGATATCTTTATATATTGATTTGTTTGTCATTATAATGCTCCATTACGATTGAACGCACAGAATAGGGCACCACCGTATTGGTTGGGTGGTGGATGGCCAGGGAGCAGAGCAGACTGAAGCCAGTGCCTGGGGATGTGGTGGGTGGCTGGGCCGCCAGGAAGGGAGACTCCGGTGAGCGCGGAGCAGAGCAGCAGCTGTGCTCCCCCTGCATCTGCCTCCTTGAGGAGGGAGAGTGTAAGCTAGACCGGGCCGGTTTTTACACACACACGTGGAAAGGAGTAGCCACAGTAAGGAGGTGAAGGACGAGGATGCCCCACAGTCATGGACACGCCAGTTGCTTTTGAGTTCCAAGTGGTAAGAGATAAGTCTTGAGGGTGAAGGCCCTGAAAGCTGAGGCAGCACTTCTGCCTCGCTTCACTTGATGGGAACCCCAGCAGGCAGAACCAGGGCCTGGAGACAGCAGACAAGAGAGCTCCTCCAGAAGGCAGAGCTGCAGTCCAGCCCAGGCTCTCCCTGGGGGAGGAGCCCCCAGCACCCATCCTCAAATGCCTCATGACGTGCACCTGTGTTCTTCCTCCTCCCTTGGTGTGGTGGGGAGTGTTTCTTAGCTGTCCTGCCCCGTGCCGCCATTAGATGTCAGGTCATGGCGAGGATGCAGACACGTTCATTGTCTTTCTAGCTCATAGATTGCAGGCCAAATCGGGACCCGAGGGAAGGGGCCACATGCTGCCCCAGCATCTGAGCTGGGCCAGTGACAGTGGTGGTGGGGGCGCTCCACTCTGGGGGAGTGACTTTCTGTCTAAGGGAGGAGTGACCTGGATACCAGTGACCAGAATGGCAGACCAGGCCAGGCTGGGCAGTCATCACCACGCCTGCTCCCTTTCTTCCTGGGCACCTGGCTGTACTCATTCTCCCCACCTACCTTCCCATGCTGAAATGCAAGCAGGAGCAATGAAGACCACTTCCAGGCCTGGCCCATAAAAACAGCCTCCTGGACAGCCCTCCACTGCCCTTCTGTCACCACAGAAGCCCTGGAGAACAGGGCAGAGCTGCTGGGGGCGGGGTGACCTGAGCCCAGGGCCTGTATGGAAGGCCACCCACTGAGCCTGGTCTTGAACTATTGTATGGGCAAGAAACAAGTGTCCCCACAATAAGCCATTGAGATTTGGGGGTTGTCTGATACACCAGTTGGCCTACATTCATCTTCGCATGTCCGCATAAATTTTGGAGGCATGTCGTCAATTTCCACAGACACAGAATCCTGTTGGGATTGTTATTGTGGACTTACTGTTCTTTAGGGAGGCTTTGTGCAACAGTGTTAGTATCTCTGTTAGGTATTCAATGATTTGGACTGCTACTATTGTAGTTTTAAACAATTTTTCTCAAGTGCTTATTGCTAGTATATAAAAATGCAATGGATTTTCTTAACTGTCTCTAGTGACCTTGCAGAATTTACTTGATAACTCTGTTGGTTTATGTGTAGATTCTGCTAGAACATTTACATACGCCAACATGTTATCTTTGAATAAGGACGCTTTAGATCTCTCTTTCTATTCCTTATGCGCTTCCTTTTTTTTACAGCATTGGCTGGGACCTCCAGTACAGTGCTGAGGAGAAACGGTGGCATTAGCTGGCGCCCTCGTCATTTTCCTAATTTCAGGGTCAAGCTTCCAGTATTTCATCAAGTATTATATGTGCATCAAGTTTTTGCTAAGGTTTCTTTTTTAATCATCATGAATGGTATTGAATTTTGTTAATTTTTCTGTGATTATTGACTATAAATATTTTATTAGCTTATTCTATAGCTGTCGAGATTATCATTTAATTATTCTCATTTATTTTGTTAATGTGGTGAGTTGCATTTATTTTTAGAATTTGAAACCCACGTTAGATTCTAGGAACAAATTCAACTTTGTAGTGATACAAGGTAGCTTGTATATGTAAGTAAATTCAGTTTGCTACTATTTTGCATGGGGTTTTTTGCACCTATGTTCATATGAGAGCTGGACCTGTAAGTTTTTTTTCTTGTAATGCTCTTTCCACATTTTGGTAAATCAGGTCTGTTCTGGTTTCATAAAACAAGTTGTAAATTATTTTTATTTTTCTCTTCTCTGGAAAATTTTTTGTAAGATGGGGGTTATTTCTTTAAATGTTTGGTAGCATTCAGGAGTGACACTATTTAGGCCCAGTAAGTTTTTTGTGCAAAGATTTTAAACTAGGGATTTGATATCTTTATTAGACATCGAACTGTTTAAAGTTCCTAATTCTCCTTGAGTCAATTTAAGTAAATTGTGTTTTTCTAGGAATTAGTGCATTTCGTTGGAATTTTCAAATTTCTTGTCATCAATATGCTTGTTATCCACTCATATTTTTCATGTCTGTAAGTTCCATAATGATGCCTCTTGTTTAACAGTGGGTATTATGAATTCTCTTTTCTCTTGACCAGTGTGCCAAATGTTAGTGATTTTTTTTTTTTTTGTATTTTTTTAGTAGAGACGGGGGTTTCACCCTGTTAGCCAGGATGGTCTCGATCTCCTGACCTCGTGATCCACCCGCCTCGGCCTCCCAAAGTGCTGGGATTACAGGTGTGAGCCACCGTGCCCGGCCTTTTTTTTGAGACGGAGTCTCGCTCTGTTGCCTAGGCTGGAGTGCAGTGGCGCAGTCTTGGCTCACTGCAAGCTCCACCTCCCGGGTTCACGCCATTCCCCTGCCTCAGCCTCCCGAGTAGCTGGGACTGCAGGGGCCCACCACCACGCCCGGCTAATTTTTTGTATTTTTAGTAGAGACGGGGTTTCACCATGTTAGCCAGGATGGTCTCGATCTCCTGACCTCGTGATCTGCCTGCCTCAGCCTCCCAAAGTGTTTTTTTTTTGTTTTTTTGTGTTTTTTTTTTGTATTTTTGTATTTTTGGTAGAGACAGTGTTTCACCCTGTTAGCCAGGATGAATGTTAGTGATTTTTATTAGTACTGTGGACTCTTGAACAACACAGGTTTTAACTGTGTGTGTCCATGTATACATAGAGATTTTTCCAGTCAGATGCAGATCAAAAATACAGTATTCATGAGATACAAAACCTGCTCAGATGGAGGGCTGACGTTTCCTGTATGCAGGTTCTACAAGGCCAACTGTGGAACTTTAGTATGCCTGGATTTCAGCACACTTGGGGTCCTGGAACCAATTTACCCTCATATACTGAAGGATGACTGTATTTTCAAAAACTAATTTTTAGCTCTGTTGATCGTGTCCATTTTATATTTGTTTCCTATTTTGTTAATTCTCTTTATCATTTCCTTTTTGTCTGGATTTAGTTTGTTCTTTAAGATGGGTGCTTAGGATTAATTTTCAACCTTTCCTCTGTAATATTACACTATAGGGTCATAACTTCCCTTCTGTGTTCATTTTTGCCTGCAGTATATGTATTTGATGATACTATATTTTTATCTTTGAATTTTGATATTTTTACTCAGTTTCTCCTGTGACCCATGTGTTACCTAGAAGTATATTCATTTTTAAGTATTTGCAAGTTTTTAGTTACAGTTTCTGTGAGCTAACACATGGCCAAGTACACACATTATGAGTGTATACCTCAGTCAATTTTTCAGAATCATAATGTGTAACCAACATTTAGGTCAAGGAAAGTAGTTTACCCCCTGCTGCAAGCTTTCTTAGGTGTATGTACAGATATTTTTGCGCTGAGAAGGAAGAGCCCTTCACAAGGTGAAACATAATGGGGCCATATGTGTATTTTTGTTTCCCTATGGCAGGAGCTGGAGGAGGGATGACACTCAGTAGAGGTTTCTCAGGTGAAAGGAGCAATAGATGACGATGTAGCAGATGATGTCACGAGTGGTGTGGAATTTTAATTTTTCTATAACTATTGACCATAACTATTTCATTAGCTTTTTTCTTCCCCAGTAGAACTTATTCATTCTGGAGAATTAGTAGGAACTGGAGATACAGGTGGCAGAGTCATAATCCTTCAACAGGAGCAGATGAACAAAATCCCATCTTAAGCAGAAGGGAATACCATGTTTACAGGACCTTTCAGAACGATGAGCCAGAGTTTGACCACTTGAAAAGTTTAGAAAGAGAAGAAAAGTTCAACAAAGCT
Source organism: Homo sapiens (assembly GCF_000001405.40). Classification (NCBI taxonomy): domain Eukaryota; kingdom Metazoa; phylum Chordata; class Mammalia; order Primates; family Hominidae; genus Homo; species Homo sapiens. Next base: position 1,101,354 of record NC_000004.12, on the reverse strand, counting down.
AGGTGGTTTCCCTGAGAAAAATTCTGCTCAGTATTGTCTACCAATAATAAAACAATACAATTATGGAAAATCAGTGAAAGGGACAAAAGACCAGAAGGATATAACTTGAAGAGGAAGATGGGGTGTGTAGAGATGCCACCACGGCTACTGCACTGTGAGTGCCAGTCGTTAGGCCCGTGGGTCTAGGGGTCGCAGTCACTCCACAAAGAGCATCTGCCAATGCTCATACTGGTCACACCAACTCAATTCCTGTTAATAGAGATTTTGAAACATATTTATCTGCAGGTGATTTGCAGATCAAAATCAAGTCTTTGGCATCTGGAAATTATAGACAGGAGTTTTAATATTGTGGATATCAAGCCTGACAATATGGAAGAGCTAACAGGTGATTTCAGCCGCAGAATTCCATCTGAACAGCTATAACACATCTGTATCTAGCAGCAGTAAAGGAACTATTTGCTCATGTGACATGAGAGCGTCTGCCCTCTGTGATAGGCATCTACACTGAAGAACCTGATGATTCCAGTAATGGGTCATTTTTGTCTGAAATCATCTAATTTCTGACGTAAAATTCAGCCATAGTGGTCAAATATGATGATAGAGACCATTTGTTAGTCAAAAGTTGGAACTTCAATATGGAAAACGCGGCCGGGTGCGGTGGCTCACGCCTGTAATCCCAGCACTTTGCAAAGCCGAGGCGGGCAGATCACCTGAGGTCAGGCGTTTGAGACCAGCCTGGCTAACAAGGAGAAACCCCATCTCTACTGAAAATAACAAAAATTAGCCAGGCTCAGTAGCACACGCCTGTAATCCCAATTACTTGGGAGCCTGAGGCTAGAGAATCATTTGAACCTGGGGAGTGGAGGTTGCGGTGAGCGGAGATCGCACCACTGCAATCCAGCCTGGGCCACAGGGTAAGACTCCATCTCAAAAAAAAAAAAAAAAAAAAAAAAAAATTATGGAAAATGCCTGTGGAAATGTAACAGGTGCACCAGTAGCTCGGAAGTAAGCTGTGCACTGTGTGAAAAGGACCATGTGTCTGACAAATTCAGTGTTGTTGGAATGGATCTGACGGTGTTGTGACTGGGTCTTAACAATAATTTCAGAATGTTTGACAGGAACACAAAACAAGACCTAACGCTAGAAGTATCACGGGAAAGCAGTAAGCCTGGTACGATTCTGAAACCGTGCAAAGTCCACACAGGCAGCAAGCAAAAGAAGATGAAATTAGTGTTGACAGCCGAGACTCTAGCAAGGAAGTCCTGTGTAAGCCTGGCGCCCCAAGGACAGTATCGTGCTGTAGCCAGTACAATCTGTGTGTTTCAAGACAGTAAATTAGGGCTGGCATTCCTAGTCAGAGAACCCCGTTCCTGCCTAGCGGCAGTGGCTGCATCAGCCTCCATGATGATAAGAGCCCTCTTTTGCAGCGCCCCTTTCCTGTGTCTGACAGCGAGTCACCAACAGCACGCCTTTACAGCTGCGTGAGGAGAGCCCCGTGGATCCCGCACAGGGGTACCCGTGTCCGCTTGCGCCGTCGGACCTTGTGGACTCGATTGCTCTGCACCAGGGTTGATTTCCTCCATTCCTTACGCCCTCTGCCATGATGACGTCAGACGCAGCAAAGGCCTTCAGTCACGCTGTGAGATTTAACTATGTATCCTCGTTACTGTACCATTGTGGCGCACACACCCCCCTTTTAAAAATTAAATACGAAAAGAAAACATTCGTTTGTGATTTTCCTGGGGATTGTGCGAGCAATCTTGACTTTTAAAAGTCTAACAAAAATTCAGTTTTCTTGATGATGCGAGGGCCTCAGCTCTCACCGATCCCCCTTCTCCTGGCCTTCCCCGCCCCGCTCCTGGAGCCACACTGGCTCTCACTGCAGGAGGCCCCACCATACAGTGCTGCCATGGACAGTTAATACTCACTTAGATTTTCCCCCATTTCCCCCTCTTCCCTGCTCCTCGCTGCCTCCCGAATCTCTGTGCTTCTATCAGGAATTATTTTTCTTACCTACAGGGAATTCCTTTATTATTTATTTTAGTGCTGGGCTGTTAGTGTTTTCAGTTTTTGTTTTTAAAAAAATGTCTTTTTCTTGAAGCACATTTTCACAGACTTCAGAATTCTTTGTTGAAAGTGAATGCATCTTAGCACTTTGAAAATTCCGGCACCTGGCTTATCGCCGGCCCTCTGCAATGTGAGTGCCGGGGTGGAGGAATGGCTGCCTGTGTTCTCCCGCTCAGGCCTCACTGAGGTCTGTGCATCTGTGCTGTGATGCCATTTGTTAGTTTTGTAGACTTCTTGGCTGTTCTGGCTCTAGGCTCATCTTCTGGACATCCTGGGGTGTCTGTCATGTGTAGAATGACTCAGTCCCCCTCACCCAGAAGGCCATGGAACCAGATCGATCTGTGACAGCTTCTTCAGTTGCTCCCATTTCTGGTCCATGGAGCTCTTGGTCTTGTCTCTGAGGCATCTGTGTATTTATAATATACCTTAGATAACAGTGACAGTTCCCGCTCCCTGCGCACTCACATGGGCCACGCTCTGCTGGGGGCACTTTTTCTGTATTGTGTCACCTGCTACTTGCCATGGCCGGGGCTGAGGGGGTGCTGTTTCTGCTTCTGTTTTATACGTAGGGAGACCGAGGCATGGTGGAGTTAGGTGGAGAACCAGGGTTGCAGGTCAAGGGTGTGCAGAGCTGGATTTAGGCCAGACTCTGAGCTCCTGATGCCTGTGGTGTTGGACATACTGCTTGTGCCTTTGCAGTTTGGTGTGTATAGGAGGGTGTTACACGGGAGCTCCTACCCCATCCGAGCCAGAGCCAGGTCTCCCCTCTGTTGGGTCTCAGTCCCCCTGTTACAGAGGAGCTCACCTCCAGGATGCTCTGCTTGGCCTCTGCCTCTGGGAGCCTGGGAGTGGATTCTGGAGTGGATTCCAGGACCTCTTCATCTGCACCTGCCCCAGGCTTTGGAGCTGGTGCCTTAATCCTGATCCAAGCCAGTCTATACTCTGTCTTCTAGAATTCTTCAGTCTGGTCAATTCAAGATATCATTTCCTGTTTTCTACCACAAATAGAGTATTTTTTTCCTAAATTTTACTATCATTTCAGTGGGATTTGGGGAGCCACTGGTAGGTAGGTGGATGGGCTTAGATGACTGTCTTGACTCTATGCGCTCACTGTCCTGAACCACAGAATGGGAGGAGGCATGAGGTTCTTCCTACATCTTGTCATTCTGGTGTTTGTCCCTTTCTTTGTTTTTGGTTTTGGATTTTTTGTTTGTTTGTTTTTTGAGATGGAGTCTTGCTCTGTTGCCCAGGCTGGAGTGCAGTGGCATGATCTCGGCTCACTGCAACCTCCACCTCCCGGGTTCAAGCGATTCTTCTGCCTCAGCCTCCCAAGTAGCTGGGATTACAGGCACCTGCCATCACGCCCAGGTAACTTTTGTATTTTTGATAGAGATGGGGTTTCACCATGTTGGCCAGCCTGGTCTTAAACTCCTGACCTCAAGCGATCTGCCCACCTTGGCCTCCCAAAGTGCTGGGATGACAGGCGTGAGCCTCTTTTCTTTGGACTGCTCAAGCGATTCTAGCTCACGGCAGCTCCATGCCTAGGACAGCTGTCGCCTAGTGTTTTGTGCTAATGTGGTCCTGGCTGGGGAAAGTGAGGGAAGGCCAGAGGTGCAGGGAGGTGAGGCAGGGCATCCTGAAGGCACTTGTGAAGGAAGTTGGGAGCGTCTGCATGAGGGCTTGTAACCAAATGCTGTTTCTTTTGCCCAGGCTGGAGTGCAGTGGCGTAATCTCGGCTCACTGCAAGCTCTGCCTCCTGGGTTCATGCCATTCTCCTGCCTCAGCCTCCTGAGTAGCTGGGACTACAGGTGCCCGTCACCACGCCCGGCTAATTTTTTTATATTTTTAGTAGAGACGGGGTTTCACTGTGTTAGACAGGATGGTCTCGATCTCCTGACCTTGTGATCCGCCCGCCTCGGCCTCCCAAAGTGCTGAGATTACAAGCTTGAGCCACCGCTCCCGACCTACGAGACGCTGTTTCTTAAACCTGTGTCCTTTCTTAAGGTCCTTACATTTGCTTTTTAAATAACTCGACATGTACTTGTGACTACATAGTGGTGACTTAATGCTTGTCAGCCTAGATCATCCTTCTGATTTTAGTATGTCTCCATACTAAAGGAGGAGGCTGGGCTGGAGGCCTTCATTCATGGTGACCTTCTGCCCTCACTAAGACCCTTTTGAGGAGGGAGCGTGTCCTTGCCAGGCAGGCTGCTCTGCCTCCTGGCCCTCACCACTGTCCGGCACAGCCCTCAGAGGGAAGTGGCCAGGACGAGGGGCTGTCCTGTTGATCGAGGCTGTCCCTGGCAGGGCCCCTGAGAGGCCATTCACAATGTGCTGGCCACTTGAGTCATCTATAGCTAATTCTAGGTCTTCAAGTACAGTTTTTAACTGGGGGCCAGAAGCGTTTATTAGACACAATAAATGTAGAGTCATTTCTTTCTCTTTCAGACCGACGCAGATATCCAGGCATTCTTCATGAGCATAGACAGTCTGTGTAAGAAGTACTCCAGGGAAACCTCCCAGGTGAGCTGTGAGGGGTGTGGCTTGGTTCCGTGATGAGCCAGGTGCACTATCCCGAGACCATGGAGCTATGAGGGGTGTGCTTGGTTCTGTGATGAGCCAGGTGCACTATCCCGAGACCATGGAGCTGTGAGGGGTGTGCTTGGTTCTGTGATGAGCCAGGTGCACTATCCCGAGACCATGGAGCTGTGGGAGTTGTGCTTGGTTCTGTGATGAGCCAGGTGCACTATCCTGAGACCGTGGAGCTGTGGGGGGTGTGCTTGGTTCCGTGATGAGCCAGGTGCGCTATCCCGAGACCGTGGAGCTGTGGGGGGTGTGCTTGGTTCCGTGATGAGCCAGGTGCGCTATCCCGAGACCGTGGAGCTGTGGGGGGTGTGCTTGGTTCCGTGATGAGCCAGGTGCGCTATCCCGAGACCGTGGAGCTGTGGGGGGTGTGGTTGGTTCCGTGATGAGCCAGGTGCGCTATCCCGAGACCGTGGAGCTGTGGGGGGTGTGCTTGGTTCCGTGATGAGCCAGGTGCGCTATCCCGAGACCGTGGAGCTGTGGGGGGTGTGCTTGGTTCCGTGATGAGCCAGGTGCGCTATCCCGAGACCGTGGAGCTGTGGGGGGTGTGCTTGGTTCCGTGATGAGCCAGGTGCGCTATCCCGAGACCGTGGAGCTGTGGGGGGTGTGCTTGGTTCCGTGATGAGCCAGGTGCGCTATCCCGAGACCATGGAGCTGTGGGGGGTGTGCTTGGTTCCGTGATGAGCCAGGTGCGCTATCCCGAGACCATGGAGCTGTGGGAGTTGTGCTTGGTTCTGTGATGAGCCAGGTGCGCTATCCCGAGACCATGGAGCTGTGGGAGGTGTGCTTGGTTCTGTGATGAGCCAGGTGCGCTATGCTGAGACCATGGAGCTGTGGGGGGTGTGGTTGGTTCTGTGATGAGCCAGGTGCGCTATCCCGAGACCATGGAGCTGTGGGGGGTGTGCTTGGTTCCGTGATGAGCCAGGTGCGCTATGCTGAGACCATGGAGCTGTGGGAGGTGTGCTTGGTTCTGTGATGAGCCAGGTGCGCTATCCCGAGACCATGGAGCTGTGGGAGGTGTGCTTGGTTCTGTGATGAGCCAGGTGCGCTATCCCGAGACCATGGAGCTGTGGGGGGTGTGCTTGGTTCTGTGATGAGCCAGGTGCGCTATGCTGAGACCATGGAGCTGTGGGAGGTGTGCTTGGTTCTGTGATGAGCCAGGTGCACTATCCCGAGACCATGGAGCTGTGGGAGTTGTGCTTGGTTCTGTGATGAGCCAGGTGCGCTATCCCGAGACCGTGGAGCTGTGGGAGTTGTGCTTGGTTCTGTGATGAGCCAGGTGCGCTATCCCGAGACCATGGAGCTGTGGGAGTTGTGCTTGGTTCTGTGATGAGCCAGGTGCGCTATGCTGAGACCATGGAGCTGTGGGAGGTGTGCTTGGTTCTGTGATGAGCCAGGTGCGCTATCCCGAGACCATGGAGCTGTGGGGGGTGTGCTTGGTTCCGTGATGAGCCAGGTGCGCTATCCCGAGACCATGGAGCTGTGGGGAGTGTGCTTGGTTCTGTGATGAGCCAGGTGCGCTATCCCGAGACCATGGAGCTGTGGGGGGCGTGCTTGGTTCTGTGATGAGCCAGGTGCGCTATCCTGAGACCATGGAGCTGTGGGGAGTGTGCTTGGTTCCGTGATGAGCCAGGTGCGCTATCCTGAGACCATGTGTTTTCTGTGTTCTGGAGGCAAGTTCCTTTGAAGATATTTGATCAGCAAATATTTTCTGCCAAAATATTTCTGTGGGTTGAATTTTTACTTTCTTAATGGTGAAACATTTACATACAAAAGGTTCTGATTTTGACAATGTTCATTTGGTCTGTTTTATTGTTTTTGCTTTTGGTGTCACATTGAGACAAAGTGGTCTCAGTCAGTTCTGGGGTCCTTTGCGCAAGATGCCCCCTCCCCATATTCACACGTTAGAATCTCAGGTTTGGGAGCCCTCCCCACCAGATCAGGGTTCTCTGGGTTCAGGGCAGCAGGTTGCTTCTTGACACTGTCCTTCCCTGACAGTCACCCAGGGCCTTCTGCCTCCCAGGCCTCCAATCCCCGCTGAGCCCTGCATGGCAATGCTGGCTCCGTGGGCCCCCCTTCTGGCAGCTGAGCCCCTGCTGTGGAAGTGTTGGCCCCATGGGCCCCCATCCTGGCAGCTGAGCCCCTGCTGTGGCAGTGTTGGCTCCATGGTCCCCTCCCCTGGCAGCTTTTACCAGCTGCTGTGCCAGTCCTCTCAGTTGCGGCTTGTCCATTCTCTACCTGTTTCTTCCTGACCCTCCTCCCAGTCAGCACGCGCCTCCACTCCAAGCCTCCCCCACCCCCAGCTTCTGACGCAGGTCATTGTCCTCTGTGCCCACCCCCACATGCTGAGTGGCACTTCTGGCCTCCTTGGATGTCACCGGACAGCTGCAGTCCACCAGTCTGGGGGAAAGCTGCCAGGAGAGGAAGGGGTCCTTCCCCTGGCCCCCGCCCTGCACTTCCTTTCCCTCTTCCGTGAAGAGTGCAGCTCCCACCGTTGGCCACCCCACCTGCCTTGTGGGGAAAGAGGCCTAGTGGGGGCAGCCAGGATCTGAGGCAGGAGACTGAGGATGGACCCCTGCATGGCACTCTCCTTCATGGGCTTGTGCCTTCAGGCTGTGGTCAGCCAGGTCCCCAAGACTGTCCTCCTCTGGGAGCTTCCTTGCTTCTGAAACAGCCTGAATCACCCACAGTATCTCAGGCTTTCCCGAGGCTGTTGCCGTCTCAAGTTATGCCCAGCCACATCCTCCAAGGAGGTGCCCAGAGGCTCGACCCATGGAAGCCAAGCAGCAGCCAGAGATCCCCAAGAACACTGGGTCAGCACAACACGGGCACCCAGACCAGGATGCCGGCGGTCCCAGAGCCAGCCAGAGGCCCAGGGAAACACCATCCAGGACGCACCTCACCCCCTCACCCTGCTCCATCCCAGCAGGACCCTCATTCACACCAAGTCCCCTTGGGGCCAGAAGTTGCTTGAGTTCATAAAACATGTCTGTTATCACAGACATCAGAGCCACAGGCCGTGCGCTCCAGGGTGGTTTTGCCAAGTGCTGCAGAGGCCAGGTGCTGTCTCAGGAGAGAAGACCCAGCAGACCCGGCCAGCCCCTCCAGCCACCTGTCTGCTCTGCCTCTCGTGCCTCTCAGGCTTCCGGCATGGGCCGTGGAGGTCACAGGCTCTGCCCAGTGACCTCGTGGCCCCACTGTTTGTCAGTTACACTGTGGAGGTGAGCATCACAAACGCAGGGTGGAGTTTTCCCGCAGCTGTGTGACGTGAGGTGGTATTGTAACATTTATGCTCTAATATCAACGTAACATAAATATTGGCATTTGTTACAATATGTTAACACATCATGGATTTATTGTTATTTTTAAATGAATTAATAAATACTTTTAGATTTGTCTCAGTCTTAATTTCTAATAGGGTAAATACCAACAGATAAAACCCACATAAGCAAAGCTCTCTGGGGCCCTCAGTAACTTTTAAGAGTGCAAAACTGGCCCAAGACCAAAACTCTGAGCACCAAGGCTCAGGCCTCAGGACCTGCCCTGGGACAGCGTCAACAAACCACCTCAGCCACTGCCTGCCCTGGTCCACCTTCCTAGTCTAGTTGGTAACAATTAAACATCTTCCTCTTCCCAGTAATCCTCTAAGATCCGTTCCATCCACCCAGCCTCTGCCCTACCACAGGCTGCGTCAGCACTGAGCACGCAGACCCTGGTCCTGGCGTAGTTTGGAGCTCATGTGGACGAATGCAGGCACAGGCCACTCCATGGAGGAGAACTGGTATTGAACCGAAGAGTGAGAAGTGTGCTCCGGACCAGGCAGCCGCCTCTCCTGGCCTCTTGGCGAGAGTCCGCGTGAGTGACCTGCATTCTCCCCCGACTGCCTTGACTCTCAGGCCTTCGCGGCCTCCCAGTTCGCAGGATGCGGGCAAAGCACGCGTGAGCACCGGGCAGCTCTTCCTTGGGGCCCTGGGCTGACCTGGCCCAGCGCAGCCTCTGTGACCATCGCAGCCCTGGAGTTTTGCAATGATTTCATTGACCTGTTTCTCTGGCTCAGTTCAAGAGGCATATTCTCTGCAAGATAAACACTCACTGTCCCTTTTAAACTTTGTTTTATTATTAAAATCTACCCTCTTCTGAGGCCACACCCAGTGTCTCAAGTCTCTGGGCCCCAACATTGGTCAGAGCCAGGCCAGACAAACCACGGAGGCGGCATGAGGCTGCAGGCCTGTGTGGCTCCCCCTAATGGAGTCCTGGAGGCTGGTGTAGACCCTGCAACACCCAGACAAGTGGGTCTTGGCTGCCCCCCAAGCTCATGTGAGGCTCCCCAGCTCCACCCTCAGTAGAACTCACCCCATCTGCTGCTCAGGTCCCCTTGGAGACTTTCCCTGCAGCCCAGTCCTTGCTGCAGCAACACCTGCCCTGCCAAATCAGGATCAGCCACAGACTGACCTCGTCTCCCCAAGGCCTTTCTCTAAGAACAGCCAGACCAGGCACCCCCACAGCCGGGATGAGGCGCGTCTGCTGGTAGGTTCCTCCACGAACATGTGAAGCTGAGAAGCAGAGGCGCTTGCCTGCAGGGTGGAATGTTCCTGCTGAGGGTGCTTTGGAGAAGCTTCCCACACAGGCACAATTGAGTGTGGCTTTGAGGGGCGTGTGCAGGTGTTCCCGACAGGCAGCAGGACTTGAGAAGCGTCGGCAAAGGTGGGAAAGGTGCCCTGGCCATGGCCTGCAATGTGCACAAGAGCTGGGGTCAGGGCAACCTGCGGAGTCCTTCTGTCCACTCCTCTTCATAGCCCACGGGGTGGCACCCAGGACTGTCTTCCCTCCTTGGTGGAGACATAGTCCCCTTGTCGAGTAGGGGAGAACCCTAGAGCTCCAAGTCACTCCGAGGACGCAGCAGCCAGGAAACCGCGAGGCTGTCATCCCTGCTGTCCTGGAGGAGGGCCCCTGTGCAGCCCCATCCTCTGGAGATGGCCTCTCATGGAGGAGGTTGGGAACAAAGGCCTGGCATGTGCTGGGCCTGTCTTTCCACAGGAGGGAAGAAGCCTGCCCTGTGTTTGCACCGGGCCAGTGAGCCATGGGCAGACAAGGCCGCTCCCTCCTGCTTGTGTTATCATCGCAGATGGCAAGGTGGAGTGAAGTGGGGGATGGAGCTAGAGGACGCCGACTTTCAGTACCAGTGGAGCCACAGTTAGCCCTGTTGTCTGTCGGCCCTTCCAGCCTGGTCTTTCCAGAGGGTAGGCACCATTGTCTGAACACTCAACTCATACGAAATAGCTCTTTTCTTCCTCTGAGGAAATCACAGGACTCTCTTTCCTCCTTATGTTGGTACTCTCAGAAACCCAGTTCAAGCTGTCTAGACAGCATGCATGGAACCCGGGGCTCCTGTAAATGGGAGGGTGCTGGTGTCAGGCATGGCTGGCCCTGGGAGTGCAGACAGGCCCACCAGGCCTCTGCCAGCTCTGTGGGTCTCGCTTAGCCTCATTCTGTGTGCCGGCTCTCTTTCCACTTGCCCCAGCCATTGGTCCACACCTGTTTGGTCAGGAGGCCATTCCTCAAACCAGTAGCCATTATCAGAGGGACAGCACCCTGTGATTGGCCCAGCAGTAGAGCACCACTCGCAACTTGAATGGAGCAGGTTGCTGGGGAGACTTTCCTATCATGCCCATTAAGCCTCCCCTGTGTTTGCCCTTGGCCCTGCCTGTGCAAGCACTGGCCATGGGCGTCTGTGGGGGCAGGACACACGTAAGACAAGCACTGTGAGCTCTCCTGAGAGTCCCTCCAGCCTCCTCCTCCCCCAACAAAACTCCAGCCACAGAGACCGTGGATCTGTGTCAGCAGCTGAAACCTATGATCTTTTCAGATTTTAGAATTTCAAGAAAAACACAGGAAGAGATTGTTAGCCTTCTATAGAGAAAAGGTAAGTGGAATTGATTCATTGCCACTTGAATTTTTTTGACCTTTAGATTTAAATGTCAGACTTGTTAATTAACACCTTGCTCTCAAAGGGGATGGCTGCTAGATGCAATATCTGTTTCTCTGTGTGTTTCCAGCTATGGGGACGTTGTCACTGTCTCCTTCTGAGCAGCCTATTTGCCCAACCCTTGTCTGTAGTTACCAAGTAGCCCCTTGGGTGCAGCACCGCATGGGCCTCCCTGCCTGGCCACACTTATCCCCTCAGCCACCTGGGGCAACACTGGGGCCTTGGGAGTTTGGAAGGCAGCTTGAAGGCTTCTCTGCTCAACCATCCCATTTTGAAAAACAAGTCCTTTTTAAAAAACTTTGAAGGTTATGTAGTCGGTAAAGTCAGGAACCCAGCTTTAAAGACAAGGGAACCTGGGGCCGCTTCCCCAAGTCTGGAAGCCAGCTTGTGACCCTGCTGCCTCCTGTCTGTCCATGAACATTCTGTGTACACCCAAACCTGGAGCGGACAGATCACCCTTGGCCCTGCTTGCCAGCCAGTCACTCCCCTTCCATCCTGTCACCCCCACCCTGTCTTGTCACCTTGCCCTGTCCTGTCACCCCCATCTCTCCCCTCACCCCATCCTGTCACCTTATCTTGGTACCCCATCCCTGTCCTGTCACCCCAACCCCATCCTGTCACCCTTACCCCATCCTGTCACCACTCAGGCCATCTTGCTACCACCACCCTGTCCTGTCACCCCATCCCATCCCGTCACCCCTCATCCCATCCTGTCACCCCTCACCCCTACACTGTCCTGTCACCCTGTATCAGTCTGTCTTCATACTGCTATAAAGAATAACCTGAGATTCGGTAATTTATAAAGGAAAGAGGTTGAATGGACTCACAGTTCCGCATGACTGGGAAGGCCTCAGGAAACTTACAGTCACGGCAGAAGGCAAAGGGGAAGCAAGGCACGTCTTACATTAACAGCAGGAGAGAGGGCAGGGGGAACTGCCAAACACTCTTAAACCATCAGATTTCATGAGAACTTACTATCACGAGAACAGCACGGGGGAAACTGCCCCCATGATCCAATCACTTCCCACCGGATCCCTCCCTTGACACATGGGGACTGCAATTCAAAATGAGATTTGGGTGGGGACACAGAGCCAAACCACATCATTCCACCCCTGGCCCCTCCCAAATCTCATATCCTTCTAACATTTCAAAACACAATCATACCTTCCCAGCAGTCCCCCAAAGTTTTAACTCATTCCCGCATAAACTCAGAAGTCCAAGCCCAAAATCTCATCAGAGACAAGGCAAGTTCCTTCCACCTATGAGCCTGTAGAATCAAAAACAAGTTAATGACTTCCAAGATACTATGGGAGTACAGGCATTGGGTAAATGTTCCCATTCCAAATGGGAGAAATTGACCAAAACAAAGGGGCTGCAGGCCCCATGCAAGTCCAGAACCCAGCAGGGCAGCCATTAAATCTTAAATTTATCCTTTTACCCAATGTCTCACATCCAGGACATGCTGATTTAAGGGTAGGGGGGCTCCCAAGGCCTTGGGCAACTCCACCCCTGTGGCTCTGTAGGGTACAGCCCCAGTGGCTGCTTTCTGGGCTGGGGTTGAGTGCCTGCAGCTTTTCTAGGTGCACAGTGCAAGCTGTTGATGGGTCTACCATTCTGGCGTCTGGAGGACAGTGGCCCTCTTCTCATGGCTTCTCTAGGCAGCACCCCAGTTGGGACACTGTGTGGGAACAACCACCGCACATTTCCCTTCTGCACTGCCCTAGCAGAGGTTCTCCATGAGGGCTCTGCCTCTGCAGCAGACTTCTGCCTGGACATCCAGGCATTTCCATACATCTTCTCAAATCTAGGTGGAGGTTCCCAAATCTCAGCTCTTGTCCTCTGCACACATGCAGGCCCAATACCATGTGGAAGCCGCCAATGCTTGGGGTTTGCTCCCTCTGAAGCAGCAGCCCAAATTGTACCTTGGACCCTTTTAGTCATGGCTGGAGCCAGAGCAGCCAGGATGCAGGGCACCATGTCCTGAGGCTGCACGAGAGTTGGGCAGGGGGCCTTGGCCCGGCCCATAAAACTACTTTTTTTCTCTGGGCCTATGATGGGAGGGGCTGCTGTGAAGATCTCTCACATGCCCTGGAGACATTTTCTCCACCGTCCTGGCTCCTGGTTACTTATGCACATTTCTGCAGCCAGCTTGAATTTCCCCTCAGAAAATGGGTTTTTCTTTTCTACTGCATGGTCGCGCTGCAATTTTGTTCAGACTTTTATGTTCTGCTTCCCTTTTAAACATAAGTTCCAATTTTAGATCATCTCTTTGTGAACACGTATGTGACTGTATGCTTCAGAAAAAGCCAGGTCACATCTTGAACGCTTTGCTGCTTAGAAATTTCTTCTGCCAGATGCCCTAAATCATCTTTTTCAAGTTCAAAGTTCCACAGACATTGAGGGCAGGAGCAAAATGCCTCCAGTCTCTTTGCTAAAGCACAGCAAGAGTGACCTTTGCTCCAGTCCCAATAAATTCCTTATCTCCATCTGAGACCTCCTCAGCCTGAACTTCACCATCCATATCACTATCAGCATTTTGGTCAAAACCATTCAACAACTCTCTAGGAAGTTCCAAACTTTCTCACACCTTTCTGTCTTTTTCTGAGCCCTCCAAATTGTTCCAACTTCTGCCCATTACCCAGTTCCAAAGTTGCTTCCACATTTTTAGTTACATTTATAGCAGTGCCCCACTCTACTGGTACCAATTTTCTTTATTAATCCATTATCACACTCCTATAAAGAACTACCTGAGACTGGGTGATTTATAAAGGAAAGGGGTTTAATTGACTCACAGTTCTGCATGGCTGGGAAGGCCTCAGGAAACTTACAATCATGGCAGAAGGCAAAGGGGGAGCAAGGCACATCTTACATAGCGGCAGGAGAGGGGGTGGAGGGGAACTGCCAAACACTTTTAAACCATCAGATCTCGTGAGAACTCACTGTCATGAGAACAGCATGGGGGAAAGCACCCCCATGATCCAATCACCTCCCCCAGATTCTTCCCCTTGACACATGGGATTACAATTTGAGATGAGACTTGGGTGGGGACACAGCCAAACCATATCATACCCCCACCACATTCTGTCACCTCTCAACCCCATTCTGTCACCCCTTTACCCCATCCTATTACCCACTCCCTGCTCCTGTCACACCCACCCTGTCCTGTCAGCCTCTCCCCTGTCCTGTCACCCCCCCACCTCATCCTGTCACCCCCCAACCTTGGTTCTCTCACCCTCACCCCATCCTGTCACCCCCACCCACCTTGTCACCCCACCCCATCCTATCACTGTCACCCCATCCTGGTGCCCCCACCTATCCTGTCACCCCCACCCCATCCTCTCACCCCCACCCCATCCTCTCACCCCCACTTCTGTCCTGCCACCCCCAATGCCATTGTCTCTCCCCCACCCTGTTCTCTCTCCCCCACCCATCCTCTCACCCCCACCCCATCCTCTCTCCCCTACCCCGTCCTCTCTCCCCTACCCCGTCCTCTCTCCCCTACCCCATCCTCTCACCCCCACTTCTGTCCTGCCACCCCCAATGCCATCCTCTCTCCCCCACCCATCCTCTCACCCCCACCCCATCCTCTCTCCCCCACCCCGTCCTCTCACCTCCACCCCGTCCTCTCACCCCCACTCCTGTCCTGCCACCTCCATGCCATCCTCTCACCGCCATCCCATCCTCTCCCCCATGCCATCCTCTCTCCCCCACCCCATCTTCTCACCCCCACCCTGTCCTTCCACCCCTATGCCATCCTCTCTCCCCGACCCCATCCTCTCTTCCCCACCCCATCCTCTTGCCCCCACCCCATGCTCTCACCCCACCCCATCCCCTCATCCCTACCCCTGTCCTTCCACCCCCATGCCATCCTCTCTCCCCAACCCCATCCTCTCTCCCCCACCCCATTCTCTCTCCTCCACCCCATCCTCTCACCCCACCCCTGTCCTTCCACCCCTATGCCATCCTCTCACCCCTACCCCATCCTCTCTCCCCAACCCCATCCTCTCACCCCCACCCCTGTCCTTCCACCCCCACCCCATCCTCTGTCACCCCACCCCTCTTCTGTCACCCCACCCCCTCCTCTCTCACCCCACCCCTTCCTCACCCCCACCCCTCTCCTGCCACCCTCATGCCATCCTCTTTCCCCTACCCCTCCTAGGCCACCACAGCCCCATCATACTCCTTGACAGCCACCCAAAACCCTGCCTGGAGGCTTCTTGCAGGAGCCAGCCTGGGCTCAGATTTTGTTATATTTTGTGTATGTTGTCTCCTAATCCTCCCAGCAAACCTGGAGGATGGGCATAAGCCATGATTACAGACTGGACAGTGGGATCCTAGACTCTAGTCACTCTCTTGGGGTCTGGCAGCTCCCACACACAGGGCGGGGCTCCAGCCTGACAGCAGAGGCTGTGCCGTGGGATGAGCTGGCAGTGGCCGTGTATGGAAGGTGCTTGTGTGTGACTTTGAGGCCAGGTGCTCCCCTGGAAGGGCTGACACTGAATTTGCATCCTGCCGGCTTGTGTGGGGTGCAGCACTGAGATTTGTCCCCTGGGGCTTGGGTTTGACTTCGCTCTGCATGGCCCCCAAGGCCGATTTCCTAAGTGTCTGATGGGCGGAACTCCAGGCAGATTTACTCCTGAGCAGCGTGAGGGCAACTCCATGCAGAGTAACCCACATTCTGATTCAAGGTTTAAGAAATTTAGAGGGTCACATGTCACTCAGCATAGCCTGTCTGATAACAAGAGGTTGTGTAATTATGTTTAGATTTCTAGGTTGGAAGAATCCCTTAGGAAGTCAGTGCTGCAGATAGAACAACTACAAAGGTAAGGCGCCCCACCCCCCGTGAGTGCGCAGTCGAGGCACCCACTGCCATGTGCATTGGTCGTCTGGCTCTCCAAGATCAAGAATGAAAGATGACTGCAGATGCAGAGGGAAGAGCTCGTTCATTTACCAGAAACTTTCATCAGAGCAAAAATGCTGTGGGAAAACCGAAGGGAAGAAGGGAGACAAAAAAGAAAAAGTGAAAAAGAGATGAATGGTTTCCCCTTGGGGCAGGTGCCCCAGTGATTGCTGAGGCAGTGGGAGGGGCCTGGGAGAGCAGCAGGTGCCCCCGGCCTCTCAGAGTGACCCAGCACAGGTGGGGTGGCCCTGCAGCCAGGGACTGCGGGACTCCACCTGCAGCCTGGCTGCCTGCTTTCTGCCAGGAGTCGTAGCCGTTTGCGAAAGGTACATATATGTGGCATGTTCTGTGTATAAAGGCACTGCTGTGAATGGGTGTTGCATCTTAGGAAGAAACATCCAGAGTTGCTAGGATTAACCAAAATGGGGACTTAAAGCATTACATTTCAATATCTGGAAAATCTAGCCATTTGAAACCCTCCTTTCTTGTACATTTTAGCTCATCCGTGCTTTTGCCGTATTGCATCTGTTCTGAATACAGTTTTACTGCATTCCATTTCTGGAATTTGGAATCAATAACAGGCCAGAGTTCAGTTACCACAGTCATACACAGATGTGGCACATATTACGCTCAGCAATGCCTTAGATTCTACGAGACGCGTTGAATAGTCACAAGCCCCCGTTTGCTGGCTGCTACTAACATGGAGGTCGAGGAGTCAGGAGCCCTGTCTGCCTCCCATTGGCTGTGTGTGTAGGGGTGGGTGAGCCTCCAGCGTGTGTGCAGGTGCCCACCTCCCTGCTGTGTCAGGCAGCTGAGCATGGCATGGCCTCACTGGGGCCGTGGGGCCTGTGGGAAGCTGGTGACGCCAGTCACACTGGCTGGTGGCCTTGCTCCTGACACGAGGTTCTGATTGCCTCTGGTGAAAAGGGATTCTTTCCCCTGTCGTTATTTTGGGTTCTAAGAGTTGCCATGGGCTTGTGTTGTGAAGGGTGTGTTCCAGGCATCAGCAAGCAAACTCCAGGCCAAATCCAGCCTGCAGTGTATTCTCTTCTCCTTCCTTTCCTTCGCTTTTTTTTTTTTTTTTTTTTTTTTGAGACAGGGTCTTCCTCTGTCACCCAGGCTGGAGTGCAGTGGCGTGATCTCAGCTCACGCCTCAACCTCCCAAGGCTCAGGTGATTCTGCTGCCTCTGCCTGCCAAGTAGCTGGGACCACAGGCACGCACCACCACACACAGCTAATTTTTTTATTTTGTGTGGAGATGGGGTCTCACTATGTTACCCAGGCTAGTCTTGGACTCCTGAGCTCAAGTGATCCTCCCACCTCAGCGTCCCAAAGTGCTGCAATGACCGATGTGAGCCACTGCACCCGGCCACAATGTATTTTCATGTAGCTGCCAAGCTGACCATGGCTTTTACATTTCTAGAAGATTGTAAACGCATTGCAACGGAGACCTTATGTGGACAGCAAAGCCTCCTACATTTACTAGCTAGCCCTTTGCAGAAACATTTGCAAATTCCTCCTTTAAAGCATCACAAGAGGAAAGGCAGATACTTAAAATGCATCAAAGGGGCCAGGCGCAGTGGCTCACGCCTGTAATCCCAGCACTTTGGGAGGCCAAGGTGGGCAGATTACCTGAGGTCGGGAGTTTGAGACCAACCTGACCAGCATGGAGAAACCTCATCTCTACTAAAAACAAAACACAATTAGCCAGATGTGTTGGTGCACACCTGTAATCCCAGCTATTCAGGAGGCTGAGGCAGGAGAATCTCTTGAACTTGGGAGGCAGAGGTTGCGGTGAGCCAAGATCATGCCATTGCACTCCAGCCTGGGTAACAAGAGCAAAACTCCGTCTCTCAAAAAAAAAAAAAAAAAATGCACAAAATGTGGAATTACTTTCATTTTTTTCCTTGTTGGTGTATAATTTTCTTTCATTCTGTGGATTCGTGTTTTGCATCAGTTCTGTAAAATTCCTGCCCATTATCTTTTCAAGTAGTACCCTCTGCATCCCCAGCCACAACCTGCAGCTCCCCACCCTCGACGTCAGCCTCTGCTGTGATCTCCGTCGTCTTAGGCCACCTGGTCACATGCTGGGTTGCTTCTTCCAGCTCCCTGATTTTCAGGTTAAGCCAGTGAACCCCACTGAGTTTGTTTGTTTGTTTGTTTGTTTGTTTGTTTGTTTTTGAGACAGAGTCTCACTCTGTCACCCAGGCTGGAGTACAGTGGCACGATCTCAGCTCACCTCAACCTCCGCCTGCCGGGTTCAAGCGATTGTCTTGCCTCAGCCTCCTGAGTAGCTGGGATTACAGCCCCACCACGCCTGGCTGATTTTTGTATTTTTAGTAGAGACGGGGCTTCACCATGTTGACCAGGCTGGTTTCGAACTCCTGACCTCAGGTGATCCGCCCACCTCAGCCTCCCGAAGTGCTGGGATTACAGGTGTGAGCCACCACACCCGGCCCCCATTGAGTTTTTGTTCTGTCCATTACAGTTAACATTTTGAGAACATTCCTGCTCAT
The DNA here is from genome assembly GCF_000001405.40 of Homo sapiens. NCBI lineage: Eukaryota > Metazoa > Chordata > Mammalia > Primates > Hominidae > Homo > Homo sapiens. Next base: position 1,083,302 of record NC_000004.12, on the reverse strand, counting down.
TTCACCATTTGGAAAATAGTCCTTGCTCATTGTTGCATCTTCGTCTTTTATGTAGTCATTTCACAGGCAGCCTTTTTATTTTCCTTACCTGATATCCTCAGGAATCCAAATCTGCCTTCTTTTCTTCCACTCTCGCTGGAGGGAGGTATATTTCTGCTGATCTCTGGTGAGGTTGCACAGGCCAATCCCACTCTCTACATACCTGGTATCGCCTGCATTTTCCTCCAGAGAGGATTCCCATGTGCTCTGCCAGCCCAGCTGACCCGCCCCAGACCGCTGCGCCCCCGACCCCGTCTTGCCCGGCCTCACTGTGGTGGCGTTCGTGCCACCCACTTTTGTTGTCATTGTTGTTTTTGTCATCATCCTCTTGCTCCCACGAAACAGTGCATTTTAGAGTTGTCTGGAATCAGGAGCAAGTGCCCTTCAGAGGAGCCAGGCCACGGCCCTGCCAGACGCAGAAGGCTCAGGTACTTCCGCCCACCACAGTCAGCCACGCAGCAGCCAGTGTTTACTGAGCACCAGGTGCATTCTCAGCACTGTTCTGGGGGCTGGCAATTCGGAGTAAGCCAAACACGCCCAGTGCCCGTCCTCTGGGAGCTTCTGTGTGGGGAAGAGGAGGCAGAAAGTGAACTTGTATGTCGGGCCGGGACACAGGCTGTCAGGATAAGTGACTCTGGGTGAGGATGTTGAGGGGCAGTGCCAGGGCAGGCTCTAGGAGGTGACTCAGAGCGGAGGCCCCAGTGGTTGAGCTGTTGTGCAACTGCCTATTCCTAGCTGGCTTGGTCCCAAACTGAAACTGCTGAGGGCAGACTGTTCGTATCTCAAAACCCAGCCAGCATAGACGGGCACTCGGTGCCAGGAGACAGCCCCACCCCTCATGTGCAGTCATGCACCTCAGTGTGTCCACAGAAACAGACACGCTCCCCCAGTCTTACGTGTGCATCTCAGCATGTCCACCAGGCCCTGTGAGGCAGAGAGGACCCAGGTGCAGCAGCCTTCTGTGGCCGGGAGTCACAGGGCACAGCAGGTGGTCTCTGCTACTGGCCATCGTGGAGATCAGTCCAGGGTTGCTAGACTGGAAAACGTGACCAAGTAACTTGTCCATATTTCTCTTGCTGGCCTGTTTTTCTTTCTTTTCTCTTTTCTTTCCTTTCCCTTTCCCCTTCCTTTTCCTTTTTTGAGATGAGTTCTTGCTCTGTCACCCAAGCAGGAGTGCAGTAGTACAGTAGTACAATCACAGCTCACTGTAGCCTCCAACTCCTGGGCTCAACCAATCCTCCCGCCCCTGCCTCCCAAAGTGTTGGGATGATGGACATGAGGCACCATGGCTGGCCTCTTAGTGGCCTTTCAAAGCTGGTGCGTTAGTGGCTCCTGTTGTCAGGTCTTAATTTCACACCTTTAACACCCGCAGTGGCCATGTGCTGAGTGACAGTTGCAGTTGTAAGAGCCAGTGATGTAAATGGCAGTGGGGTGTTGAGTTCACTTGGCTTCAGCGCTAGGGAGGAGCAGGGCCGTGCGACTCACAGGACGCTATGGGAACTGCTGAATTCATGTGAAATGCCGTTTGCAAACCCAGTAAGAACATTTCACTGATTCAGAGCCTTCTTACACTTTCAGTTGGGATGACCTGGGGGGAAGTCAGTTTTTATGATTTAATTCAATACCTTTTCTCCATCTATTTAGTATGAGATCATCACAACAAACAGCTTTCAGCACAATAAAAAGTTCAGTTTCAAGTAAGTAAAATCATGCCAGAAAGAGAACAAAATAGAGATGCATGTTGCTGAGTCACACTGTGTGCACTGACGCTGGCATTTTCGTCATCACTCTTCCAGCAAAACCACACGGATGCCTGCTGCCACCTCACTCATCAGCCCCCGACAGGTGTGTGGGTTGCTTGCAGAAATCACAGGACCTGCAGGTCTTTCCGATTCTGCACCTGCCTTCCCATCCCAACCCCACCCCCTCTCCAAGCCCCCAGATTTTGCTAATCCATACAGTTGACTGGACATGAACTCATTTTGGTACTTATTTCATCTCCCTGCGAGGCTCAGGTCCCAAACTAAGTGTGTGATCCAGGTGGCCAATCAGAGCACTCCATCCTGCAGCGACAGTGATTGGTTTGGGAATGATCATGTGACCCAGTGTTCTGCGTGCCCCCCGCTCAACTGGCGTTCCAGTGCCCGGCAGCTGACAGCCCTGCCCTAACAGGAAATTAAGGGGCTGACCTGGTGTGCCTTATATGGAATCCTTCTTTCACCTGGGGGATGGCCTGAACCCATTACCCAACCCATGGCTGGGGGTCCCTCACACAGGAAACGTTCATACTGGCACATGTCCTGTGGCTTGTGTCTGCCCCATCTCCAGGCTATGCCTGCCTGGCCATCACTCTGGCACAGGGAGCCCAACCTCATGTTCCCTCCAGCATCCCAGAGAAAACCCGGCCTGGGGTAGCTCCTAGCTCTTCAGATGGAAGGCACAAATTCAGTCCACCCCTGTGATAGGAAACACATTCAGATTTATTACTTACAGGTCCTGGACAGGGAGGGCGCCTGTGGGGAGGACAGTGCTCTGTCCACAGGTAGCAAGAGGCAGGAAAGAAGGCTCAGGCAGAGAGGGGTCTCGTGGGCCAGCACCTTTATTGGGGCTCAGGGCGTCATCCAGGCAGGTTTCCCGTGAGGAGTTTTAATTGGTGGGTTTAGAGCAGGCAGGCACAAGCTCCACGGGGTCCCGCTGTGACTGAGGGCATCACTGTGGTACATCTGTACGGTCAATGAAGGGTGAGGGGTCAGCGGGGCCAGCCAAGTGGGTTTTGTCCACCCTCCCACAGGGAGGTGGCCACTGGGAGGCAAGTGTCCGGATGGACCACTCTGAGACACTGGGAGCGGGTGGAGAACTGGAAACTGTTGAAGGTGACTGAGCCCTGCCTCTGGTATGAGAAAGTTAAACCTGTCTTCAAAATGAGTGCTGAGGCCACCTAAAATTAGAATTCACTCCAGCCAGGCTGGACTAATTGGAGTCACCCCTGGGACTCTTGCTGGAGCTGTTGGAAAAGAGTGAGCCTCTTTCCGCAGAGATCACGAGCCATAAGGATGGCAGGGCTAGGAGGGGGCCAACGCAAAATGAATCCTATGATGTTTTCCTGTCTGCCTTTGGCAAATGAAGGAACTAGTGCGTACCGAGCGTGCACGGTGTGGTATGTGTGGCCAGGCAGTGAGTGATCACAGAAGTCAATTCGGGATCCCACTCTCAGAACGTCCTAGTCCAGCAGGCTCCAGGCAGGTGTTGGCAGAGAGAAGAGAAGGGGTTGTCTGGAGGGAGAAGCTGAGTGTGCAGAGGTGCAAGAGAGGAATGCCAGGGAGAGCCCAACCAGGGCGGGCCGGCCAGCGGCCTCTGTCCTGGAGAGGCTACATCCCAGTACAGACGGCGGGTGGCCCTAAAGAGGGAGGAAAATGGCAGTGATCAGATGCCTAAGTGGCTAAACTCTGGCCGCAGCATGAAGCTAGAGGAAGATTTAGACATTTACACATCATCTCGTCATGTGTGTATTTCAACTGACGTTGTTAGAGGTAAGTCCTGGGCTCACTCAAAGCCTTTCACTATGTGTTTAACAGACTGGAGTCGATGGAAGTTGATCTCTCTCCTTCTCCGATTAGAAAAGTAAGTGCATCTCTCCTGCTGAGTTCCTCTGTATACCAGACGTGTGGCATTTCCCATTTTCCTCAGTAGTGAAAAACGTAACCTCTCGTGCAACAGTAGACAGACTTTGCACAGTGCTGCTGCTTCGTGTGCTGGTCCCGTGGGTGAGAGGGGTGGGCTGTGGCTATAAGCTGGGTCATGAGAACGCTCCTGTTCTGCCTGAATGGCCAGGACTGCAGTTGCATCTGGAGAAACAAAAGCAAATGCGGACGAGGTGTTGGCAGGGTCCCATGCAGGTTCTGTGTTGTTCCTGTGTTGTTCCCGTACAGGTCCCATGTTGGTCCTGTGTTGAATCTATGTTGGTCCCATGTTGGTCTTGTGTTGACCCTGTGTTGGTCCCATGTTGGTCCTGTGTTGACCCTGTGTTGGTCCCATGTTGGTCCTGTGTTGACTCTATGTTGGTCCCATGTTGGTCTTGTGTTGACCCTGTGTTGGTCCTATGTTGGTCCTGTGTTGACCCTGTGTTGGTCCTATGTTGGTCCTGTGTTGACCCTGTGTTGGTCCTATGTTGGTCCTGTGTTGACCCTGTGTTGGTCCCATGTTGGTCCTGTGTTGACTCTATGTTGGTCCCATGTTGGTCCTGTGTTGACCCTGTGTTGGTCCTATGTTGGTCCTGTGTTGACCCTGTGTTGGTCCTATGTTGGTCCTGTGTTGGTCCTGTGTTGACCCTGTGTTGGTCCCGTGTTGGTCCTGTGTTGACCCTGTGTTGGTCCCATGTCGGTCCTGTGTTGACCCTGTGTTGGTCCTATGTTGGTCCTGTGTTGGTCCCGTGTTGGTCCTGTGTTGACCCTGTGTTGGTCCCATGTCGGTCCTGTGTTGACCCTGTATTGGTCCTATGTTGGTTCTGTGTTGATCCTGCGTTGATCCTCTGCTGGTCCCATGTTGGTCCCGTGCTGGTCCCTGTCAGTCTCTGTTGGTGTCAAGGAGAAAGGGCAGCAAAGTTGGTGGCCCTGGGCTTTAACTGCCTTCACTTGCTGTCTCATGAAATGACAAACAGTGCTGAAGAAGACAGTAGTAAACTTTGTCAGCCCAGGAAAAGAAATGGGTCAGAAAAGCCAAGGACTCTGGGAAACAGGAAGCAACAACTTCAAGCTGGAGAGAAGCAAGACCAGAGGAAACCTGCCCGGAACTCAGGGAGAGTCCAGGCCCGGCTCTCCCGTCGTCTGTCCTGGTGGGCAGAACTCAGCGCCAGATGTACCACATCGGCCACACACCAGGCAGCTCGGAAACGGGAGAGAGGAGGCAGTTTGGGAAGGACTCAGGGCAGAGTGAGCTGCACCCCATAGGAGGGATCAGGACTTGAGAAGCCTGTGGGGCAGGAGGGGGCCGAGGAGCAAAGGCAGGAAAACTGAGTGTGTTCTGGCGGCGGTGAATGCCTGTGTTCCACAGTGCCAGTTATTGGCTTATTTGATTTATGTGTTGCTTCGGGTTGTGCGACACAGTGTGGCTCATTGGCAAGCACTGTTCCGAGCCCTTTATAGATATGAACTCAGTCGTGTAGCAGCCCTGTGGCATGGGTAATCACACCCGGAGCCGGATGATGGAGGGACCCGGAGTCAGAATAAGAAGGCAGAACTGGATCCAGTAGGGAACGAAGAGCCGTCACAGCTTCCGTGAAAGAGAAACGCCAGTTCCTTGGCAGTTGGGTCAAGCACACGCATCCTCTCCCTGCCCAGCTCACCTCTGCCATCCTCATGGCCACGCCCACACCCACCGGCAACACGGGAGCTGTGCTTCCAGAGGGACACGCTTCCTTATGGGTGCACCTCCTCCCTAGGCAACTGGCCCACATCGAGGACCCCACCTGCCCCCTCAGGCCCTGCTGGAAGCTCTTATGGAGCCCTCCCCTGGGTCCCTGTAGGTCCCCACCACCTGCTTTGGCTCCCCCAAGGCCAGACACCTGCTTCCAGCTGTCCCTTGCTGCACTAGGGCCTTGTTTCACGGATGAACTCACAGCCTCCAAGTCCCCACAGCTTAAGGAGGAAGAACTTTGTTCTGTCAGGTCAGCTTTCTACCTTTCCTTAGGATCTGAGTAATTGAGGAGGATAGAGAATACTCAAGACTGGCAGGCAGCAGGCATGTCGGGCTCACGCCTATAACTTCAGCACTTTGGGAGGCCAAGGCAGGTGGATCACTTGAGCCCAGGAGTTTAAGACCAGCCTGGGCAACATAGTGAGACCCTGTCTCTAAAAAAAAGAAAAAAGAAAGAAAAGACTGGCAGGCTAAATTGATTGACACTTCACTAGGTGCTACTGTTGGAAATTATTGCTGAGGAACCAGAATGTAATGAATCAAAGTTCCTAAGTGAGGGGCAAAGACCAGACATGGGCATTTTCTGTCTTTTGCTTTTTGTTTTTTGTTTGTTTGTTTGTTTGAGACAGAGTCTCACTCTATTGCCTATAGGCTGGAGTGCAGTGGCGAGATCTCGGCTCACTGCAACCTCCGCCTCCCGGGTTCAAGGAATTCTCCTGCCTCAGCCTCCCGAGTAGCTGGGACTACAGGCACGCACCACCATGCCTGGCTAATTTTTGTATTTTTAGTAGAGACCTGGTTTCACCATATTGGTCAGGCTGGTCTCGAACTCCTGACCTTGTGATCTGCCCACCTCAGCGTCCCAAAGTGCTGGGATTACAGCCTGGCCAGCACACATTTTTGTAAAGGGCCAGATAGTAAAACATTTGGACTTTGCAGACCAGACAGTCCACAGCTACTCAACTCTGTCATGGAATTGCAAAAGCAACCATAGAAAGTATGGAAGCTAATAGGCATGACCATGACTGTGTTCTAATAAAACTTCATTAACAAAAACAGGCTGCAGGCCATAGTTTGCCAACCCCTGTGCCACACCAGAATGCAAATTTCAAGGAAAGTGTCTAAAACCAACTTTTCACCTCCCGAAACGCCTTGTCACCCTGGAGTGGATGTGTGTAGCAGTTCCTTTGGAAAGAGCTCCCGTCCTCCCTGCCCCACATGATGGCCTAGAGTGAGAGGTGCTCCTGGTAACCCTCAGCCTGAGCAGAGGTTCTGGGACACCACCTGTTGCCTGTGCAGACTGAGGTCTCACTCTCTGGCCTGCAGAGAGCAGTGTGCAGGCCTCTCTCGAGGTGAACCTCCCACACTGTTCAGGGCTGCATGGGAAAGAGCATTATCGGGGGTGCTCTTGGTGGGGTTCCTGCCCCAAAGGCTCGTCAGAGGGAGGGCCACAGTGCAAGGGTCTCTCATTGGGTGGACTCGGAGAAGCAAAGCCAGCGCCATCCCATGACAGCGCCTGGGGCACAGCTGGGCCCGCCCAGAGGGGATTGGTTCTTTTCCTTCCTCCTCCACCCTTGCTGCTCCAGGCCTGGGGACCTCAGGCTGCTGGCACTGGGGAGGAGGAGAAGCAGAGCCTAAGGCCCCCACCCTCCTGGACAAGGTGCCCGGGAAGGCAAGGGAGAGTCTGCCTTCACATGCAGATGGAAGTGTTGACTAAGGTGTCTGGCTTGGCGGGATAATTTCTAAGTTAAGGCTGTTAACCTTAAATGAGCATGGCATTTTCTATTATGTAAAATTGACCAGGATTAACATATCTTTTTGAAAAGGTAAAATCATGACTCACAAATACAAAATGAATACCATTCACACACTTCCTTCAACTTATGAGGTGGCCAGACACAGTACCTCACGCCTGTAATCCTAACACTTTGGGAGCTGAGTCAGGCAGATCCCTTGAGCCCAAGAGTTTGAGACCAGCCTGGGTGACATGGCAAGACCCCATCTCTACAAAAAATTAGCTGGGCATGGTGGTGCACACCTGTAGTCCCAGCTACTGAGAAGCTGAGGTGGGAGGATCACCACCAGGAGGTTGAGGCTGCAGTGAGGTGAGTGACTGCCCCACTGCACTCCAGCCTGGACGACAGTGAAACCTTGTCTCAAAAACAAAAGGTTATGAGTTAATGAGGGAAACCAGCTGATATAGTTTAGATATTTGTCCCTGCCCGAATCTCATGTGGAATTATAATCCCCAGTGCCCGAGGTGGGGCCTGGTAGCAGAAGTTTGGGTTATGGGGGCAGATCCCTGGTGGCTGGTGCTGTCTTTGCCATGGTGGGTGAGTTCTCACGAGATCTGGCTGGTTAAAAGTACATGGCACCACCCCCCAGTCTCTTGCCTGCTCGCCCTGCAACGCGCCTGCTCCCCCTTGGCCTCCCACCCTGATTGTAGCCTCCCAAGGCCTCCCCAGAAGCAGCTGTTGCCATGCTTCCTGTACGGCCCTCAGAAGCATGAGCCAGTTAAACCTCTTTTCTTTATGAATTACACAGTCTCTGGTATTTATCGCAGTGCAAGAATGGCCTAATACACCAGTTAAATGTGAAAACTGGTTTAAAGGAGAATCCAAAGAGCAAACATGCGTGTAGGCAGCCAAATGCAGATGTGAACACACCGATGCGTACACAGCCCCTCCCATGTGGCAGGAACCAGTGTCTTGCCCAGCCAAGTCTGCCATGGCCCATTTACAAGAAAGGTTTGCACCACTGTCTTCTGTAACTCACAGCTGTCAGACAGCACCAGGACGGGGAAAGACACCAGCACTTGAACGCTCTGCGGAGATTTTCTCTAAATGGAGCAGCAAATGGAATGTAGTTCGAAGGGACGGTGATGTCAAGGGGATTCTTAGGATGAACTTGATATTGAAGACATCCTAGCGGATGGAAGGATCCAGAAATGATGGCATAGCAGCACTCCAGGCAGGTGAAAGGAAGTACCTGGAGCCTGTCCTGATGAGGCAGGAATATGTCTGGTGTTCACAGGATGGCAGGCAGAGGCTGAAGGTACAGAGACAAAAGCTCCTGATTTCACAAGATTCTGTCTTCTTGGGGGTAGGAGTGAGGTCATGAGCTTCAGGTGGATGGGGAATGTGCTTAGTGGACAGCTCCATGAGAAAGCTGGCCTGCAGGCAGCTCAGAGGGCCATGCCAAGCAGGGGGGTCCGTCCTTCCAAGGTTAGAGTCTTGCCAGTGAGTAGGAGTGGAGGACTGGCAGGGTAGGGCCAAGGGTGTGGCAGAGAGAGTCCCTGGAGCAGGGCACTCCTGTGCTGGTAGAGAGACCATG